>NC_000016.10:19092546-19395576 GCF_000001405.40 Homo sapiens | reverse complement strand
CAGATTAATAAATATAAACCTAATAAGAAGCCCTGCCCTAGGAAGGCCACTAAATGGTCTGGAAAGCTAGAGGTGCTAACCTGGGAAGATTGTATTGCAAACAGCACTGCTGTACTGCAAAGTAATTCCTATGGAATCGTCATTGATTGGGCCCCTATGGGACGCTTTGCAGTAAATTGTACTGGACAGTGCGAAGATGGTAGAGAGACTCCTTTTGCAAACAACTACCCAGATAATGCACCAAAATTATATAGAAGAATTAAAACAAATTAACCTATTAAGTGGGAGGAGAACGGTATGGCTCTTTCAAGCCCAAAAATGATTGATCCAATTATAAGTCCAGAACATCTAGAATTGTGGAAATTAATGATGGCTCAAACCCCAATTCGGATTTGGAAAGGAGAATATAAAACAAAGACCCTTAGTAAAAAAAACTTTGATTTGTCGTAGCCATGACCTCTAATCAGACATTCCCATTGCAGAGTTTTGTTAAACCTCCTTTTATGTTGGCAGTGGGAAAAATTAATATCCTAACTGACTCTCAAACCATATCATGCCTCAACTGTCATCTTTTTACCTGCATTAATTCTACCTTTAATAAAGATAATAGCATTTTACCGGTTAGGGCCCAAGGAGTTTGAATAACTGTTTCCCTCAATAGACCTTGGGAGGCCTCTCCCTCCATACATATTATCACGGAAGTACTAAAAGGAATACTTAATAGATCAAAGAGATTCATATTTACTTTAATAGCTGTGATCATGGGCCTTATAGCTGTCACAGCTACTGCTGCTGCTGCTGGTGTTGCTTTGCACTCTTCTATTCAAACAGCGGGCTTTGTGGATAGTTGGCAGAAAAATTCTTCTAAGCTTTGGAATTCCCAAAGCCAAATAGGTCAAAAATTGGCAAATCAAATTAATGATCTCTGTCAAACAGTAATTTGGATGGGAGATTGGATTATGAGCTTGGAGCATAGAATTCAAAAACAATGTGACTGGAATACTTCCGATTTTTGTTTTACTCCTAGCTCTTATAATGCCATTGAACACCAGTGAGAGACGATTAGACGTCACCTACAAGGAAAAAAAGATAATTTAACATTAGATATTGCTAAACTGAAAAAACAAGTTTTTGAGGCATCTCAGGCTCATCTCACCCTATTGCCTGGAGCTGATATTCTTGCTGGAGCCTCTGATGGCCTTTCTAATACCAATCCTTTAAAGTGGATTGAAACCATAGGTGGATCAACAATTGCAAATTTTATTTTGGTTTGTGTCTGTTTATGTTGCTTGTTTTTAGTCTACAGATGCAGATGGTGCCTTGGGAGAGAAACCAGACACCATGAATGAGCCATAATAGCAATGGCAGTTATTAATAAAAAAAAATCAATAGAGGCAAAAAAGGGGAACATGTGGGAAAGTGTTTCTGGGGTGCCAGTTGAGTTGGTCTCCCCTGTGTGAGACACCCATGGGAAGCCATGGGCAGCCTCTGGGGAGAAAAGTCTCCTTATTGCTTTCATGTCTTTATGCCCCAAGAGCATAACCACTCAGCAGCATTCCACAGGTTGCTCAGGGAGACAACACTCCCTTGAAGCAGTGGAGTATAATCAAACATCTTGGCTCCTCCTTAAACCCGCTCCCACCCATTTCAGTCCTGATAAGCTAAAGATCTTAAGTAGTTTAGACACACGCCTTTGCTCAAGGAAATTCACAGAAACCGCCACTGCTACACATCTTATGGAATGACTCACGAGTTCTCCTTCACTGATTAATCCTTTTCCTCATCCCTTCCTCCCCCTCCCATCTGCCCTAAGAACAAAGAGCTTGTAAACCAGTAAATTTGGCAGAGCTCAAGAGCTCTGGGCCGTGAGCAAGCCTCCGATATTCTGGTCCCCTGAACCCGCCTTTTAAATGCTTATTCTGTCTCTTTCTAACTCCTATGTCTCCACCAGACTCAGGGTACCCACTGGGTGGTGTGGGGCTGGTTTCCCTAACATTCCCCACCAAATAAAGCAGCTCCAACCTTCTAGATGGTTGCTCAGCTCAGAAGTCTTAGAGAAATTCTGATGCCTCTCCTCACATTTGCTCTGTCGGCAAATCCTGGTGTCACAAGAGGGCTCAGGAGGGTTTCTGGATGCCAACGAGACCCCAGCCACAGCCGGTCCCCAGATTCTTGACATCATCACAAGAAAGAATTCACAGGTGAGTCAGAATGAAGTGAAATGCAAGAAGCTTTTATTGGAAAGCAAAAGTCTGCACTTAAGAGAGAAGTGGGTGCATGCTCGTGAGAACGAGTCACGCAAACAGAGTTTGGGTTTCTAATTTTATTTGGTGTTTCTTTAATTAGGGGGTGGAATAATCATTAGGTATTCTGGAAAAGGAGGGGACTTCAGGGACCCCTGAAATTGCCCATGCTAGAGTGTTGTGGCACAATCCTAGCTCACTGCAACCTTGACCTCCTGGCCTTAAGTGATCCTCCTGCCTCAGCCTCCTGAGTAGCTGGGACTACAGACGTGCACCACTATGCCTGGCTAACTTCTAAAAATTTTTAGTAGAGACAGGGTCTCATTATGTTGCCTAGGCTGGTCTTGAACTCCTGGCCTCAAGTGATCCTCCCACCTTGGTGGGAGCCTGCAATTACAGGCATGAGCCACCACACCCGGCTTCTGCTTTATTATTTTCCAAAGCACTCGTCCCTGCCTGACACATTATAGATGCATGTGTGTCTTGTCTCTACAATGTGGGCTCCCAGAGGGCAGGGACTTTGCTCTGTTCTGTTGTCTGTTGTTGAATCCCCAGTGCCTAGGATGGTGCCTGGCACATAGTAGGTATTCAATATCTATTGAATGAATATGGTCCCTGGGGCTAAAAGTAAGAAAGGAGAAAAAAATAAAGCAACCCCCAAATTTGATGAGAACCCTATAGTCCCTGACTGATTGTTTCCTGGCCATCATCATCATCAGCTTCAACTTTGTCAACACACCCTTAATATGGGTGTACCTTGTTTTACAGTTTGCCGAGCACTTTCACACCCATTATTGGATATGACACACAACCCGGTGAGAGTGCTCTCAGTGGAGTTAAGATTCATACTTTTCCCAGACATGGTGGATTGCCCCTGTAATCCCAACAACTTGGGAGGCTGAAGTGAGAGGATTGCTTAAGGCCAGAAGTTTGAGACCAGCCTGGGCAACATACTGAGACCTCATCTCTAAAACAAATAAATTAGCCAGGCATGGTGGCACATGCCTGTAGCCCCAGCAACTCAGATCACTTGAGCCCAGGAGTTAGAGACTGCAGGGAGCTATGGTCACACAACTGCACTCCAGCCTATGCAATAGAGTGAGACCCTGTCTCTAAAACAAAACAAAAAAATTCATACTCTCCCCAGACTTCAGTTTTTTATCAAGAAATGGATAAAACCAGGGGACTTTCCCATGATCAGTTTACTCAGTGGTAAAGAACAGTGATTCAACCATGTGTTTTAATTCCAAGTCCAGTTGTCTTTATCTCGAGCAGAAAGTCTACATATGCAGCAGTTAAGACCTGCAAGCTGTGGAGTTTGGATAGAAAAGACTTTGAAACTTGCCGCCAGCATTTCCTGGCTGTGTGATGTTGGGAAAGTTGTCAGCCCTCTCTGTTGTCTCTATTTTTTTCACTCATCAAATGGGGCTAATAATAGTACCAGCTGTGTTTGGTGGCTCACACCTGTAATCCCAGCACTTTGGGAGCCTGAGGCCAGTGGATCACTTAAGTACAGGAGTTCAGGACCAGCCTGGGCAACATCATGTTGAGAGGTGGAGCCAGCTGGACTTGTGGGTCGAGTGGGGACTTGGAGAACTTTTCTGTCTAGCTAGAGGATTGTAAATGCACCAACCAGCACTCTGTAAAAATGCACCAATCAGCGCTCTGTGTCTAGCTAAAGGATTGTAAATGCACCAATAAGCACTCTATAAAAATGCACCAATCAGCGCTCTGTGTCTAGCTAAAGGATTGTAAATGCACCAATCAGCACTCTGTGTCTAGTTAAAGGATTGTAGATGCATCAATCAGCACTCTGTAAAAATGCACCAATCAGCGCTCTGTGTCTAGCTAAAGGATTGTAAATGCACCAATAAGCACTCTATAAAAATGCACCAGTCAGCACTCTGTGTCTAGTTAAAGGATTGTAAATGCACCGATCAGCACTCTGTAAAAATGCACCAATCAGCACTCTGTAAGATGGACCAATCAGCAAGACATGGGTGCAGACAAATAAGGGAATAAAAGCTGGCTACCCCAGCCAGCAGCTGCAACCTGCTCGGGTCCCCTTCCACACTGTGGAAGCTTTGTTCTTTCACTCTTCACAGTAAATCTTGCTGCTGCTCACTCTATGGGTCCACACTATCTTTACAAGCTGTAACACTCACTGTGAGGGTCTGCAGCTTCATTCCTGAAGTCAACGAGACCACGAACCCACCGGGAGGAACAAACAACTCTGGACACGCCACCTTTAAGGGCTATAACACTCACTGCGAAGGTCTGCGGCTTCACTCCTGAAGTTAGCAAGACCACGAACTCACCGGAAGGAAGAAACTCTGGACACATCTGAACATCTGAAGGAACAAACTCTGGACACACCATCTTTGAGAGATGTAACACTCACTGCGAGGGTCCGCAGCTTCATTCTTGAAGTCAGAGAGACCAAGAACCCACTGGAAGGAATAAATTCCGGACACAGTGTGACCCCATTCCTACAAAAAATATAAAATTTAGCTGGGTGTGGTGGCATGCACCTGTGGTCCCAGCTACTCGGGAGGCTGAGATGAAAGGATTACTTGAGCCCTGGAGATCCAGGCTGCAGTGAGCTGAGATTGCACCACTGCATTCCAGCCAGGGTGACAGAATGAGACCATGTATCAAAATAATAATAATGACAGTACCTATCTCATAGGGTGGTTCTGAGCATTGAATGAGGTAAGACCTGGAACATAACAATAACTGATTTTTAAAAATAATTTAAAAAATCTAAGTGTTACCAAAATACCAGGGGTTCAGTCTTGGTCCTGCTGCTCACCACACAGAAAGCCAATGACTGGGACAATGACTACTGCCAAGGAAGAAGGCTTTAATCAGGTGCTGCAGCCAAGGAGATGGGAGCTCAGGCTCAAATCCATCTCCCTGACTGACTAAATCTAGGGGTTTACATAACAGGGAAGAAATGTAACAATGTATAAGAAAACAGGAAGGGGCAAGGAAGCAATCATGATAAATGAGGGGTCCCATACCTCATTGTTCTGATGTGGTGATCTTGTGAGTTTCAGTTCTTTGATAGTTTTTTTTTTAAATTTATTTTTTATTTTTTGAGAGGTCTGAAGATGTTTTCTGAGGAAGGAACTCAGACAAAACAAATGTAAGTTTCAAGCTTTAAGACCAGAAGCGGCCAGACATGGTGGCTCATGCCTGTAATCCCAGCACTTTGGGAGGCTGAGGTGGGCAGGTCACTTGAAGTCAGGAGTTCGAGACCAGCCTGGCCAACATGGTGAAACCCCGTCTCTACCTAAAATACAAAAATTAGCTGGGCGTGGTGGCGCACACCTATAATCCCAGCTACTTGGGAGGCTGAGACAGGAGAATGGCTTGAACCCGGGAGGTAGAGGTTGCAGTGAGCCGAGATTGTGCCCCCACACTCCAGCCTGGGCAACATAATGAGACTTCATCAAAAACAAAAACAAAACGAAATAAAAACAACAACAACGAAACAACCAGAAGAGTCGATTTCCATGTTTAAAGAAAAAAAAGAAGTCTGTGTGTGGATCTATTGGGTCGGTTTCATAAGCATGTTACACTGTGTTCATGCAAGCATTTTTTGAGTGGCCCTTGATTCTGTCCAAATTTCTTCAGCTAACCTGATAGTGAAAACACTGGAAGTACGACATCATCTACTTTAAAGTTGGTAAAAACTAAAGCTCCTGGTCACAAAAGGGATTTCACTCAGTGCCTTTGGGAAGAGAAGGACGGAAAATTGCATAGCAACTAGAAGACAGGCTCCCCAGAGGGAGAACAGAGCTGTGGCCAACCCCTGGAGCACTCATAACTGAGATCATTTTATTGTGCCCTCTCCTGAGAGGATGGTGTTTGCACACAGCAGAGACATACAAAGGTGGCCCCTTAGCCTCCACGGGCAGGGACTGTGCTCTGCTTCCCGGCTGCAATACCTTTGTACCTGCGCCCCCTTGTGGGAAGTCCCACAGTCTTTCCAGAAGTGGGGTGCAGAAAAGGGTGTTAACCTAGACCAAAGAAACGGTGCTAACCAAAACTAAGAAAAGGGAGCCAACCTAGGGCAAAGTAAAGGTGCTAACCTGGACCACGGAAGGGAGCTAACCTGGACTAAGCACCTCAGGCTAGGAGTCAACTTTGCACCTGACATCATGCATGACCTCACTTAACATATCCATGAGGTGGCTTTGCAAATATGGAAACTGAGAGATACAGACAGACAAACAAAGAAAAACTTGCCTAAACTCATCTCATTAGGAAGCATCAGAACCAACATTCAAATCCAGATCGGTCTCCAATTCAGAGCTCACACCCTTTCTCCAATATTGCATTGTAGATGTGAAATGAAGTCAACCAGCCTATTTGTAGATCCAGCTGTATCACAATTCCATTATTCCATCCTATGTAATATCCCAAAATATGAAAACATCCCCCTACCCTCTAGAAAAAAAATATTTCACAATGGTCATGCCAGCAGGAGTGAGGTGGAGCTTGGGGCTATTATCTAAATGCCTTGTTATAACATGCATAATTTTCAAGATAAACTGTTCAACCAATTCTTAAATCACTGACCCATATAAACACAATAATCCCATGTATTTAATACCAGTACAGCATGTCTTTTAAGACAAAGTGGTCAGAAGACTATAAACTTAAAAGTGGTTACCTCTGGGAAGAGAAGCACGAGAGAGGTATGAAGAGGGATGCTACTTTTTATTCTGCTTGTTTCTGTGTTATTGAGAACAAGCATATGTTATACATATGTCTTTTTTCTTTTCTTTGAGATGGATTTTTGGTCTGTTGCCGAGGCTGGAGTGCAGTGGCACGATCTCAGCTCACTGTAACCTCCACCTGCTGTGTTCAAGCGATTCTCCTGCTTCAGCCCCTCGAATAGCTGAGATTGCAGGCACGTGCCACCATGCCTGGGTAATTTTTGTATTTTTAGTAGAGATGGGGTTTTGCCCTGTTGCCCAGTTGGGTCTCAAACTCCTGACCTCAAGTGATCCCAAAGTGTTGGGATTACAAGCATGAGCCACAGTGCCTGGCCATGTTATACATATTTCTGTCAAGTTTTTCAACAAGCATTATTTTCATAAGTTCAAAACCATTTAAAATTGTTTTAAAAGACAACATTCAACTCAAAAATCCATAGGTGATTTTGAGATTGAAGATGGGCAAAAAAGGAAAAAAAAAAGATAATTGCTGATTTTAATCTGTAACCAGATAAAAACAAACAAACAAACGAAGACAGAAAGATTATTACCTTAAAAATGACAGTATCTGTAGTGAAACTGCTATGCTACGGGCCAATAATAACAAAAACTAACATTTATAAACATTTACTGTATATAAGCTTTGGTCTAGGATTCTTTCCATATACTAACGCATTTAATCCCCATGGCAACCCTTTGAGTTAGATACTTGTGGTAGACAGCCTTCAAAATGGCTCTCAATGATCCTCCCCTCCTGGTATTCACCTTCTTGTGTATGCCCTGTGAATAGGGCCAATATGTGCCACCAATAAGATATTGTAGAAATAATGGTATGTCAGCCTGAGCAATATAGTAAGACCCCACCTCTACAAAATATTAAAAATTAACTGGCATGGTGGCAATGGCACACATCTGTCGTCCCAGCTACTCAGGAGGCTAAGGCAGGAGGATCTCTTGAGCCCTCAGGAGGTTGAGGCTACAGTGAGCTGTGATTGTACCACTGCACTCCAGCCTGGGCTACAGAGTGAGACCTTGTCTCAAAAAAAGGAAAACAGAGAAATGATGGCATGTGACTTCCAAGACTAGGTTATAAAAGACACTGCTGCTGCTTCCTTCCTCTTTCTCTCTCTTGAGTTACCCATTCTGGGAGAAGCCAGCTGTCATTTTGTAAGGACCCACAGTTAGCCCTGTGGAGATGCCTGTGTGTAGGGGAACAGAGGAACAGCCATGTGTCTGGCCACCTTGGAAGCAGGTCCTCCAGCCCCAGTCAAGCCTTCAGATGACTGCAGCTCCTGCAACATCTTAACTGCAAACTCATGAGAGACCCTGAGTTTCTGAGCCAGAAACTCCAAGCTAAGCTGCTCCTGAATTCCTGACCTATAGAAGCTGTGAGAGACAATAAATTCTTATTTGTTGTTTTAGATTGCTATATTTTGGGTAAATTTGTTATGCAGCAGTAAATATTACTCAGTTGGGCATGGTGGCTTATGCCTATAATCCCAGCACTTTGGGAGGCCAAGGCAGGAGGATTGCTTGAGCCCAGGAATTTGAGAACAACCTGGGCAACATAGCGAGACCCTATCCTTATTTATTTTTAAAAACATTACAGCACTTATTATCACATCCATTTTACAGATGAGGAAACTTAGGCATAAAGGTGTCAAATAATTTGCCAATTACCAAGTAGTCAGAGCTGGGGCCAGGATCACAGCCTGAGTAAATCACTCCCAGAGGTGGTGCAATTAACCTCAGCACCAGCAGAAATGTGATACAGGGCAGAGTGCAAGAAACCAGGTCTCCTATTCTCTGTGCCTCTCATCAGTTCCTTTGATCCCCCAACCTGCACCCCCACGCCACCAAACCCTCCTTGGTGAGTTTCTAGCTTAGTTTCCAGGGAGCACATCATGTAAGTTTATGACCAGCATGTGACTTGGTAATTAATATCCATGACACTTGGCCTTTGAGCACAAGAAACAAGCCCAGTGCATTCATCTGTTCTCACACTGCTATAAAGACATACCTGAGACTGGCTAATTTATAAAGAAAAGAGGTTTAATTGGCTCACAGTTCCACAGTCTGTACAGGATGCATGGCTGGGGAGGCCTCAGGAAACTTACAATCATGGCAGAAGGCAAAGGGGAAGCAGGCACATCTGCATGGCAGGAGAAGGAGGAGGAGAGAGGCTTAGGGGAAGTGCTACACACTTTTAAACAAGAAGATCTCAGGAGAACTCTGTCACAAGACACCACTAGAAGGATGATGATAAACCATTAGAAACCACCCCCATGATCCAATCATCTCCCACCAGGCCCCACTTCCAACACTGGGGATTACAATTCAGTATGAGATTTGGATGGGAACACAGAGCCATCACCCAGGAACCACAAAGTGAAGCTACCTGGCATGGGCATTGATGCTGTGGTCTGAAGCATGCCATCTTATTCTTCAGTGATGAAGAAGGAACCCTGCTGTTTGTATAAGAAGGAAAATAATTTTTAAAGGTTACATTCTGTCCAATCAGCAAAGGATGCATTTAAATGTTCAAATCCTACTTCTGACTACATTGGGCTTGGCAGTAATACTCCAGCAATATTTGAAGATCCTGGACTTTTCCATGCTGTTTTGTTTTATTTTATTTTATTTTTATTATTGTTAGAGACAGGGTCTCACTCTGTCATCCAGGCTGGAGTGCAGTAGTGTGATCACAGCTCACTGCAACCTCCACCTCCTGGGTTCAAGAGATTCTCCTGCCTCAGCCTCCTGAGTAGCTCGGGTTACAGTTGTGTGCCATCGCACCCAGATAATTTTCGCATGTTTAGTAGAGACAGGGTTTTGCCATGTTGGCCAGGCTAGTCTCAAACTCCTGGCCTCAAACGATCCTCTTGCCTCAGCCTCCCAAAATGTTGATTACGGGCATGAGCCACCATACCCGGCCTATACTGTAATGTTTTAAATGAGTATTTTTATTCCTTCCTCCATCTTTTATTCTGAAAATTTTCAAACCAACAAAAATTTGCAAGAACAGTACAATAGACAACCACATTCCTTTTATGTAAGTTCACTAATTGTTCACATTTTACCAGACTTGCTTCTTCCTACTTCTCTCTGAGCCATATGAGAGTTAATTACAGACTTTTTGAAACTGCATTCCTGTATTCGTTTCTTGTGACTGCTGCAACAAATTATCATACATTTGTTGGCTAATTCACAAAGCTCCACCATAAATCACATTGCTAAATTATCTGATGTCACCCAAGGATCCAGGTAAATAAAGATGTCCATCTCAGGGGCTTAGAGATCACCCCCCAGGAGCTGGAGGCAAAGGGATAGACCTCTCTGTGAGTAAAGTAATTCTTCACTACATAGTAATGTTCACACTTTTTTTTTTAGATTAGGGTCTGAAATCTTCGGGAGACATCTTTTAGCCTACCTCAATCCCAGCTACTTTTCTAGGTACCTCCTGAGAACAAAGACATCCTCCTAAATGGTCGTCTTCTATTCCTTCAAACAGGAGATTTAAGAGACTGTTGTTTCCTGAAGAACTATCCAATTTCTATTCCTGTAAAATTGTTCCTCTTCTGGGAGTGGGAAGTCTCCTTCAGGAACCTGGTTCATTCTTCTGCTCCTGGAAGAAAAAAACTGAGGTCTCCCTGGCTCAGGTGCAGATCCAAGTCAGGGCCAGGTGCCAGGTGCCAGGTGCCAGGTGCAGCCAGCAGGAAGTGCTGGGTCTTCTCTCTAAGGTCACTGCACAGTCACCACTCGCCTCCATCACATTCCATCTTCCATACGTGGAACAACTGGGTTCCACCCATCCCTTTCCAGATCTGCAGGCTGGGACTGGGGGTGGGGAGGTGGCCTCCAGTAAGGAAGGGAAGAGGGAGGAATTGTCTCACAATAGAAATAGCCATCATTTCCTGACACTTCCTCTGTGCCACAGACTTAAAGATCATTTTTTAAAATTTGAGCATGTATTAGTAATATGTCTATTTAGTAAAAAAAAGGGGTAATCAGTAAAATTTTCCCTGCCCTTGTCCTGAGATGTATGATGCATTTACAAACATATACACATATATTCTTGGTTTTTTAACCCCAAAGGTGGCTTACCTGGCATCTTGTTTTGTTTTGTTTTGTTTTGTTTTGTTTTTGAGACAGTGTCTCACTCTGTCACCCATGCTGGAGTGCAGTGTCATGAGCATGGCTCACTGTAACCTTGAAATCCTGGGCTTAGCAATCCTCCTTCCTTAGACTCCTGAGTAGCCAGGACTGCAAGCATGTGCCACCATCCCTGGCTAATTTTTACTTTTTTATTGTTTGTAGAGATGGGTGTCTTGCTATGTTGCCCAGGCTGGTCTTAAACTCCTGGACTCAGACGAACCTCCTGCCTCAGCCTCCAAAAATTCTGGGGTTATAGGCATGAGCCACTATGTCTAGCTTCCACCTTGCTTTTTCACTTCATAATATACCTTCTATAGGCTGGGCGCAGTGGCTCACACCTGTAATCCCAGCACTTTGGGAGGCCGAGGCCAACGAATCACGAGGTCAGGAGATCGAGACCATGCTGGCTAACATGGTGAAACCCCGTCTCTACCAAAAATACAAAAAATTAGCCGGTGTGGTGGCGGGCGCCTGTAGTCCCAGCTACTCGGGAGGCTGAGGCAGGAGAATGGCGTGAACTCCGTAGGTGGAGCTTGCAGAGAGCCGAGATTGCGCCACTGCACTCCAGCCTGTGCGACAGAGACTCCATCTCAGAATATTAATAATAATAATAATAAACCTTCTATAAATATAATTTTCTATATATCTACATATAGAGGTAATTGCTGCACAGATGTGTCAAAATTTATTTAATCCATCTCCTATCGATGGAAATATAGGCTGCCTCTAGGCAATTGTTCTTGCCACAGCCCTGAGACCTAAGCTCTAGTCTTATATCCTCATTTTATGGATGAGAAAACAGGCTCAGAAAGGTTGTGGCATGTGGTCCAGCTCACACAGGAAATAATCGGAAACCAGGTTCTCATCCAGTGACCTTACCCTTAACCACAATGAAAATAGCTTTTATTTTGAGCCAGGAAATTACTTACCCACACACATAATTTTCTGTTTTAGAACAGTTTTAGATCTACAGAAAACCTTTGAGGATAAGATAGAGACTGCGGCCCGCAGTCCACCACGGTAGGGCCATGGGGAGTGCTCATAGGGAAGGTGTTCCTGGCATCCGAGGGTGCACGGAGGGAGCCGGGTGCTATAAGCTGTGCCCGGTCACTGCCGCCTCCCACCCTCAGCGCCGGGTGCTCCCAGCTCTGGGGGATAGCAGGTGGTAAGGGTATCTTCCTTATTCCTGCTCCCTCCTCCAAAGTGTCCTCATCCAACCCAGACGGAGCCAGCCGACATCTCAGCTAGCCTCTCAGCCAGACTCTCAGCCAGCCAGCCTCTCACTCAGCCAGGAAGACTGCCCGCTAGCCTCTCGACCAGCTTCTCAGCCAGCCCACCAGCATCTCAGCGGGCCAGCCAGCCTGCTGGCAAGCCTCCAAGACAGCCACTCGGCCAGCCTCCCAGCCTACCCCTCACCCAGCCTCCCAGTCAGCCACTTAGCCGGCCAGCCATTTAAGACTGAGCCCAATCTCTCTCCCATTGCAAAATTTCATTACTATGTTCCCTATACCTATCATGATGGTCCTGAAAAATCTGCCTTACCGTATTTTAACATGTGCCATTGAATAATTTTTTCTTCTACAGAGGTAGATGCTATTATTAGAATCACTTTATAGAGGAGGATAAAGAAGTACAGAGAGTACTGTCTCAGATTCCCTGTCTCAGGTGCCCGGGCTCATGTACAGTCTCAGGTGCACTGCCTCTCTCTTTAGCCAGCTGGTTCCCCAGCCAACGGTGCACCCTAAATCCCCAGGGAATGACAAAGTTGAGAGATTGGGTGAGGCTCAAATGCCATGGATGTTTTTAGTTATGAAGAGCTCAAGTCATCTCTAAACCTCCCAAAAGCCAGGGGTAGTCATTTCACAGAGCAACCAGTATGGTCCTTGAGGTCCCTCAGGCATGAACCTGGCTGTTGACTCTGGGTCTATTATAGAAATTCCAGATGAGAACTCCACTTTCAAGGGCAAGCACCAAGCCCTCACTGCCACTGGTAAGCCCTCTGTTCTTATCAGCAAGCTGTGAGATTATGCAGTTTTTGTGTTTGTTCTCCTTGTGGTAGATGATTTCAAATTACATGAGAATAATTTATGACCAATTTGGGTTGCATTATTCAATCAGGATTGCAGGGGTGGCAGAATCACCAGGTCAGCTCAGGCTTTGGGTATTTCTTTTTTCCTTTTCTTTCTTTTCTTTTTTTTTTTTAAGACATGGTCTTGCTCAGTCTCCCAGGCTGGAGTGCAGTGGCATGCTCATGGCCCACTGCAGCCTCCACCTCCTGGGCTCAAGCAATCCTGCTACCTCAGCCTCCCTAGTACCTGGGACTACAGGTGTGCACCACCATGACTGGCTAATGTTTGTTTTTAGTAGAGACAGGGTTTCACCATGTTCCCAGGCTGGTTTTGAACTCCTGGGCTCAAGCGATACACCTGCCTCGGCCTCCCAAAGTGCAGGTGTGAGCCACCATGCCAGGTGGGTATTTTCATTAAAAAAGGCAAAAGCCCTTGCTGATGGGAGCTGCATCAACTAAAACATGAATTCACCATAATTGGTGATTTTTGCCCCCTGAATCCTAGTCATAGTCCAAGTGAAATAGCAAGACACAAACAGGGGCATTGGCCAACAGCCTAGTTCTGAAGGAGATGGAGCAGATGTGGACACGTGGAGTCAGGCTTCCAGAAGTCATCAGGTGGATGTGTGAAGTCAGGCTTCCAAGGCAGCTCACGCGCATGGCTGTTGGCTGGGGGCCTCAGTTTCTCACCACACTGATATTCCCACAGGGTTGCTTCAGCGTCCTCACAACAGGATGGCTGACTTCCCCAAGAGAGCAGCTCAAGAGAGAGCAAGGAGAAAGACACAACATCTTTAATGATCTATGCTTGGAAGCTATATGTTGCCACTTTTGCAATATCCTACAGATCGCTTAGCTCCATCCAACATGGAAAGGGATCAGACACGGGCATCATTGCCAGATGATAATCCCTGATGGTCATCTTGGATGCTGGCCACCACAGTTACATTTGAGGTGAGTGTGGCAGGAGCAGAGCACATCTGGGGCAGATGTGGCAGGAATGAAGGATGGAAAAGGAGCTAAGGTTGTGAGTGTCTATTTAAGCCAAAGATGAGAGTTCTAGCTGGGAATAAACAGACATTACTAATATAAGAGTGTGACATTATCATGTTGGCATTTTATTTTTATTTTATTTTATTTTTGAGACAGGGTCTTGCTCTGTCATCCAGGCTGGAGTGCAGTGGCACAATCATAACTCACCGTAGCCTCAAACTCCTGGGCTCAAGTGATCCTCCATCTCAGCCTCCTGAGTAGCTGGGACTACAGGTGTGCACAACCATGCCCAGCAAAAAAAAAAAATTTTTAATCAGAGTCTTGCTCTGTTGCCCAGGCTGGAATGCAGTGGTGCAATCATCACTCACTGCAGTTTTGACCTCCCCAGGCTCATGTGATCCTCCCACCGCAGCCTCCCAAGCAGCTGAGACTACAGGTGTGTGCCACCATGACCAGCTAAGCTAATTTTTGTATATATATATATATACATATTTTGGTAGAGATGTGGTTTCACCATGCTACCCAGGCTGGTCTGGAACTCCTGGCCCTAATGCCTGCCTTGGCCTCCCAAAATGCTGGGATTACAAGCATGAGTCGCTGTGCCCAGCCTCATGTGCTCATTCTGAGGGAGATATTACAGGATTTGGTGATTGAATGAAGGAGGAGGAGGGAAAGGAAAATATTTCTGATGACAGTGAGGATTTTAACATGTTATGGTTTCAGAAGACACCATCACCCAGGGAGGCTTGAATATATCACCTGACTCAGTTACTGATATGCATCTCTCCTTCCTTAGCAAATGTGAAAACCTCAATTTTTTTTCTTGTTACCCTGCTCTTTCAGGCTGCTCTCCACCCCCAAATGTACTGCCAGCTGCTGTTTATTTAGGAAACGAAAGCTAATTTTAGTGTTAGCTTTAGCCAACCCTAATCTCGAAGCAAATCAGCTGCAAGTACAAGGGGCTTCAGAGTCAAACAGAAATACCTTTGGACTTACCTGCTGGACAAAGTTATCTCAATACTCCCCAGCACCGCTCTACTATGGATCTAAAAATAATGATTTTCCCTGCTGAATTTTGAAAATATCATGTTCACTGTATTTGCTTTATCCTCCACCTGGGATGCTCTTCCTTCAGTTCTCTGCTCAAATGTCATCGTATCAGTGACAGATGCTGAACTCCTTATGTAAACTAGCACCCCACTCCACCTTCTTGGGTGGAAAATCAACCACTTTGATTTTCTTCATAGCACCAATTGCCGTCTGACAAATGACATATTTACTTGGCAAGCAGTTTATTGTATCTCCTCACCCCTTTCATAGATTACAAGCCCCATGAGGGCAATGACCTGTGTATTTTGGTCACTGCTGTATCCCCAGAGGCCCCTGAAACAGTGGAATACCTCAATTTCTATTTGCATAATGTCATCCAGGGCTGGCCAAGGTGGAAGGCCTGGGATATGAAACCTTTAAACAAACTGCTGGTGGCAATGTTGCTTGAAATCAACTTTCTGAAAAGTAATTTGACTTGATACTCTCTTTAAAAAAAAATTAAGGTCAGGTGCAGTGGCTCATGCCTGTAATCCTAGCACTTTGGGAGGCCAAGGCAGGAGGATTACTTGAGCCCAGGAGTTCAAGACCAGCCTGGGCAACATAGTGGTACCCTGTCTCTACAATTTTTTTTTTAAATTAGCCCAATGTGGTGGCATTCGCCTGTGATCCCAGCTACTTAGGAAGCTGAGGCAGGTGGATCATTTGAACCTGGCAGGTCAAGGCTGCAGTGAGCCATGTTTGCACTATTGCACTCCAGCCTGGATGACAGAGAAAGACCCTGTCTCGATTTTAAAAATTTAATATTTTTAAACTTTTATTATCTTAAAAAAATTATATATATATGTATATATTTTGTGTGTGGAGACAGGGTCTCACTATGTTGCTCAGGCTGGCCTCAAACTCCTGGCCTCAAGTGATCCTCCCTCCTTGGCCTCCCAAAGTGCTGGGATTATAGGCATGAGCCACTGCACCTGGTCTTACTTTTAAATTTTTAATTAATTTATTTATTTTTAAGAGGTAGGGTTCTTGCTATGTTGCCCAGGCTGGATTTAGACTCCTGGGATCAAGAGATCTTTCTGCCTCGGCTTCCAGGGTAGCTGGGACTGTGGTGTGCAGCACTGCACCTGGCTGGTTCTATTTTTTTTTTTTTTTTTTTGAGACAGAGTCTGGCTCTGTTGCCCAGGCTGGAGAGCAGTGGCACAATCTAGGCTCACTGCAACCTCCATATCCCAGGCTCAAGCCATACTATCACCTTGGCCTTCCAAGTAGCTGGGACTACAGGTGCATGCCAGCTAATTTTTGTAATTTTTTTTTTTTTTTTTTTTGTAGAGATGGGGTTTAGCCATGTTGCCCAGGATCCTGGGCTCAAGCGATCTGCCCACCTGGGCCTCCCAAAGTGCTGGGATTGCAGGTATGAGCCACCACTCGCGGCCTTGATTCTCTTTCTATATGTTTATCCTAAGGATGGAATCAGCATTGTAGATAAATATTTAGAACAGAGGTTGGCAAACCTTTTCTGTAAATAGTCAGATTGTAAGTATTTGAGGCTTTGTGGGACATAAGGTTTCTGTTGCAACTACTCCACTTTGCCTTGAAAGCAACCATAGACGCTATGGGAATAAATGCACGTGGCTGTGTTCCAACAAAACAGGCAGCAAAGTGAATCTGGCCCACAAGCTGCAGTTTGCTGACTGAGATTTAGAACAAAATGCCGATTATAATGGCAAAGATTGTGAATGTCCTAATTATTCAACAACTGGGAGTTACTTAAATTATACAGCATCCACAAGATAAAAAAGAAGTTACAGCCATTAAAAATGGTATTTTCAAAGAAATTGTAATGAACTAGTGATGGGCTCAGAGCATAATTATGTCAATGAGAGTCAATTTAGCCATTAATTAAGACTCTGAACTCTGGAGTCAGAGAAATTGAAACTTCAAACTTGAGCACTTTCTAGCTGTTTGACCTTAAGCAAATTGTTTAACTTCTGGGAAACCTTTCCTTATTTAAGAAATGGAAACAGAAATATTATCTATCTTGTAAGGTTGTTGAAAGATAATGCATAGATCATATTGCTTAGCATACAATAAGTGCTTAACAAATCATTGTTTCCAAGTGGGGAATTAAAAATGGAATTATTTTTATAGGTTCGTGGATTTCAAAGCTGGAAGGAAACCTTGTAAGTCCCTCAAAATAGGTGCTCAGTAAATGTCTCCCAGTCTGTTTCTAAAAGGCAAGGGAAGGACTTTGATTGGTTCATTGAGTGTCACATGACCACACTCTGGCCCAATCATTGTGTCAGCAAGTTGAAGTACTATGGTTCCTCTCAGACTTGCTCTTCGACTTGTGCCTGCAACAGGCAGGGCAGCAGTACAAACTGGCCATGGAGCACAAGATTTCTTTTCGAGACAGGGTTTTGCCCTGTGGCCCAGGTTGGAGTGTAGTGGCACAGATTACAGTTCACAGTAATCTTGAACTCCTGGGCTCAAGGGATCCTCCCACCTCAGCCTCCTGAGTAGCTGAGATTACAGGTGCCTGCGCCCATGCCCTGCTCAATGTGTCTTTTCTATAAGCACCCACGTGCTTATAGACAATGACGGTGATGGCAGGTGAGTCCCTGCCTTGGTTAGTTTACCAGTCCCTGTCTGGTGGTCTTTTGGGAACTTTCCAGACTTTGGCACATAGCATGGTAGAGCATTTCCAAAATATATATCCTGGATCGCACTTCTTATCACGCTTTGTGCTCTGGGGTGCTGAGTGTCTGTTTCTTTCTGTCTTTGTTCCTTTCTTTCTTTCGTTCATTCATACACACACACACACACACACACACACACACACACACACACACACACACACAGGGCCTTTCTCTGTCACCTAGGCTGCAGTGCAGTGGTGCAATCACAGCTCACTGCAGCCTTGACCTCCTGGGCTCAAGCGGTCCTCCCACCTCGGCCTCCTGAGCAGCTGGGAGGCCTCCTGAGTAGCAGGGACTACAGGTGCACACCACCATGCCTGACTAATTTTTGTATTTTTTGTAGAGATAGTGTTTCATCATGTTGCCTAGGCTGGTCTCAAACTCCTGGGCTCAAGTGATCCACCTTCCAAACTGTTGGCATTACAGGGGTGAGCCACCACACCGGGCCCTGAGTGTTATGCTTACTGTTTTGACTCTTTTGAGCCCTTATAGTACAGTCCTGAGTTGCTCAACGATGAAGATCTGTTTCAAGACATGTGTCATTAGGCAAGGTCATCTCTGTGTGAACATCATAGCGTGTACTCACATAAACCTAGATGGTATAGCCTTCTACACACCTAGGCTATAGGTATAATGGTATAGCCTGTTGCTCCTGGGGTACAAACCTGTACAGCACGTTCCTGTACTGAAGATTTTAGGCAATTGTAAAACAACGGGAAGTATTTGTATATCTCAACATAGAGAAGTTACGGTAAAAATACAGCATTATAATCTTATGGGACCATCATTGTGTACGCAGCCTGTTGTTGGTGGAAACATTGTCGCAGTGCATGACTGTATACATGATGCAGTGATTACAGTGGTAGGGATTGAGTATCCTGGTATAAGGGGCTGTGCTTTTGAAAATCTGTTTTTTTCTCTCTTGCTTTCTTTTTTTTTTTTCTTTTGAGACAAGGTCTCACTCTGTTGCCCAGGCTGGAGTGCAGTGGAGTGATCTCAGCTCAGTGCAACCTCTGTCTTTTAGGCTCAAGCCGTCCTCCCACATCAGCCTCCCAAACAGTTGGGACTACTGGCGCATGCTACCATGCCCAGCTAAATTTTTTTTTTTTTTTTTTGGTAGAGACTGGGTCTCACTACATTGCCCAGGCTTGTCTTGAACTCCTGAGCTCAAGAGATCCGCCCACCTCAGCCTCTCAAAGTGCTGGGATTACAGGCATGAGCCACCGTGCCTGGCCTCTCTTGCTTTTTTCTCTCCCTCTTCTTCCATAAAACCCAATTCCCTGCCTTATAATCAATCTCCCCGTTTACTTTTCTCTCTCCCTCTTCCCTCTACAACTTTCTCCAGTTCCAACTGCCTTGCTAACCTGATGATTTCCATTCACTGGTTCTTGGTGCTCTGATATCTTTGCTTTGTTTGTAATTTTACTGTCAGTGCATTTAAAGTCTAATTCAACGTTCAAAGTTCCCTGTAACCCACCCCAAACCGATCTACGACATCCTTATCTGTGCATCAACAATCTTGTTGGGTGCTGACAGAAAATACAGATTTCCTGGGCCCCACAGTAGGCCTATGGACACAGATCTCTGGGAGTGGGGTTTTTGGTAAAAATTATTCTAACAAAATTCTTATGGGGATCTGATGAACAGACAGCTTGGGGATCTCTTGTCACGGCTGAATTTATTACACTCGTAAATTTACAGTTATTATATGTGAATGGATGTCCATCTTCTCTACCAAATCCTGAGTTTATGGACATAAGACTGTGTCCAACACATATTATTTGTTCAATATGTATTTATAGAAGAAATGAAAAATACCCCAAACAAGCATCACATGGTGATGAGGTTCCCATAATCCACCAGCAGGTGGTGGAAGAGGCTAGGCCACAGTCAATAACTGGACCTGTGTTCTCATTCCCCCTAAGATTGACAGCAGGGGTGGGTTTACATTTTTTTTAAAAGTCGTTTTTAATGAACAATCCCATAAGTTTATGGAATGATTTCTGTTTGCAGCACATGAAAAACCTTCTTGAAGATCCCTTTAAAAGTCATTAAAAATGGAAACATTAAATGGATTTCCCTAGAAGAGGAATGACTTTTCCTCCAACAATTCTATCAATTAAGCATTTTCAAAGAGTACTTGATATTTTCCAAATAAATATATGGTGCTACTTACTGCACCTTCCTGGGCCTTGGTTCTTGCTAGTTCCCACAGGCTCCTTCCAGGTATGAGGGGGCTCCTGGGGGAGGGGTCATAGAGTTGTTTCTTGATCCAGATGCTGGTTTTACAGGTGATAAATTGTGAAAACTTAGCAAGCTGTTTGCTTACAGGTGCATTTTTCTGTGTGTATGTTATACGTCAAAAAGGTTGGAAAAAAAAAAAAAGGCTGAGCATGGTGGCTCATGCCTGTAATTCCAGCACTTTGGGAGGCCAAGGTGGGAAGATGAACTGAACCCAGGAGTTCAAGACCAGCCTGGGAAACAAAGTGAGACCCTGTTTCTACAAAAAAAAAAAAAAAAGAAAGAAAAAGTTAGCTGGGCATGGTAGCATGCACCTGTAGGCCCAGCTACTCAGGTGGCTGAGCTGCGAGAATTGCTTGAGCCCAGGAGTTTGAGGCTGCAGTGAGCCGTGATTGTGCCACTGCACTCCAGACTGGGCAACAGAGCAAGACTCTGTCTCAAAAAAAAGAAAACGTTAATAAAAAGAAGCAAAATCAATAAAGACCCAATATTAGTTTCCTATCACTACCACAACAAATTGTCACAAATTTAGTGGCTGCAAACAACATAAATTTATGATGTAGCCACTCTGGAAAACAGTACAGAGGGTCTTCAAAAAATTACCATATGCCCCAGCAATCCTCCTTCTGGGTATATACCTAAAATATTTGAAAAAGCATCTGTGCAGATATCTGTACTCCCATGTTCATTGCAGCATTATTCACAATAACCAGAAGTAGAAGCACCTAAATATCTATCAGCGGATGAGTGGATAAACAAAATGTGGTATATACACATAATGGAATATTATTCAGCCTTAAAAAAGGAAATCTTATCATATGCTGCAACATGGATGAACTTTGAGGAAATATGCTAAATGAAATAAACCAGTCACAGAAGGACAAATACTGCATGACTCCATTTATATGAGGTATCCAAATTAATCAACCTTTTTTTTTTTTTTTTTTTTAGATAGGGTCTCACGCTGTTGCCAGGCTGGAGTGCAGTGGTGTCGTCATAGCTCACTCCTGGGCTCAGTGGGCTCAAGTGATCCTTCTGCCTCAGCCTCCAGAGTAGTTGGGACTACAGGCACACAGCACTGCACCCAGCTAATTTTTTAATTTTTGTAGAGATGGGAGCTCACTATGTTGCCCAGGCTGGTATCAAATTCCTGGGCTCAAGTGATGCTCTTCTCTTGGCCTCCCAAAGCATTGGGATTACAAACATGAGCCACCATGCCTGGCTGTCAAACTCTTATAAACAGAAAGTAAAACAATGATTATCAGGAGGCGTGAAGGAGAGGAAAACAGGGCATTGTTGTGGATATAGTCTCGTTTTTGCAAGATGAAAAACTTCTAGAGGCTCATTGCAGAACAATGTGCCTATAGTTAACACAACTGTTCTGTACACTTAAAAAGAGTTAAGATGGTATTTTTTTTTACCAGAATAAAAAAACCTCACAAATGTATTATCTTATATATCTATAGGTCAGAAGTGCAAAATTTGTCTCACTGGACTAGAATCAAGGTGTGCAAAGGGTTGCATTTCTTTCTGGATGTTACAAGGGAGATTCCCTTTCCTGCTTATTTGAGTTGTGGGCAGAATTCTGCCCTTTGCAGCTATAGGGATGGAGCCCTGGTTTTCCGTCCGGCCATCAGCCAAGGGCTGTTGTCATCTTCTAGAAACTTCCACATACTGTGTTCCCCTCCTCCATATTCTGAGCCAGCAGTGACTGGAGGCGTCTTTTGCTTATAGCATTTCTCTGACCCACTTTTCTGCCTCTCCTTTCTATTGATAAGGACTTGTGTTATTAGATTTGGTCCAATTGGGTAATCTAGGATAATCTCCCACTTTGAGATCCATAATTTTTTTTGAGACAGGGTCTCGCTCTGTTGCCCAGGCTGGAGTGCAGTGGCACGATCTCAGCTCTCTGCAACCTCTGCTTCCCTGGTTCAAGCAATTCTTGTGCCTCAGCTCCTGAGAAGCTGGGATTACAGGCACCCACCACGACACCCAGCTAGTTTTTGTATTTTTAGTAGAGATAGGGTTTCACCATGTTGGCCAGGCTGGTCTTGAACTCCTGGCCTCAAGTGATCTGCCCACCTCGGCCTCCCAAAATGCTGGTATTACAGGTGTGAGCATTGCACCTGGCCTGAGATCCATAACTTAATCAAATGGGCAAAGTCTCTTTTGCCATGTAAGGTAACATATTCTTAGAAATTTGGGAGAATTAGAACGTGTCCATCTTTGGGATGTGTAGTTCTACCACACCTCCTCCCACCCTCACCTGATCATTTTCATTCAGCTCCACATGATGACAGGAGAGAGGATTCAATCTGGCAAAAGATGCGAATATTGACTTTCATATGTGTATAAGGACTCACATTTATTGAGTATTTATTATGTGCCAGACACATTTTAAGCACGTCACAGGCCTCATCTTATATAATTCTCCTAGAAGTAAATGTTATTATTTTGTAACCAAGTAATATGGTTTGGCTGTGTCCCCACCCAAATCTCATTTTGAATTGTAACTCTCACAATTCCCACATGTCGTGGGAAGAACCTGGTGGGAGGTAATTGAATCACGGGGGGCGAGTCTTTCCCATGCTGTTCTCACCATAGTGAATAAGTCTCACAAGATCTAATGGTTTTAAACGGCAGTTTCCCTGCACAAGCTCTCTCTTTTTGCCTGCTGCCATCCATGTAAGACGTGACTTGTTCCTCCTTGCGTCACACCATGATGGTGAGGCCTCCCCAGCTGCGTGGAACTGTAAGTTCATTAAACCCTTTTTCCTGTATAAATTACCCAGTCTCAGGTATGTCTTTATTTGCACCATGAAAACAGACTAATACACCAAGGAAACTGAAGCTTAGAGTGGTTAATAAATCTCTTTAATGTCACACTGCTACTATTAATAGATTTGTTGTAAACTTGGGATTTATATTCATACAGTCTCATCCTTAATCAATTAGCTATGCTGTCTCTTTAATAAATATAATAATATCGATGACAAAATGTTATTAGAAGGTTGCACTTGTATATTAAAAAAACTCAGTAAGCAGTAATTTCAAGAAATTGGAGATAGCTAGGGATGATGGCTCATGACTGCGATTCCCAGCACTTTGGGAGGCTAAGGCCAGAGGATCACTTGAAGCCAGAAGTTTGAGGCCAGCTTGAGCAACATAGCTGTCTCTACAACAACTACAACAAAAGTTAGCTGGGCATAGTAATGCATGCCTATAGTCCTAGCTAGCCGTGAGGCTGAGGTAGCAGGATTGCTTGAGCCCAGGAGGTTGAGGCTTCGGTAAGCCGAGATCATGCCACTGCACTCCAGCCTGGGCAACAGAGCAAGATTCTGTCTCTAAAAAAATAAAAAATTGCAGAATTAAACATATTTCCATATTTATTTACAGTCAAATACATTGTAACTCAAAGAGAAAGTGGTTATATGTTGAAGGGCACAAAGCAATTTGACGTCCTAGATAGAAACTTAGTGTCTTCAGACTAGAAGGGTCTTGAAATGGTAATTTTTTTCTCTCTTTGCATTTGGGTAGGACCTCATATAACCCAACCTAGTGAGAAAATCTGGCTTTGGGGAAAGTGGTGTGTTTTGGTGACAGGAACATAGTTTCAACTTGGTTTTCCTTTTTAGAATTATTTTTACTTGTTTTAGAAATAGTGATGGGGTCTCACTATGTTGCCCAGGCTGGTCTTGAACTCCTGAGCTGTAGGGATCCTCCTGCCTTGGCCTCCCAAAGCGTTGGGATTACAGATGTGAGCCACTGCACCCGGCTTCACCTTAGTTTTCTAATTACACATGAAAGGAGTTGTTCTTTTCATTTTCTCTTGTATTCACAAGACTGTGCTGAAGCAGCCAGCTGCCCTTATTGCAGCCTGAATCCTGATTTTTACCCTGTGTCCAGCCCTCCCTGTGTGACTGCAGGGCAAATTCTGATTGGTCTCAGCCTGTTATGGTGGTGCCTGGGCTTAGCAAGGGGTGTTAGGTTCTGGTCAATGAGGCAGAGTCTACTGGGCAGCTTCTGGAAATGTTTTTTTAGTCTTAAAAAAGAGACACACAAAGAAGAAACAGCTCCTGCTCTCCATCCCTGCCTGACCACAGTGTTTGGAAGTGCCCATATCAGGTCAATCAGAGGAGGAGACCCCAAAAATGGCCAAGTATGAAGATGGAAGGGCTTGACTTGGTTAAGCCACTCAACCAATTGGCCCTGGATTCTCTCTGCTGCCTGAATTCTTTTTTTTTTTTTTTTTTTTTTTTTTTTCTAAATTTTAGACAAGGTCTCACTCTGTCACCCAGGCTGGAGTGCAGTGGTGTGATCTCAGCTCACTGCAGCCTTGAACTCCTGGGCTGAAGCAATCCTCCCACCTCAGACTCTCAAGTAGCTGGGACCACAGGCATGTGCCAGCACACCTGGCTAATTTTTGTATTTTTTTGTAGAGATGGGGTCTTGCCATGTTGCCCAGGCTGGTCTCGAGCTCCAGAGTTCAAGCAATCCACCCGCCTCAGCTTCCCAAAGTGCTGGGATTACAGGCATGAGCCACTGAGCCAGACCTTTCCTTTCCTTTTCTTTTTCTTCTCTTCTTCTTCTTTTTTTTTTTTCTTGAGATGGAGTCTCACTCTGTTGCCGAGGCTGGAGTGTGGTGATGTAATCTTGGCTCACTGCAACCTCCGCCTCCTGGATTCAAGTGATTCTCCTGCCTCAGCTTTCCAAGTAGCTGGGATTACAGGTATGCACCACCACACCTGGCTAATTTTTTTGTATTTTTCATAGAGACGAGGTTTTACCATGTTGGCTGGGAGTTCAGACCTCCCAAAGTGCTAGGATTATTACAGGCGTGAGCCACTGAGCCCACAACCTTTCCTTTTCTTTTTTGAGACAGGGTCTCACTACATTCCCCTGGCTGGTCTCAAACTCCTGGGCTCAAATGATCCAATCCTCCTGACTCAGTCTCCTGAGTAGCTGGGATTTCAGGTGCGCACCACTGCAGCTGGCTCTGGATTCTTACACTTAGGCCATTTTTGGCTGGAGTTTCTCTTATTAATACTTGCAGATGGCAGCACCCCAACTGAATCACACAACACTAGTTTCTCTCTGTTTTATTCATGGGTTATACTTTGTCTCAAAACCAGAAATGGCATTAAGTCCTCAGTTTTCTGTAATGTCCTTTTTCTGATCCTGGATCCCATCCAGAAACATGACATTGTACTTAGTCCTAATATCTCCTTAGGCTCCTCTTCATGGTGACAGTCGCTCAGACTTCCCTTGTTCTTGGCCTTTTTGACAGTTTTGAGGAGTGCTGGACGGTTATTTTGTAGAATGTTCCTGAATTTGGTTTTGTCTTATGTCTTTATTATCATTAGGCAGAGGTTATGGGGTTTTGGGAGGAAGACCTCAGAGGTAAAGTGCCTCTCTCATCGCATGTCGAGGGTGCCTACCATCAACGTGACGGGTCACTGTTAATGTGGACCTTCATCACCTGGCTGAGGCTGGGCTTACCAGGTTTCTCCACTGTACGCTCACTCTGCCTCCACCCCTTTCCATACTGCATGCACTCTTTGGAAGGAAGACACCGTGTGCTGCCTACACTTAAGGAATGAGGCATTATGTTCCCCCAACTCTTGAGGACAAAGTGTCTGCATGAATTATTTGGAATATTCTTCCACATGGGTGATTCGCCTTCTGCCATGATTGGAAGCTTCCCGAGGCTCTCACCAGGAGCAGATGCCAGTGCCATGCTTCCTGTACAGCCTGCAGAACCATGAGCTAGTTTTCCTTATTTGTTTATGAAATCATTTATTTAAACCGAGCTTGGTGGCTCATGCCTCTAATCCCAGCACATCGGGAGGCTGAGGCGAGAGGACTGCTTGAGTCCAGGAGTTTCAGGCTGCAGTGAGCTGTGATTGCACCACTGCACTCCAGCCTGGGTGATAAAGCAAGACCCTGTGTCAAAAATAAAAGTAAAAATAAGATAAAAATAGATCAATCATTTATTTGTATCAGTATGGACTCAGGAGTTCTTTTGAGTTCTAATCTAATATAACTTTATGTTTTGGGGGGCTTTTTGTTGCTCAGATTATTCTAGTTTTGGTTACTGAGACCCTTTTAGTTGGCATCTGTCTCCCTTTGGCATACCCCACCATTGTGGGTTGTGTGTGTGTGTGTGTGTGTGTGCGCGTGCGTGCATTTCCTTCCTTTCTGGCACTACAAGATTCTTCAGGCTTGTCTTTTATATTTCCTGGTTGATATACTTTGGATGTGTGTCCCCTTTACATCTTATGTTGAAATGTGACCTCCAGTGTTGGAGGTGGGGCCTGTTGGGGAGGTGGGAAGTGACTGGATCACAAGGGCGGATCCCTCGTAAATGGCTTAGTGCTATCCCCTTGGTGATGAGTGAGTTCTCATTCAGTTCACATGAGAGCTCGTTGTTTAAAGGGATCCTGGCTCTTCCCTCTGTCTCTTGCTTCTGTTCTCACAATGTGATACATCAGCTCCCCCTTTGCCTTCTGCCGTGACTGGAAGCTTCCCGAGGTCCTCACCAGAAGCACATGCAGATGCCATGCTTCCTGTACAGCCTGCAGAATCATGAGCCAATTAAGCCTCTTTTCTTTATAAATCACCCAACCTCGGGTACTTTTTTACAGCAATGCAGAAATGGACTAACACACTGGCCCTGTCCTAGAATCAGCTGCCTCTCCAAAGAGCTCTGTGCTGGTTAATACTAAATGCTAACTTGATTGGACTGAAGGATGCAAAGTATTCATCCTGGGTGTGTCTGTGAGAGTATTGCCAAAGGAGCTTAACATTTGAGTCGGTGGGCTGGGAAAGGCAGACCCACCCTTAATCTGGGTGGGTACCATCTAATCAGCTGCCAGTGTGGCCACGACATAAAGCAGGCAAAAAAACCATGAAAAGGCTAGACTGGTCTAGCCTTCCAGCCTACATCTTTCTTCCATGCTGGATGCTTCCTGCCCTCAAACATCAAACTCCAGGTTCTTCAGTTTTGGAACTTGGACTGGCTCTCCTTGCTCCTCAGCTTGCAGATGACCTACTGTGGGACCTTGTGATTATGTGAGCAAATACTTAATAAACTCCATACATGTGTATGTATATATATATATACCATCTGAATGACAGTACACTAAACAGGACTTTGTACTAATGTCTCTAACTCAAATCCGTTTCCACGTGGATCATTTTAGTCATCTCTACTTGCTTATCTGTAATCTCCCACCCCAACAATGAAAACATTAGCTTCCATCATTGCTAATCTAGGTGAGTACCATCTAATCAGCTGCCAGCATGGCCAGGATGCTTCCACCATTGAATGTGTCCCCCAAAGTTCATGTGTTGGCAACTTGATCCTCAACATGGTGGTGTTGGGAGGTGGGGCCTAATGGGAGGTGTTTGGGTCATGGGGGCCCTGCCCTCATGATAGAGTAATGATAGAATGGATTCCTTATAAAATAATAAATTGGGCTCTCTTTTGGCTGTCTGTTACCTTCTCCTTGCTCATCTGCTATGAGATGGTGCACAAGAAGGCTCTCGCCAGATGCTGGTCTTGTGATCTTGGACTTCCCAGCCTCCAGAACTGTGAGTCAATACGTTTCTGTTCATTATAAATTACCCAGCCTGTGGTATTCTGTTATAGCAGCACAAAATGGACTAAGACACCTTGTCAAACTCTCTTTTTTCCTGTGCTACACTGTCCTGCACCTTCCAGATAATGGCTGCTCCATCAGCCTGGTTCTTGGAATGAGGATGACATAAGGTAGAGTCCCAGCTGACCAACAGTGGAGATGTATCATGAGCAAGAAATAAACCTTTCTTATTTTCAGCCACTAAGCTTTGAAATATTCATTACAGCAGCCTAACCTAGCTCATCCTGACTGACAGAATTTATAACAGTGAAAGATGGAAGTAATGCAATTATCTACCAAGAAGGGACTGATATAACTTGGATATTTGTCCCTGACAAGTCTCATGTTGAAATTTGATGCCCAATGTTGGAGGTGGGACCTAGTGGGAGGCATTTGGGTCATGGGGGTGGATCCTTTATGAATGGTTTGATGCCCTCCCTTTGATAATAAGTGAGTGGTCCCTCCATTAGTTCATGTGAGAGCTGGTTGTTTAAGAGAGCATGGCACCCCTCCTATTCTCTCCTGCTCCCTCTCTTGCCATGTGACATGCCTGCTCCTCCTTCACCTTCCACCATGAGTAAATGCATCCTGCAGTCCTGACCAGAAGCAGATGTTGGTGTCAAGCTTCGTGTTCAGTCTGTAGAACTGTGAGCCAAATAAACCTCTTTTCTCTATAAGTTACCTAGATTCAGATATTCCTTTACAGCAATGCAAAACGGACTAATACAAGGACAAAGTTAATAAATTATGGTACATTTCAGCAATGGTTTACTTGTACAGCCCTTGCAAAAAAAAAAAAAGTCAGTTTCTGTTACTGACATGAAAAACTGTCCGTACTGTCAAGTGAAGAAAAGAAGCAAGTTATGGAACAGTTTATTCAGTATGATCACATTGTTGTAAAACAAATAATGTACGTACATTTTTTAGTATATGGATAGAAAAAAAGCACTGGAGGAATACACACCAAATTGTCTACAGAAATGATCTTTGCATTTTAGAGTTTTGAGTTGTTTGAATTTTTACAAGTTCTGAGTCAAGATTCTCTCTGCTCTGGGCTGGATGTGTTTCATTTGTCAGTTGGCAGCTAGACTAGATTATGCAAATTGGATTTCCCTTGGATGGATTTGACAGTCTACAAGGTTAAGTCTGGAGGCAAACATGTGGACATGTTAAGTGGGGACAGGCTAATAAATAAGGCAATTTGAGCAACATTCCTGGAATTTTTTCCAAGCCTATCAAATGCCCAGAATGTAATCGGTACTTATCTTGATTCCCAGCATAAACAATGGTGATTACAAACCGATGAAGACCTTAGATGGTTTCCGAGCCTCTGTTTGTTCCTTATGACTCTCGAATAATTACTTTCAGAGAGCAGTTTCAGCAATGATGAGGATTGGGTTTGGGGTGGGGGCTTTGTCTCATTCATCTTTGAATTTTCAGTACCTGGCTCTGGCTTGGCACGGGGTAGGTGTTCAATTAATGTCATTCTGAAATGTCTGTTTTCAATAATGATTACTAGTTTCCAATATATTTATTTTGTTTTTTGAATGATCATACAGTAAGATTGACTTTTTGTGGTATGCAGAATTTTTTTTTTTTTTTTTTTGAGTACAAGGTCTCACTATGTCACCCAGGCTGGAGTGCAGTGGTGTGATCACAACTCACTGCAGCCTCAACACAACTGGCTCAAATGTTCCTCCACCTCAGCTTCCCAAGTACCTGGGACCACAGGTGTGCACCATCACACCTAGCTAATTTTTAAATTTTTACTTTTGTGGTGATGGGGTCTCCCTATGTTACCCAGGCTGGTCTTGAACTCCGTGGCTCAAGCAATCCTTGTGTCTCAGGCTCCCAAAGTGTTGGGATTACAGGCATGAGCCACCAGGCCCAGACTGGTGTGCAGATCTGTGAATTTTAAGACATGTATAGATTTCTGAAACCACCACCATCATCAGAATACAAAACAGTTGTGTCGTCCCCACAACTCCATCATGCTTTCTCTTTATCATTACATTCCCCCCACCCCTCACCCCTGGCAAACACTCACAGGCTCTGTGTCATGGCTTTGTCTTTTCAAGAATGTCCTATAGATATGATCATGTGGCAGATGAACTTTTGAGAGCAGCTTCTATTACTCAGTTAGTTTCTTTTTATTGCTGAGGAGTATTCCTCAACATTTTTTTTTCTTTCACCTTTCATTTCACATTCAATGAGTACATGTGTGAGTTTGTTACATGGGTAAATTTTATGTCATGGGAGTTTGGTGTACAGATTATTTCACCACCAAGCTAGTAAGCATAGTACCCGGAAGGTAGTTTTTCAGTCATCTCCCCCACCTTCCACCCTCAATAGGTCCCAGTGTGTATCGTTCCCTTCTTTGTGTCCATGCAAACTTTGATATTTAGCTCCCATTTATAAGTGAGAACATGTGGTATTTGGTTTTCTGTTCCTGTATTAATTTGCTTAGGATAATGTCCTCCAGCTCCAACCACGCTGCTGCAAAGGATATGATCTCATTCCTTTTTATGACTGCATAGTCCATGGTCCTCAACAACATTTTTTGAGCACCTACTATGTGCCAGGCACCATGCTTGGTATTGGGGATATAACATATAAAGGGAAGACGTGGTCTCTATTGGCTTGGAGCTTTCACACATTGATGGGAGATTCATAAATCTTTGGGGTCCTAAGGGAGTCTGGTTCATCTCATCCTTAGCTTCTCAACATATGGACTATAGACCAAGAGCACTGGCATTCCTTGAGAGCTTGTTAGAAATGCAGAATCTCAGGCCCTAAACCCAGGCATATTGAATCACGGTCTGTACAAGGTCTCTGTGCACATTCAAATTTGAGAAGTGTCGGTCTTACTATGCCCTCCACAGAGTGCAGAACTTCCTACTTCCCTGCCCAATACCCATTCAGTCTTATTATTTTTTTTCTTTTTTGAGACAGAGTCTTGCTCTGTCACCCAGGCTGGAGTGCAGTGGCACAAGCTCAGCTAATTGCAACCTCTGCCTCCTGGGCTCAAACGATCCTTTCACCTCAGCCTCCTGAGTAGCTGGGACTACAGGTGTGCACCACCATGCCCAGCTAATTTTTGTATTTTTTTTGTAGAGACGGGGTTTTGTTATGTTGCCCAGGCTGGTCTTGAACTCCTGGGCTCGAACAATCTGCTGGCCTCAGCCTCCCAAAGTCCTGGGATTACAGGTGTGACCCACCGTGCCCAGTCAAGTGTTTTACAATTTTTAATTAATTAATTTAGAGATAGGGTCTTGCTCTGTTGCCCAGGCTGGAGTATAGCGGCGTGATCACTACTCACTGCAGCCTCAAATTCCCAGGCTCAAGCGATCCTCCTACTTCAGCCTCCCGAGTAGCTAGGACCACATGTGTGCACCACCACTTCTGGTTAATTTTTTATTGATTTTTTTATTTTTTTGATACAGAGTCTTGCTCTGTCACCCAGGCTGGAGTGCAGTGGCATGATCTTGGCTCACTGCAACCCCCACCTCCCGTGTTCAAGCAATTCTCCTGCCTCAGCCTCCTGAGTAGCTGGGACTACAGGCGTGTGCCACCATGCCCGGCTAATTTTTTGTATTTTTAGTAGAGATAGGGTTTCACCATGTTAGCCAGGACGTTCTCGATCTCCTGACCTCGTGATCCACCCACCTAGGCCTCTCAAAATGCTGGGATTACAGGCATGAGCCATCGTGCGCAGTCTAATTTTTTTTTTTTTTTTTTTTTTTTTTGTAGAGACAGGGTTTCACTGTGTTGCCCAGGCTTGGCCATTCAGTCTTTGCAAGAATGCCTTCGGTAATGGAGCTCTTATTCTTGGCAGCCAGCCCTTTCCAGCGATGGGCAGCTCTAATTGTTTGCAGTTTTTCTTAGTCTAAATGAAAATTTGCTTCTGTATAAATTCCACAGTACAGCTCTAGTTCTGACTTTTGGGTCAAGCCAAAATACACCTACTTCTTCTTTGCCCTAATATTTCTCTGGTTGTTTACAGACTTGCTGCCCTTTTCTCCAGGCTGCACATTCCCCTCACCGCCACTGATGCTATAATCATTCTTTATATTCATTTATTCACCCACTTTGTGTGTGTGTGTGTGTGTGTGTGTGTGTGTATTTTTTGAGATGAAGTATTGCTCTGTCACCCAGGCTGGAATGCAGTGGCACAATCCCAGCTCACTGCAACCTCTGCCTCCTGGATTCAAGCAATTCTCCTGCCTCAGCCTCCCAAGTAGCTGGGATTACAGGCAACCGCCACCATGCCCAGCTTTTTTTTTTTTTTTTTTTTTTTTTGTATTTTTAGTAGAGATGGGGTTTCACCATGTTGGCCAGGCTGGTCTTGAACTCCTGACCTCAAGTGATGCGCCTGCCTTGGCCTCCCAAAGTGCTGGTATTACAGGTGTGAGCCACCACATCTGGCCCCACTTAGTATATTTTTATTGGAACCTACTACATCCAGACATTGAACTTGACCAACGTCAAAAAAAATTGACATAGAGTTAAAATGGCTTAATTGGATGTTATAGTTCTGAGTATTTCTTATAAGATATTAATATAAATGATGGAAAGAAAACTTTTAGATGAAACATTTAATATGGATATTGAGGCATACTTAGAAAGATATATTTGGTCTTTGTCCCTGGTGTCTGGCACATTGCTCCTAATACCTTTGGAATTTCTGGACTGATAAGGGTGTTTTTTTTTTTTTTTTTTTTTTTTTGAGATGGAGTCTCGCTCTGTCGCCCAGGCTGGAGTGCAGTGGCATGATCATAGCTTACTGCAGCCTCAAGCTCCTGGGCTCAAGTAATCCTCCTGCCTCAGCCTCCAGAGTAGCTGGGACTTCAGGTGCGGGCCACCACACCTGCCTATGGGTGTATTTTATATGCTAATGAGATGATTGGTGACTGGGGGCCCCTACATCTCTTCAGATGAGGCAGGTCACTGGAAAGACCAAGGCAGGATTAGAGGATTGGAACTTCTGGCTCTACCTCCAACATCCCAGGGGCTCGAGATTGACTTCAGTCACCAATGGTCAATGATTTAACAAATCACGCCTATGAAATGAAACCTCCTAAACCACAGGGCTTGGAGAGCTTCTGGATTCATGAATACATCAAAATGCTGGGAGGGTGGTGCACCCAGAGAGGGCATGGAAGGTCTACATCAGCCAACACCCCCATACTTTGCCCTAGGCATCTCTTCTATTTTGCTGTTTCTGAGCTTTATCCTTTACAATAAACCAGTAATAGTACACAAAGAGCATTCCTGGCTGCGTATGGTGGCTCGTGCCTGTAATCCCAACACTTGGGGAGGCTGAGGAGGATTGCTTGAGGCCAGGAGTTCAAGACCAGCCTGGGCAACATAGTGAGACCCTGTCTCTACAAATAATAAAAAAATTCGCTGGGCATGGTGGTTTATGCCTGTAATCCCAGCATTTTGGGAGGCCTAGGTGGGCAGATCACAACGTCAGGAGTTCGATACCAGACTGGCCAACATGGTGAAACCCTGTCTCTACTAAAAATACAAAAATTAGCCAGGCGTGGTGGTGGGCACCTATAATCCCAGCTACTCGGGAGGCTGAGGCAGGAGAATCGCTTGAAACCAGAAGGCGGAGGTTGCAGTGAGCCGAGATCACGCCACTGCACTCTAGCCTGGGCAACAAGAGCAAAACTCCTTCTCAAAAAAAAAAAAAAATTCACTGGGCACAGTGGCACACGCCTGCAGTCCTAGCTACTTGGGAGGCTGAGGTGGGAGGATCACTTGCGTCTGGGAGGTTGAGGCTGCAGTGTGCTATGATCACACCACTGCACTCCAGTGTGGGCAAGAGTGAGACCCTGTTAAAAAAAAAAAAAAAAAAAGAGCATTCCTGAGTTCTGTGAGCTGTTCTGGCAAAACATCAAACCTGAAAGAGGAGGAGTTGTGGGAACCCTTGACTTTGTGGCCAAGTTGGACAGAAGTGTGGGTTCCCTGAGCACCCAGTACTTATGACCTGCATCTGAAGCGAGGCCATTCTTGTGGGACTAAGTCCTTAAGCCAGTGGAGTCTGATGCCAGCTCCAGGTTGTTAGTGTCAGAATTGGATTGAATTGTAGAATACCCAGTTGAGAGAGCTGGAAAAGTGGTTGTTGGTGTGGAAAAAACTCACACATTTGGCGTCAGAAATATTGTGAGTAAAAACAGTTCATAGATAACTAGGACTGAAAGACATAAGCCCAAACAACATGTTGGTCACCAAAATATACCATTGAAAGGCAGGTGGTAGCTATTACTCAGTGTCAGCCTACTGTTTCTGCAAGGAAATTAAGGTCCAATCTTGCATAGTCTTCTGTTTTTTGTTTTTTGTTTTGTTTTGTTTTTGAGATAGAGTCTCACTCTGTTGCCCAGGCTGGAGTGCAATGACACTGTCTTGGCTCACTGCAACCTCCACCTCCCAGGTTCAAGCAATTCTCCTGCCTCAGCCTCCCAAGTAGCTGGGACTACAGGCGTGTGCCACCACACCCAGCTAATTTTTATATTTTTAGTAGAGACAGGGTTTCACCATGTTGGCCAATCTGGTCTCAAACTCTTAACCTCATGATCTGCCCAGCTTGGCCTACCAAAGTGCTGGAATTACAGGCATGAGCCATCACGTCTGGCCAGTCTTCTGATTTTTTAAGACAAGTAAAAAATATGGATTTCAATGTGAATGTTTTGATTTTTAGATATGAGCAGTTATATCAGTCAGGGTTAACAACTGCTAACAAAATCCTTTCTGACTTAAGCAGAAAAATAATTTACCAGGTAGCTCAAAAAATTGACCACAAGGTGGAAAGCTGGACTGAAGAAGTAGGCAAGAGGCAGGTTATGATGGCTTATATCTGTAATCCCAGCACTTTGGGAGGCCAAGGAGGGAGGATTGCTTGAAGCCAGGAGCTCGAGACCAGCCTGGGCAACATAGTGAAAACTCATCTCTAACTAAAAAAAAAAAGCTGGATGTGGTGGCACACACTTTTAAGTCCCAGCTCCTTGGGAGGCTGAGGTGGAAGGATAACTTGAGCATGGGAAGTTGAGGCTGCAGTGAGCTATGATCATGCCACTGTACTCCAGCCTGGGTGACAGAGTGAGACTCTTTCTCAACAACAACAACAAAACAAAACAACACACAAAAAAACAAATAGGCAAGAACCGGGAGGGGCCCAGCATCTGGGGACATAGCAGGTGGTAAATAGCTAACATTGGCCATATTGCCCAGGACACTGAACAATGACCTTCTAGACCACTGATATCACTGCCTTTGCTTTCTCCCAACTTCCCCCTGTGTTCAAAATACTGGGTGTGTGCTTCTGTTGGCAGCACCTGGGTTGTGTGTCCCAGTACCCTGGCTTCCAGGGGACAAGGAGAGGGAGTATCTGTCCCTGTTGACTTCTGAAATGGGGAGAAGAACCTGTTTCAGGATTCTCTCAACACATGAAGTTTAGATGCTGGGAGGTTAAAAAAAAAAGTCAAGCACAGTGACCATATTAGGAATGCACTCAGCTGCAAAATAGTAAGAACTGTTTAAGGCCAGGCACTGTGGCTGATGCCTGTAATCCCAGCACTTTAGGAGGCCAAGGTGGGTGGATCACTTGAGGTCAGGAGTTCCAGACCAGCCTGGCCAAACTGGCAAAACCTCATCTCTACTAACAAATACAAAAATTAGCCAGCATGTTGGCACCTGCCTGTCATCCCAGCTACTCGGGAGGCTGAGGCATGAGAATCGATTGAATCCAGGAGCACGAGGTTGCAGTGAGCTGAGATTGTGTCACTGCACTCCAGCCTGGGCGATAGAGTGAGACTCTGTCTCAAATAAAAGAGAACAGCTTAAAACACAAGGACACAAGAAAGTAGAGATGGGCAGTCACAGAGGTAGTCCAGTATTTCCACAATGTCATCAAGGACCAGGCACTTCCTCTCTGCACACTCATCCTTCACATATTGGCTTTTTCGGCTCTTAGTCTTGTTGCCTCATGGTCATCAGATGGCTACCACAGCTCCAGCATCACATCTGTATTCCACTTGTGAAGAGGAGGATGGGGTGGCACCCCTAAGCACCCCTCACAGGACTTTCCATTTTATCAGGGTAAATAAAAGCCCAGCATACCTTGTCTTATAGCTCATGAGCCAAACCTAGATCGCATGACCACATTTAGCTTCAAGGTAAGATAGGACAGTGAGTATCTGCCTTTATTCTCTTTTTCTTTAAAAAACTTTTCTCATTTTAATTATTTTTGGTAACTTTATTTTGAAATATAAGTTCAAATTACAACAACATTGCAAGAATAGCATTAAAAACTTCTATATATCTGTCATCACATTCTCCAATTAACATTTTGCTACATTTGCCTTATAGTTCTATTTTTCATATTATTTTTCTGTTTATTTAAAAATAAGTTGTAAACAGAATGCTCTGTACTTCTGCACGTGTCAGAGTTTATTTGCCATGTACAAGTTCATTCTTATATATAACCACAGTGCAATGGTCAAAATCCAGAAATTACATATTATTACAAGTATCTGTAATATTTTATTTTTTTATCTATATTTTATTTTTTTCAGACCCTATAGTCGTGCACAAGGGAGAAGAGGATAGGGAATAGCCATTGAGATAGCCAACCACAAAAGATTTTTTTTAAATTTTTACTTTTATTTTTTAGAGATGGGGTCGCATTCTGTTGCCCAGGCTGGGGTGCAGTGGCACGTTCATAGTTCTCTGCCTCCTCAAACTCCTGGGTTCAAACCATCCTCCTGCCTCGGCCTCCCAAGTAGCTGGGACTACATGCGCATGCCACCATGCCTGGCTAATTTTTAAAAATTATTTTTTTAGACAGGGTCTTCCTATGTTGCCCAGGCTGTGCAATTTTTTTTTTTTTTTTTTTTTGAGGCAGAGTCTCGCTCTGTTGCCCAGGCTGGAGTGCAGAGGCGCGATCTCAGCTCATTGTAACCTCCACCTCCCAGGTTCAAGCGATTCTCCTGCCTCAGCCTCCTGAGTAGCTGGGACTACAGGCATGTGTCACCTGTAGCCATGCCTGGCTACTTTTTGTATTTTTAGTAGAGACAAGGTTTCACCATGTTGGCCAGGCTGGTCTCAAGCTCCTGACCTCAAGTGATCTGCTCGCCTAGGCCTCCCAAAGTGCTAGGATTACAGGCGTGAGCCACTGCACCCTGGCTGTGCAACTGATTTTTTAAAAAATCCCACCAGAGGCCGGGCGCGATGGCTCACGCCTGTAATCCCAGCACTTTGGGAGGCCGAGGCGGGCGGATCACGAGGTCAGGAAATCGAGACCATCCCGGCTAACATGGTGAAACCCCGTCTCTGCTAAAAATACAAAAAATTAGCCGGGCGCTGTGGCGGGTGGCTGTAGTCCCAGCTTCTCGGAAGGCTGAGGCAGGAGAATGGCGTGAACCCGGGAGGCGGAGCTTGCAGTGAACCAAGATCCCGCCACTGCACTCCAGCCTGGGCGACAGAGCGAGACTCCGTCTGAAAAAAAAAAAAAAAAAGTCCCACCAGATGGAGCAAACAACTGTGTCTACGGACCAGATTCTGCCTGAAAGCTATTAATTTGCCTTACCTGCTTTATACATTTTGCTGGACTCTCTTTTTTTGGATTAGAGTACTTAGAATATTTGTGTGGTATACATTTCTACTTTTCATGTTAATGTCATTTAGACTCCAAATAGCGTTGAAAAGACTGCCAGTTAACAGGTATGCATGGGTATAGAGTGCTATTCTATCCAAATATTCACTAAATAGATTTACAAAATGAACAGGATTTTTTCTTCTTCAGTTCTCTTTTAATGTCAATTTCCTGAAAACCTTCCCTAAATGATTTAATTATGTTGCTATAATTCTCACAATTTATAATAAAATCAGAGGATAAAAGAGGAATATTGAGAGTTCTTCCTCATCTCCTAGCAAAATTAAATTCAAGTCTCTGGGAAGATAGAAAACAGTATTCATGGAGTAATATCTTCATATTATCCTTCTTAATGAAATGGAGGATAGGAAATGTTTTTTAAAAAGTGAGTACAAGCCGGGCGAGGTGGCTCATGCCTGTAATCCCAGCACTTTGGGAGGCTGAGGCGGGTGGATCACGAGGTCAAGAGATCGAGACCATCCTGGCCAACATGGTGAAACCCTGTCTCTACTAAAAAATACAAAAAATTAGCTGGGCGTGGTGGTGTGTGCCTGTAATCCCAGCTACTCCGGAGGCTGATGCAGGACAATCGCTTGAAACCGGGATGCAGAGGTTGCAGTGAGCTGAGATCCTGCCACTGCACTTCAGCCTGGGCAACAAGAGCAAAACCCCGTCTCAAAAAAAAAAAAAAAAAAAGAAGTGAGTACAATGGAGGCCTGGCCTCTGGTCTTTTGGGGGAGTGTGGGGTGGTTTTGTATATAACTAGCTAATAGGTGAGTCAGGGTAGGTGGGCAGTTATGAAGGACGAGAGGACCAGGTGTGGTGGCTCACACCTGTAATCCCAGTGCTTTGGGAGGCCAGGTGAAAGGATGACTGAAGGCCAGGAGTTTGAAACCAGCCTGGGCAGCATAGTGAGAACCCCAACTCTATTAAAAAAAAATCATAAAGGACAGCCCCTGTCCTTCCCATTCCATTATTTCCACTTTCTGAGGCTGTTCTTATTTGTGACAACACAAGGGAATATTGTATAGGTTAATCTCTTAATAAGTCAGTCTGAGTAATGGCATCTGGAATACCGATGGTTAAAAAAGGGAAAATATGTATAACTTAGAGGTTAAACAGTATGGGATTGGGGCTCAGACAGCCCTGAGGTCTATCCTGGCTCTGCCACTCACTAGCTGTGTAACCATAGACAAGTTACTTAACCTCTGTGTGCCTCAGTCCTCCTTTATAACATGAGAATAGCAGTAAAGTCTACCGCGTTAGGTTGTAGTGAAAATTAGATAAGACTATTTACATACAGTGCCTAGCACAGATTCTGGTGCATACATAGTGGCTGCTATGTTTCTGGGTGACCTTAGGGACGTCATTTAATCTCTTGGGACTTCTTGGGGTTGTTCATGTGGAGAAAATAATACAAAGGATGGGAAATTGCCTTGAAAAAAATAGAACTGTATTTATTAATAGAAGTTGTTTCTTTTTTAACCATTCAATAATATATTAATAAATAGCTGAAGGGTTTTTGCTGGTTGAGTTGAAAGCCCCAGAGGGGCTGGAGGCCACCCCAAGGCAGTACACATGAGTGCAGACAGAAGCTAAGATCTCATTCATAATCAGCTTGGAGTCCTGCAGTGGCTTGATTCTTGGAAATTGTGTGTGGGATAGCATGGCAGATACCATTGCTTACCTGGTAGTCATTTTCTCTTTTTTACTCATCAGCCAAATTCTGGTTTCCTTCAGACATTCAGTGGCCATGAGCTCTGAGGAGCCCTAGCCCTCTCCCCAGGTCCATGAGATGGGAGAGTGGATCTTGAATATTTCAAACCAATCATGGTAAGTCCTCTTTTTTCTGCCAGTGATTGGTTCAGAAACAGGCATGTGACACCATTCTGGCCAATGCAGGAAAGCCTGAGAGGTGGGGCTCTGGGAACATTTTTCTCATTTTATGAATGAACCCAAGGAGGAAACATGTGTTCCTTTCTTGCTCTGGCTTTGGAAGTTACTTTGTGAAGATGTGATGTTCATAGCTGTGGCAGTCATCTTGCAACCATTAGGAACAACGCTATGTTTGGCAATATGAAAAGCTCAAAAGAACTTAAGCCTTTGATGATATCATTGACCCATTGTGACCCTCCCCAACTCTTCCACCCTCAGGCATTTTGCTATGTAATTATTTTGTATACGGACCCTGTATTCTGCAACCTTGTTAAATTCATTTATAAGTTCTAGTGGTTGTTTTGTAGATTCCTAAACCTTTTCTATGTAAGAATCAGGTTGACTGGGTGCGGTGGCTCACGCCTGTAATCCCAGCACTTTGGGAGGCCGAGGCAGGCACATCACCTGAGGTCAGGAGTTCGAGACCAGCCTAGCTAACATGGTGAAGCCCCGTCTCTACTAAAAATACAAAAATTAGCCAGGCATGGTGGGAGGTGCCTGTAATCCCAGCTACTCAGGAGGCTGAGGCAGGAGAATCGCTTGAACCTGGGAGGTGGAGGTTGCAGTGAGTCGAGGTCACGCCATTGCACTCCAGCCTGTGGGACAAGAGCGAGACTTCATCTCAAAAAAAAAAACAAACAAAAAACAAAAAAACAAACAACAACAACAAAGAATTAGGTCACCTGCAAATAGAGACAGCTTTTCTTCTTCCTTTCTGATCTTTATGCTTTTTATTTATTTTTTCTTGCCTTATTGTAAGGGCTAGAACTACCAGTACAATGTTGAATAGAAGTGGTGAGAATATGCATTCTTGCCTTATTCATGATTTCATCTTGAGGTATTAGATTATGCATTTATCATTGCTTAAGTTAGTTGAATTGGGTTTTCTGCAAGCTTCAATGCTTCCAGCTAAAAGCACTCCATCAGACACCATCACTGAAGGAAAGATTGATCTTAGAAGACTTAGTTATATCTAGGTTGGTGTTATCAGGGTTACAGTTAAAATAGTTAACATCTTAGGCCAGGTGCAGTGGCTCATGCCTGTAATCCTAACACTTTGGGAGGCTAAAGCAGGAGGACTGCTTGAGACCAGGAGTTCACGACCAGCCTAGAAAACATAGTGAGACCTTGTCTCTAAAAAAAGAAAAAAGAAAAAAAAAATAGCCAGGCATGGCTGTGTGTGCTTGTAGTCCCAGCTACTCAGGAGGCTGAGGTGAGAGGATCGCTTGAGGCCAGGAGTTTGAGGTTACAGTGAGCTATAATTGTGCCACTGCACTCCAGCCTGGGGAACAGAGCAAGACCTCGCTAAAAAACAAACAAACAAACAAAAACTAACATCTTGAATTACTTCTATCTGCACATCTCTTAGGTTCTACTTGAATCATAGTTTCTTTGCTCCTGGGAGACCCCTGCTATTCCCAGTGATGCTGCGAACTGGGGTTCAAAGTGGGGTGGCCTGGTGAGGCCTAAAATCCATGTCCCGTGGAGAACTGCCTGCATCCCTTACAGAACCTGCCACATATTTCTGCAGCTTCCAAGAGGAAGGCTGGAATTTACTGAGCTTACTGAAGCCAATTATCCCAAGAGTATGTGATCCAGAAGCAAGATAAAGATCAAAAGGACTCAGCTGGGATTTGGCCTTCTCCAAGTGGAAGGAATAAAATCTGCAATTGGCTCTGAAAATAAAAACCAAACAAAATCTCAGGCAATCATAGACATGGCTCTTTGCTATTTATGAGCTTTTCTTTCTTTCTTTTTTTTTTTAATTTAAACAAATGTTAAAAGATTTTTGTGTGGACCTCAGATTCCAGCTTTACACTGAAACTCAACATTAGTGTCGAAGCACTTGCAGGCCATATGTGCTCCAGCGAGGGTTTGGGAATGTTGGGTGGTGTTGGTGGGCACCCATAATTGCCACTTGCTATCACGTGAATGCCTTAGGCATGACGGATTGCCAGTGCCCCTCTGAGCAGTCACTTGGAAGCTTTGCCAAAATATAAATATGTAACATGAACAGAGGGTGCGTGACTTTTTAACTGCAGTAGCCACCTTTCAGACACCTGAGGCTTTGGTGTCCTCAGTTCCAAAAGCCACACAGCAGCTCTTAACCTGGAGAGAGGAAGGCACCTGGGGAAAAGTCACGTTCTTCCAAAGCCTTCACATCAATCTTTCATGGATATTGAGTTTTTAAATGTTGGTGATTGTCGTGTCTTTTGCAGCCTGACATTTGGGAGGAAGGGTGTCGAACTTTATTATTTAAAATTTTTTTTTTAAATTTTAATTTAATTTAATTTAATTATGGCAAGAACACTTAACATAAGATCTGGCCTCTTCACAAAATGTTAAGTGTACAATACATTATTGCTGACTATTAAATTTTTTATTATATATATATATATATATATATTTTTTTTTTTTTTTTTTTTTTTTTTTTTTTGTGAGACAGAGTCTCTGTCACCCAGGCTGGAGTGCAGTTGTGGAATCATAGCTCACTGTAGGCTTGACCTCCTGGGCTCAAGCAATCCTCCACCTCAGCCTCTTGAGTAGCTGGGACTATAGGTGCACGCCACCATGCCTGGCTAATTTTTTTTTTCCATTTTTAATAGAGAAAAGGTCTCTATAAAAGAGGGACTTTTGGCCTGGCGTGCTGGTTCACACCTGTAATCCCAGCACTTTAGGAGGCCGAGGCGGGCTGATCACAAGGTCAAGACATCGAGACCATCCTGGCCAACATGGTGAAACCCTGTCTCTACTAAAAATACAAAAATTGGCTGGGCATGGTGGCGCGTGCCTATAGTCCCAGCTGCTTGGGAAACTGAGGTGGGAGGGTCACTTGAACCCAGGAGGTGGAGGTTGCAGTGAGCTGAGATCGCACCACTGCACTCCAGCCTGGCAACAGAACAAGACTCCGTCTCAAAAAAAAAAAAAAAAAAAGAGAGAGATTTTTGCCCAGGCTGGTTGCCCAGGCTGGTCTCAAACTCCTGGGCTCAAGGAATCCTCCTGCCTTGGCCTCCCAAAGTGCTGGGATTACAGCATGAGCCACTGTGCCCAGGCTATGGTTAACTCTATAAATTATTATTTGTCGTGAACCACAGAGAAATCATTTAAAAAATGGATCCAAGGGGTTTCTAAAGGGCTGCTCCCGCGGCTGCCAACACAGGTCTTCCGTGGTGCTGGGATGGAGGCTGTAAATGGTCTTGCCCTTCACGACTGGCCCTGGATCTGAACAGAGCTGAGCTCTCACTGGCTGAGTCTTCTTACGGTTCTACTGTTGCACATTCACAATCCTGCAGGCTGTAGAAAATGCTCTCATAACAGAGGAAACAGTTCCGATCTAGTGAATATCACTATGTGATATTTTATTGAATAAAATAATAATAGTAAACTCCTGGATCACTCGGCATCTGTCCAAAATAGTCCAGACCTCTAGGATGAACAAGTGAATGAGTAAATTTTTTTTACTTGTGGTAAAATGTACAGAACATAAAATTTAACATTTTATACTAAAGTATTACACTAAAGTGACCACTAAGTGGTATATCTATGCTGAACATATACTCTATACAAAAGGCCACTAAATGCTACATTTTATTTTTATTTATTTATTTATTTTTGAGACAGAGTCTTGCTCTGTGGCCCAGGCTGGAGTGCAGTGGCGTGATCCCAGGTCACTGAACCTCTGCCTCCTGGGTTCAAGAGATTCTTATGCCTCAGCCACCCAGATAGCTGGGATTACAGGTGTGTGCCACCACACTTAGCTAATTTTTGTATTTTTAGTAGAGACAGGGTTTTGCCGTGATGGTCAGGCTGGTCTTGAACTCCTGGCTTCAAGTGATCCACCTGCCTCAGCCTCCCAAAGTGTTGGAATTACAGGCTTGAGCCCGGCCACATTTTTCAATGGTTAATTTTATGTTTTGCGGATTTTGCCTTAATAAAAAGAAGAAGGACCTTAAATATTCACAATTTTAACCATTTGAGAGTGTACAATTAAGTGGTACTAAGTCCACTCACAATGTTGTGCAAACATCACCTCTATCTTGTTCCAGATTATTTTCCTCACCCCATATGGAAATCCTGTACCCACTAAGCAGTTCCTGCCATTTCCCTCCTGCCTCCAATATCTGGGAATCACAAATCTGCTTTCTATCTCTATGGATTTTCTTACTCTAGATATTTTTTATAAATGGAATCACACAATATGTAGCCTTTTGAGTCTGCCTTCTTTCAGTCAGCGTAATGTTTTCAAGGTTCATCCATGTTGTAGCATGTATCAGTACTTCATTCCTTTTTAATAAGAAGGAATCTTATTATTATTATTATTATTTCTGAGACGGAGCCTTGCTCTGTCGCCCAGGCTGGAGTGCAGTGGTGCGATCTCGGCTCACAGCAACCCCTGCCTCCTGGGTTCAAGCCATTCTCCTGCCTCAGCCTCCCAAGTAGCTGGGACTACAGGCGTGTGCCACCACACCCAGCTAATTTTTGTATTTTTAGTAGAGATGGGGCTTCACCACGTTGGTCAGGCTGGTCTTGAACTGCTGACTTCAAGTGATCTGCTCGCCTTGACCTCCCAAAGTGCTGGCATTACAGGCGTGAGCCACCGCGCCCGGCCAAGAAGGAATATTATTGCATAATGATATTAACGCATATTGCAAGGCATAGGTATCTCTCATTTTGATTATCCATTCATCAGTTTATGGATATTTGGGTTGTTTTCACCTTCTGGCTATGAACATTTGTGGATAAGTTTTTGTTTAAATCCATGTTTTCAATTTTTTTGGCATATATGGTAATTCTGTGCTTAACTTATTGAGGAACTGCCACACGGTGACAGTCCCACAGTGCCTGCATAATTTTGCATTCCTACCAGCAGCATATGGGGGCTCCAATTTCCACACCCTTGTCAATACTTGTTCTTGTCCTTTAAAAAAATTATAGCCATCCTAGTGGGTGAGTAAAAGACTTTCTGTTGGCTGGGCTCAGTGGCTCATGCCTATAATCCCAACAGTTTGGGTGGCTGAGGCAGGCAGATTGCTTGAGTTCAGGAGTTCAAGACCAGCCTGGGCAACATGGTGAAAACCTGTCTCTACTAAAAATACAAAAAATTAGCCAGGTGTGGTGGTGCGTGCCTGTAGTCCCAGCTACTTGGGAGGCTGAGGTGGGAGGATTGCTTGAGCCCAGGAAGTTGAGGCTGCAGTGAGCTGTGATAGCACCATTGCACTCCAGCCTGAGCAACTGGAGTGAGACCCTGTCTCACAAAAACAAAAAACCTCAACTTTCTGTCTAAACTCTGTCTCCCCTGCCTTTCTCCCAATTTCTCAAAGAACTAATATAATTTTGCACAATAATTTTTTAAGCTATCTATGGTTTAGTCTATCAATTGTGATTCTTTTGGTTGCAAGTAACAGGAAACCAACTCAAACCAGGTCAAACAATAAAAGCCAGCTTCAGAGACACTTCTGGTGTGGTTTGATCAAGATTCCAGCTCTGTTTCACTGCAGTTCTTCTGGCACTGCCTTCTCCGTAAGTTGGATTCATCCACAAACTGGCTTTCTCCAGGGCTTTAAGGTAGCTATCAACAACAAACAAGGTTACAAGCTTCTTTATTCATATCTGAGGAGGGCGAGTCACTGCCCTTAATTGATGAATACAAATCCTAACTCCGTTGATTGGACCAGTCTTAAACCAATTCTCCTAATCGTGGATCACTGAGCTGATTCGCTTAGGCTAGGCCTGGGTTACTTGAACCAGTCAAGGGCAAGTCTGATGGAAATACCCTGATAAGCTTGGACCCATCAAGTCCCACCCTTGGATTTGAGATTTAGGTCAATTCCATCCACCACAGCTTTTAGACAATGAGGGAAAAGGAAAAAGGAAATCGATGTCCGCTCTATTGCTATTTGCTTTGTTAGAGGATTTGGTGAAAAGAAGTCCATTTGGTAGAATCTTTTTTCTTTTCTTTTCTTTCTTTCTTTTTTTTTTTCGAGATGGAGTCTCGCTCTGTTGCCTAGGCTGGAGTGCAGTGGCACGAATTCGGCTCACTGCAACCTCCACCTCCCAGGTTCAAGCAATTCTCCTGCCTCAGCCTCCTGAGTAGCTGGGACTACATATGCGTGCCACCACACCTGGCTAATTTTTTGTATTTTAAGTTGAGACGGAGTTTCACCGTGTTAGCCAGGATGGTCTCCATCTCCTGACCTTGTGATCCATCCGCCTCGGCCTCCCAAAGTGCTGGGATTACAGGCGTGAGCCACCACGCCTGGCCCATTTGGTAGAATCTTAATGTCCATCTGCTAGAGTTATGGTCAAATTGAAGTGGACTGGCGGCCTTTCTGTTATAATGATTCTAAATAGCATTATTAATACTTAGTGTCTTAAACCTTTATATATCTTAAAACTTATTTGTGGGTATTATCAGTATTCCCACTTTACCGATGAGGTTTGTAAGGTTGACAAATCTGAAAGATTCTATCACCTTGAACCAAGACGGGATATATGTGTGTTCTTTCTAGGCATATTCTGACAGCTCAGCAGAGTCGGCTAAGATGTGTGGGCACCTGGACAGGCTAATGTTGAGGTATCCTATTGAGTCTGGCGGTCAGGGTTAAAAACCTGGCCCCATCACCTACCAGGTGGTGACCTTGAGCAAGTTACTAGCACTTTGTGCCTCAGTACTTTGGCAATAACAAATAGTACCTACCTTGTAGAATTGTTAATGAAGATTACATCATTCATATACATGGTAAGAGCCCTGTTAATCTTTGTAAAAAAAAAGTCTTTGTAAAAAATAATGACACTTTTCTCTATCTGGTTACATTTCCAGGGATGTTTTAGCACCATCCTTGAGGTTTGGCACCTGCTGTTCCATCCCTTAATCCAGTTCAGGCTGCAACCTGGACCTTCTCCAACCCCCAGCCACTTTGCTAATCAATATCTTATCGCATCGCATCTCAGTCTGGGCTCTCCCAGACCAGGCAGGGAGCCCCTAGGTCCTGCCAGCCTGCTGCCACCGTCTGCATGGCTCTTAGCTGGGGAGACAGAAACCAAATCCTTCCCAAAGATGCTGGGAAATTAGTTTAGCACCGTCTGCCGGTGTGCGGTGACTCAGAGGCAGCCAGCCCAGCGGGGCTTATGGGCTCCAGGGTTTGAACAAGATTGATGTTGTCGTGAATGCAAAGCAGGCTGAGAGAGCCAGGGGGGCTGGTAGGCAGGGCAGGCAAGAGCCCTCTGTTTACTCCTAGCTCCCCTTCTAGGTGAGCTGAGGTTTTGGGCAGCAGGGCCAGCTCAGCTGCTTACTATGATGTTAGGGAAGCCAGAGGACTCTGAGGAGGGGCAGTGGGGTGCCCAGATTTTAAGGGTTCATGTGATTAAGTCAGCAGCTGGCTCTGGGGTCATTAGGGGAGAGGGACAATGGCCAAGAGTGTAAGAGTCTGAATATGCAGATGGTTGGGGCTCTGGATTGGTTAGTTTGTGTATGAAGGCATGCTCACAGGCTCGCTATTTACTGTACCTAGGAATTGGCTAGCCCTGGGAGGGGTAGGGTCAGCCAGGCCCCGGATATCAAAGCGTCAGCAGTACAGAAAGTAAAAAGGCATGATTAACTCAACCAGCACTTCTCAAAACTGTCACAGCCATAAAAAACAAGGAAAAACTGAGAAACAGTCACAGACTGATAGAGATTTAAGAAGATATGACGACTATATATAATCTGTGACCCTGGATGGGATTCTGGAACAGGAAAAAATACATTAATGGAAAAACTGGTAAAATCCAAATAAAGTCTATAACTTTGTTAATAGCATTGTACTAATATTAATGTCTTAGTTTTGATAATCATACTGTGGTTAAGTAAGATAGTGACTTTAGGGGAAGCTGGGTGAAGAGGATACAGAAATTCTCTGTACTAATTTTGCAACTCTTCTATAGCCTAAAATTATTTCAAAATTAAAAACTAAATAGCCCAGGTGCGGTGGCTCACGCCTGTAATCTCAGCACCGTGGGAGGCTGAGGTGGGCGGATCTCCTGAGGCCAGGAGTTCGAGACCAACCTGGCCAACATGGCAAAACCCTGTCTCTACAAAAATTAGCCGGGTGTGATGGCACACGCCTGTAGTCCCAGCTACTTGGGAGGCTGAGCCAGGAGAATCGCTTGAACCCAGGAGTCAGAGTGCAGTGAGCAGAGAATGTGCCATAGCACTCCAGCCTGGGCAACAGAGCAAGACCTTGTCTCAGACAAACAAGCAAACAAACAAGCAAACAAAAAAATTAAGAACGAAAAAAACCAGGGACCTTCGTTTATTTACTGTGTATTTTTGCTTGAACTATGCTAGGCATTTTATATGCCAATGAGGTAGGAGGCAGGACTTGACTCCAGACGAGGGGCTCAGACACTGGACCAAATTGAGGACTAGCTAAAATAGGGCCAGGGTGGAAGATGCTTTCTAAAGCAGCTATGAAACAAATCACTACAAACTTAGCAGCTTAAGACATCACCCTGAAATAAGTGAGTCACAAAAAGACAAACGCCGTATGATTCCATTTATGTGAGTTATCTAAAATAGTCAAATTCGTAGAAACAGAAAGTGGGGTTATCAGGGGCTTGGGGGAGGGGGGAATAGGGAGTTGTTTAATGGGTATAGGGTTTCACCTTTGCAAGATCAAACAGTTTTGAAGATCTGTATTGCATAACAATAGAATGCACTTAACACCACTAAAATGTACACTTGAAAATGGTTAAGATGGTATGCTTAATGTTATATGTTTTCACTAAAATTAAAAAAAATACAAATTCTGTAGCCAAAATGTCCTGGACATTTAGTTGATCCTTTTAAGTTCAAATGTGAATGATTTGTCATGTATAATTATTTCTGTTGAATGTAAACAGTACCTTTTAGAGATGAATATTGGGTGGCCTTATTTGTTTCAATATCTTTGGCCCTAAATTACCAGGCACCAAAATTGTTACTCATTTTTTTTTCCAAATTGTACTTAGAGATACTGTGATAAACATGCACTACAATATAAACTTAAGAATGGTACCAAAGATAGCACAAAATCATTACCTATAAACTAAACAATTTCCACAAAACCACACACATTTATTCTCTCACCATTCTGTAGGTCAGAGAAATGTGGGCAAGCCTGGCTGGGTTCACTGCTTAGGGTCTCACAAAGCTAAAATAAAAACGCCTGAGTCTTAATCTCCACACGTATACCCATTTTACAGGTGGGGATCCTGAGGCTCAAAGTAGTAAAGTGGCTCATTTATCAAACTGGTTGCCTGTGCAGGACGAGCAATAGGAGGTCTCCATTGTTAAATCTTTTAAAAATAAACATTAGAGTGTATGCCTTCTGTTTTCTGCTGGGACCCTGATGGAGATGTCAGGCAATCCAACCACAGAGTCTGAACACTCAGCCACTACTTTACGTTGCCTCAACCCAGAGAGGAAGCCTTAGAATACTCCTTGAAGAGGGAAGTGAGAGAGCCTCTAGTCTAACCTGATTTTACAAATGGGAACACTTTAGGAGGCTCAGAGTGGGGAAATGTTGCCTCTGACTGTAACAGATGCTGTCCTGGAAAGCAGCCTCAAGCAATGACAGATGGGAGCTGGTGGATAAATACCCCAACTCCCTCACCCCTTAAACAAGTTCTAAAAATCTCCCAGAATTCCCTGGCTGATTGGGTCCCAAATACCCTAAGCAGTGACCTGCTCATTAATGCACCCCGAATTGGTTCCTTCTCTTCACCATCTCCTGCTGGTGCTTTCTGAAATCACCTCCCAAATACATTATTTTCACCAAATCCTTGTCTCAGGGGACTCCAAGGAAGGTAGTGACCATCTGTGATTTCCTTCTGTCCAACATCTCCACTTTGTTTGCAGAGGCTGCCTTCCCACGCTTATCATCCTACGGCTTGAGTGGGTTAGATCCCATTCCCAGGTTCCAGGGGTAGGCAAGTCTCCTATATTATCCAAACAGAGTACCCCATCTTCCTGGCTACAGTGACTGGTTCAAGAATGGGCACGTCACTCAAACCAGGCTGACAGAAATCAAGTTTAGGATTATTGGTGGAAAGAGAACTCATCCTTCCATGATTACTTAACTCCATGAAGATGTACAGTCAGGATGTCAGCAGACCTCTTCTACCTCCCAGGAAAGGCTTGTCTGGGAATGAAACCAGCACAGGGGATCATGGGGCTAGGAGATGGAGAGAAACTGCTCCCTGATACCATGCCCGAGTCCCTGTTTTAATAGGTCTTATTATTAATTAGGTGTGGCAAGGCCAACCTGGAGATGACTGCCATTGATACATTAGCTTTGTTACACTCACAAGATCCCAAAAGGAGTACATGTCACCACCCAGAAGGCCGCCTGGGGAAGCACCAGAGTCAGGCAGGAGGCAGAAAGGGAAGGGAGCTGTGGGCAAGAGCCTTTATTGTGGTTTCTGCAGGAAAGAGTAGATGAGAGAGGGTAGTGAGTGGGCTTAGGATTGGCTAGTTTCAAATATTTCAGTCCAGGCACGGTGGCTTACGCCTGTAATCCCAGCACTTCAAAAGGCTGAGGTGGGTGAATTGCCTGAGCTGAGGAGTTCAACACCAGCCTGGACAACATGGCGAAACTCCATTTCTACAAAAAAATACAAGAATTAGCTGGGCGTGGTGGTGTGCGCCTATAGTCCCAGCTAAGGTGAGAGGATGGCTTGAGCCCAGGAGGTGGAGGTTGCAGTGAGCTGAGATCATGCCACTGCACTCTAGCCTGGGTGACAGAGTCAGATCCTATTAAAAGAAAAAAGAGAAAGAAGGAAAGAAAGGAAGGAAGGAAGGAAGGAGAAATATTTCAGTGGACTCTGGCCTGGGGTATAGGGGATGTTTCTGGCTGCCTGGCACCTGGCGCTGGGTGATTAGGGCAGTCTGTAATGGCCCAGGGCATGAGAACTTAATAAGGGAGGTGCTTGGGGTCAGACCTTGGAATGGTTGGTTTGTTTTGAAAAGTACACTCCAGGACGAGGACTTCTCCCAGAAGAAGCGGGTTGGGGAGGTGACAAGGAAGGCTGAGGCAAGTCCTGACTCAGGACTCAGGCCTCTCATCAGGTTGTCTAGAAAAAGCAGTGTCCAGCATATGGATGCCGGGAAGATGTTAAAGCTTCAAGTTTACAGAAGCTAGAAACATGGTTCATCCAAGTCCCTGGATCCAACCGTACCTTGATTTTGGACGTTGTCAGTTACGTGAGCCAATAAATTATTTCTCTTTTGCTAAATCCAATTGAAATATTGTCACTTGCAAACAAAAAGAATCCTACAGCTAATTAAAGGCAGATTTTGGAGTAAGAAACCTGATGTCTTAATATCTAGGTCAGCGTTGCTTCCACTGCACCTCTGAAAGTACTCAGCTCTGCCCCAAACCTGGAGAGTGCCGCATTTCTCCAGACTGCAAGAAACAGTGTGGATGACTCAGTGGAGATCATAATGGCATCTGAGTGATCAACGACAGCCTCCAGTTGCCACTTGGTGAGAGAACAAAGGAACCGGGGCATGCTCAGCTATGGCTGCAAGCCCTTCAAGTGAAGCTGGGCACTTACCCCCTTCATTCCATTCTCCTCAGGATAACAGATTAAAATTCCAGAAGTGTGCACCTGTTGTGTATTCAGGAGATTGTCGTTGTGCATAAAGAGACCACTTGAGGCCCTGTAAGCAAAGACTAATGGGGCTGAGTCAAAATCTGGGAATCTGATGAACTAACACACTCAAATGAAACTGATTTGTGGGCAAGTACGAATAGAATAAATGCCCTGGCGTTGTGACGACATTGCAGTTAGTGCTTTCTTATCCTTCAAGGTCTGCTGCCAAAACAAAGCTTTTCCAGAGGGTATTTTTATGAGACTGCAAGTTCTCGAATGCAGGTGAAAGAGGGAGACATCCTTACGTTGTCTTAGCACAGGTTTTGACCACTAAAAACAAGACTCATGATAATAATGGATTTAGCGAGATAAGAGTTTGTTTCTCTCTCACGTGAGTTTTCCAGCCAGTGTGGCAACTCATTCCGTGAAGTCATCAGGCGTGCAGGCTTCTCTCACCTTGGTGCTCTGCCATCCCCAAGATGCTGCCCCCATCTGCAAGCACCAAGACGGCACCCCACTGTGTCCACATTCTAGGCATCAGGATTGGGGAAAAGAGGAAGGGAGAGTATGCCTCTCTTAAGGGCACAGTACAGAAGTTGCTCACATCTCATTGGTCAAAACTTAGTCACCTGGCCACACAAACTCATATCTGGGCTTTATTCTAGGCAGCCCTGTGCCCAGCTAAAAATTGAGGCCCTGGCTCCTGTTGAATAGGGTTTCTCAACTTGAGCACTACTGGTATTTTGGGTCAGATAATTATTTATTGCAGGGGGCTGTCCAGTTCATTGCAGCATATTCAGGAGCATCTCTGACTTTCACCTACAAGATGCCAGCAGCATCCCTCCATCAAGTTGTGACAACCAAATATCTCCAGACTTTGTCAAATGTCCCCTTGGAGACAAAATTGTCTCTGATGGAGAGCCACTCTTATTTAAGAAGGGGAGAGTAGAGACTAGGGGACAGTTGGCCATCCCTGCCAGATATAAGTTGATATTTTTTATTTCTTTCCTCCTCATGTACAGAACAGGGCGGCCATTAGGACCACCACTTTAGAAGTATTACTGAACAATCAATGCACTCACGGCTGGATGCTCATGAAGCCAATACCATGGCAATGGCTTTGGGGAAAAGAAAAGCTTCCTTTGGGGATTTACAATAGCAAAAACATGGAATCAACCTAAATGCCCATCAATGATAGACTGGATAAAGAAAATGTGGTACATATACCACATGGAATATCATGCAGCTATAAAAAATAATGAGATCATGTCCTTTGCAGGGACATGAATGGAGCTGGAGTCAATTATTCTTAGCAAACTAATGCAGGAACAGAAAATCAAATACCACATATTCTCTTATAAGTGGGAACTAAATGATGAGAACACATGGACACAGAGTGGACAGAAAGAAAGAGAGAGAAAAGCTTTCCTGCAAGTTGACTGGCAAGGAGAGAGGAGGACATGGTCAAATCTGTCTTCCTGAGCTGGGCACTGGGTCAGGTTTTAGAAGCATAGGGTAATGAGGCATAATCTGATTGGATCTTGCAATGAGGTGATGCTGGGAGGCATGATCTGATTGGATCCTGCCATGGGGTGACACCAGGGCTCAATTTGATTGGATCCTGAATCCTGCCATGTGGTGTTCACTTCTTAATTCAGTCCCCATTCCTTGGTCTGAGAACTTAAGTTCCATCTGTGGTTGTACAGTTGGTTCATCTGGGCAAGCTCAGGTTATGTGACCTTTAACCTGGGGGTTGATACCAACTGAAAAACAACTCACAACTTTGTTACATAAAAGTTGAACCAGATTGGTCTGGTGTGGTTACAGAGGCCAGGTGGACTTGAATTCAAATTCTACCTCTGCCACTTATGACTCTGTTTTTCTCATACAGAAAATCTGGTTGGGTTGCTGGGTGCATTCAAATGAGATAAGTAGAAAGTGCCCAGCACAATGCCTGGCACACAATATACACTCAAAAAACACTAGATATTAACACTGAGATGGGTTTTGTTTGGGTGATGGTGGAGGAGTCTTGGGGAACTTTCCTGGCGGGAAAGGATGCTTGGGTCATGGGAAGTTGTGCAAGATGAGGGAGACTGATGGTGACCACTGCTTGGCTGGGGACCAAAAGAATTTTGGAGAGTCCAGTGATGCTTAGAAGGTGAACAGCAAGGACATAGGTTCTTTCTTATATAAAAGACAGAATTAGGACTAGAACCAGACCCATGAATTACATTTAGTGTTTTCTTCTCTATTATTATACCATGACTCTGAGTAACAATAGCCCAGACATTGGTTCTGGGCTGATTATTCTCCTACCTATGTAGCCCTGACTTTCTGTATCCATTGCATAAAACAGAAAACCTAATCAATGGTGTCTTTAAAAGATAGAGTTGTCTCTCATATAAAAAAATTCTGCAGGCAAGTGTCCAGGGTTGGTATGGCAGCAAGGATCCAGGTTCCCCTGCCTCACCATGGTTAACATGTGCCTTTCAACCTCAAGGTCACGGCAAAGTCACAAGTGGTCACTGCAGCTCCAGCTGTCCCCTCTGCATGCCAAGTAGCAGGAAGGAAGAAAGAGATGAGCAAAAGTGTGACTCTCATCTGAGACAGCCCCCTTTTAGGGAGTTTTAGCAGAGTCTCTACCCAATAACTTCTACTTCCACCTCTTTGGCCAGAATGATCTCTGAATGGGTAATGTAGTTTTCTAGCCCAACATATTGCCTCTCCCAACATAATCAGAGTTCCTTTGGAAGGAATAAGGGGTAATAATGCATAGGCAACTAGAAGTTTCCATCGTACCTTCCAGGGTGGGAATCTGTGAGTGACTAGAAGAAGAATGATGTGGAGAGAGAATGAGAGAAAGCAAGAGAGAGAAGACAACAGGGGAAAGGGAAAATTATTGTTGAGTCCAATTCATTTTTGTTTTTGCTTTTGAGACAGAGTCTCGATCTGTTGGCCAGGCTGGAGTGCAGTGGTGTGATCGTGGCTCACTGAAACCTCGACTTTCTGGACTCAAGCAATCCTCCCACCTCAGCCTCCCAAGTAGCTGGAACTACAGGCATGCACCACCATGTCTGGCTAATTTTTTAAATTTTTAAAAAAATTTTTTTGTAGAGATGGGGTCTGGCCATGTTGCCCAGGCTGGTTGCAAACTCCTGGGCTCCAACGTTCCACCCACCTCAGCCTCCCAAAGTGCCGGGAGTACAGGCATCAGCCACCATGTCCAGCCTTCTTGAGTCCAATTTTGAAGGGAGAGATGACTTCTAGCAGGTGTTTGAAATGGGTCTTGGAAATTAGGTAGGATTTGGACAAGAACCCATGTGAGTTAGGGTTCTTTGATTGTAGTGTTCAAGCTAATTTTAGAAAAGAAGGAATTTTTTGGAAAGATATAAGGAAGTTGCTTAAGAAAAACATTCAAACTGACTTTTTCTCTCCTTTCACATCGCAGACATCAACACAGAAGACCTCTGTGACCAAATGCGTGGGGTTTTCCCCACGACCAGGCACTGGACACGTGCTGGGTGTCCTCTAATTCAATTCTGACACTACCTACTTGGAGATAGCGTCAGATCCCACAGCTTGAAGGCTCAGTCCCCAAAACTGTCCCCTTCCCCTAGACACCAGTTGCAAGTCCAGGCCTCCAGAACTTCTGACCAAACAGCTGTATGTTGGGGTTCCCATGATGCCTTCTTTGGGTTGGATTAATTTTCTGAAGTGGCTCACAGAACTCAGGGAAACACATTTACTGGTTTATTATAAAGAATAGAGATGAAGAGATGTGTAGGGCGAGGTATAGGGGAAGGAGCATGGAGCTTCCATGCCTTCCCTAAGTGAGCCACCTTTCAGGAAACTCCATGTGTTCTGTTATCCAGAAGCTCTCCGAACCCAGTCCTCATGTTTTTATGGAGGCTTGATTACATAGGCATGATTGACAACCATGTAGAAATGTGATTAGACAAAAGTGCATGATCTATACCCAGCAAGGCCTGTCTGCTCAGACTTCTTGGCCCCTCTGTGTAGCATTCCTTCCTCTAGGGTACGGGGCAGGACCCACTCTGGAATGAAGGTCTTTTGACCACAATCAGATTAGAGTCCTACCTTATCAGGTAAAAGGAGGACAGGAGGCCAGGCGCGGTGGCTCACACCTGTAATCCCAGTACTTTGGGAGGCCAAGGCAGGTGGATCATGAGGTCAGAAGATTCAGACCATCCTGGCTAACACGGTGAAACACCATCTCTACTAAAAATACAAAAAATTAGCTGGGCATGGTGGCACACACCTGTAGTCCCAGCTACTCGGGAGGCTGAGGCAGGAGAATCACTTGAACCTGGGAGGCAGAGTTCGTAGTGAGCTGAGATTGCACCACTGCACTCCAGTCTAGGGGACAGAGGAAGACAAAAAAAAAAAGAGGACAGGAGAAGATCAGAGAAAGATTCTGCCTCCTAAAACCTAAAGCACCCAACATTGTAACAAGGACTATGGGAGTTATGACCCAGGAGCTGTGGATGAAAACCAACATATATAAAACTGTAATATCACAGAAGACTAAGGAAGACTAAGGAATTATTTTTTTTTAAAGGTGAGGGCTGAGAGGAGGAGAGATCTGTGTATAGCCTTAGATGGAACTCATCAGGAGTCTTGTCAGTTCAAACCATTTTGTTGTTGGTAGTGGTGTGTCCTCTACTCAAGATTCCAAGTCCCAAGAGTGAGCAACCAACTGTCCTTACTTGGGCCATGTGACCAGGAAAAGACACCATGAAATCCATCTCTAGTTGGGTAAAGAGATTCCCCAGGTCAGGCGTGGTGGCTCACACCAGTAATCCCAGGCCAAGATGGGAGGATCACTTGAGCCCAGGAGTTTGAGCCCAGCCTGGGCAAACGAGCAAGATGCTGTCTTTACAAAAAAATTAAAAAATTAGTCAGGCACAGTGGCACATGCCTGTAGCCCCAGCTACTTGGGAGGCTAAGGCGGGAGGATCACTTGAGCCCAGGAGGTCGAAGCTGCAGTGAACCTTGATCACACCACTGCATTCCAGCCTGGGAAACAGAGTGAGACACTGTCTACAAAAGAAAAAAAGAGAGATTTCCCTAGAGGAAGTCAGAACACCGTACCAGATGAAGGGAGAATTAGAGGTTGTAGGGCCAGCACTACCCAAAGTCCACTAGGAGTAATGGGAAGAGAGCTATTCTAGACGAGGAAAGACAGGAAGAAAGTCACACAAGTTGGAGAGTGAAGGAACATCCAGTTGACCAAGCAAGAGAGGGAGATGAAGCTTGAAAGGTGGGTTGAAGCCAGATTCTAGAGATGTTTGACTACCAGCATGAGAAAATCCCTGTTTTTATCTGGTGGGCCATGGGGAGCTATTGAAGATTTTTGCCTGTTAGGGTAAAGTGATCAGGTCTGATCCAAATATAAAGATTGGTCCAGGCTAGGCATGGTGTCTCATCCTTATAATCCCAACACTTTGAGAGGCCAAAGCAGGAGGATTCTGTGAGGTCAGGAATTCAAGACCAGCCTGGGCAACAGAGCAAGACCCTGTCTCTACAAAAAAATATGCCAGGCATGGTGATGTGTGCCTGTGATTCCAGCTACTCAGGAGGCTGAGATGGGAGGATCATCTGAGCCTGAGAGGTCAAGGCTGCAGTAAGCTATGATTATGCCACTGCACTCCAGCCTGGGTGACAGGAACCCTGTAAAAAAAAAAAAAAAAAAAAAAAGATTGCTCCAAGTTGTGGCATAAGTGTGGGGAAGGCAAGTATCACTCTGGGTCTCAGGGACTCAGATGTCACCAGGCGACTCACTCTTTCTGTCTTCCCAGCCCCTCTCCCTCCTACTGGCTTCTTTCTTCCAGATCCTTATCTTCCTCATGGTAGCTGAGCTCCTCAGTGCAGCTCCTGTCACCTCCTCTCGAGCCACCTGTCTCAGCTTCATCCCCTGCTAAGCACTGAACCTTGTTCCCTTGGATACTAAATTGAAAAATGCAGGAAAGTCCCCTGATTGGCTTAGCTTAGGTCAGGTGACACCTCCAGGCCAATCAATGGGCGTCAAGGGAAAGGCTCTGAAAGAAGGGAGCAGGTCCCTTTTAAGCCATGTGGTTAGTGCAAAGCCAAGGATCATTTCCTGGAGGGAGCCTGCTTGCTGGTTTGTGGAGATAAAGCAGTAGAGGTCTAAGTGTCTACTATTCGCAGGGGCTCCTTGAACACCTACTATGTGCCAATCACTGGGCTAAATGGCTTATCCCATTTTGCCCCTTCAACAACATTTTGAGGTCTTATTATTATCCCCATTTTGCACATGGGCAAACTGAGTCTCAAATAACTTAGAATCACTTGTCTAGGTCAGGTAGCCAGTTTCAATGGCAGAGCAGGGATGCAACCCCAGTCTTTCTGGCACCAGAGCATGAGCTCTTAACCATATTATTCTGCCAAAGATCCAACTTGGGGCCTCATTTTCCCACCCAGGAAGGTATTTGGCAGGGTCACCAGTAGCCATTTTGGTGCCTTTTTTTAAATTAGTAAAACCTCCCCTTCTTCAAGACACTTTACTGCCATCTGCTGAAAATTGCCAAAGTAAGTACAGTACACAAATCTATAATGCAGTGATGTAAACAGTGCCCCTTTAGACTGAGACTCTGGGTCAGTCTAAGGGCCAGTTTTTCACAGTTGGGCAGGTTGTGTACTGTACCAGGGCTAACATGGTGCAGTGCACAACCTGCTCAACTGTGAGCCTTAGCTTTGATACAGGAAGTAGAAGCTGCAGCCAGGAGTTTATTGAATAGCAAAGACTAACACGAATTATCTGGAATCATGAATTCTGTGGCCTCTGGAATAGGGTGATGTTTTGGGATGTCTGGAGCTGATAGGTCTGGGCTGAAAAGGACCAGGTCGATGGAGATGCCAAGCATTTATTTGTTTTGTTTCTTCTCACTCCTATGTCGGGTCTTTGCCTTTTGGTGCTTGGCCACTGGAGTGGGTGGCTCCATAAGATGACTCTTGGATGGTTTCAGGCTCTTCCTGGACACCCAGGACTGGTCCATGAGCTTGGGCTCAGCTGGGAAATCCTCAGGGAGATAGACATCTGTGGCCTCTGAGATTGATAAGGGTAACTGGGGCTCTGGGGCCTGTAGCTGCTCTGGTGGGAGGGGGCAGAGGTCAAGGCAGTAGAAAGATCTAGGCTCAAAAGTGCTGGGCCTAGCCTTCTTGGGGGGCTTCTTGGCCAGATTCCTGAGGGGGTCTTTGGTCTTGTTTAAAGACATCTTGAGTTTTTTGGCCTTGGAAGTCTTGGAGTGCCTGAGAGACTTTTGAGGTTTCTGGGGAAGGCTGGAACACTTTGTCTGGAGTATTCATGCCATAGGTCATTGGAACTCTCCAGCAGGATGGAGAGTAACAGGAAACTGTCTTGGATGTCATGTCTGGGATGCCTGGGGGGAGCCTGTGACAAGCTTGATGGTCTGGGTCCAGGTAAGGGCAGCATTGAGCAGTGCCCAGAGGCAGTGGGCTTACTGGTGGCTGGAGCAGTACCAGAGGTCCTCTGCGAAGGAGGTCACCGCAGTGACCTCACAGGCTGTCCTGTTCCTACATAGCAAGGGCAATTCATGAGACTGGGGTGGGAATTCTAGAGAAAATATCTTAGAAAAAAGGTCTTCTATTATATAATCACATTTTTCATTTAATCATTCATCTACGCATTGATGTATTCACTTGTTTGTTTATTTCATTCAGTCACCCAGCCATCTACCCACTCATCCATTGACTTATTACTTGCATGGTAACCCACACCATTCATTCATTCATTCTACTTCACTCACGCACTCATACCTTCATTCATTAATTCAGCAAATACTTGCGCTGTTGGAGTTGGAGATACCAACACCAAAAATAACAGCAAACATCTACATAGTGTTAAGTGTGTGCCAGCTACTGTTCTAGGTGCTTTAGATTCGACTTAAGCTTTCCAAAAACCTCCTGAAGGTGTTTGTTATGGAATTAATGTTTCTAGTCCCTTCTCAAATTCATATGTTGAAGCCCTAACCCCTAAGGTGATGATATTTGGAGGTGGATCCTTTTGGAGGTAATTAAGTTTAGATGAGGTCATGAGAGTAGGTCTCCTATAAGGGGATTAATGTCTTAATAAGAAGAGAATTCTCTTCTTAATAAGAAGAGAATGAGAGACCAGAGCGTGTGATCATTTTCTCTCTCTCTCTCTCTCCCCCCTCCCTCTCTCTTTCTCTCTCTCTCTCCTCTGTGCCATATGAGGTCACAGCAACAACATAGCCATCTTCAAGTCAGAAAGAAAGGCTTCATCAGGAACCCAATCTGCTGGCACCTTGATCTTGGACTTCCCAGCCTCTAGAACTGAGATAAATAAATGTCTGTTGCTATGGTATTTTGTTATAGCCCAGCCTAGGGTATTTTGTTATAGAAATCCGAACTGACTAAGACAGAATTATTATTATTTAGAATTAAGTTCTCGGTGTGTTGCCCAGGCTTGAGTGCAATGGCAAAATCATGGCTCACTATAACCTCGAACTCCTGGGCTCATGTGATCCTCCTGCCTCAGCCCCCTGAGTAGCTGGGAATACCAGTGCATGCCACTACACCCGGCTAAAGACAAAAAAGTTATTATTATTATTTTTCTATTTTTATAGATAAGCTGTTCTTCAAGGAGATGGAGTAGCTTGCTTAAGGCCACCTAGCTAGTCAATAGCACAGCCAGGCTTTGAACCCGGGCAGTTAGTTATCAGAGTCTGGCCTCTCAGCTGCTATGCTGGGCTGCCTTTTGTTAATAAGACAGCTCCTCTGTTCTCACTCTAGTGGGGAGGCCAGTGTGCCTGGAAACCAAGACAATGAAGTGTGATGAAATACAGGATCCACACAGAGTGCTGGAGGAGTCCCTGGCAAGGTCGCCTCACCCACCCAAGCAGGGGGATAGGCTATATGGAAGATTCTTTTCCTAACTGGTCAAGCTTACCTTCCTTATTTGTGATGTCAAGGTCATCCCTGGGTGATCCTTTCATCCATGTATGATGCAGTTTTTCAGCAACAACACTTAGTGAGTGCTAATCCTGGACATTGGGGATCGAGAAATGAACAAGGACTATCCCTGCCCGCCTGGAGCTCACAAGCTGGTAGAAGAGACAAGGAGGGAAGGGCAAGGGTGGGCTAGCCAATTAAGACCATGGAGCATGACTCCGTCCACCCCTTCTGGTTCCTGTCTTGGTCTTTGAGACCTATGCTCTCCAAAGTTGTGGGCTGCAAAGGATAGGGAGTCAGGAAACCCAGTTCTAATCCAGTGCTTCCTCCTAGAAGCTGTGTACTCTTGAACAAGTGTCTTTACATCTCTGGGCTTCATTTTTCTCATCTGTAACATAGAGAGGTAACACAGGATGATTTCCAGCAGCACAAGACCATTTATTGTCCCCCAGTACCTGTTCTCCACTGTCTCCATAATAATGGAGTCTCACTGGGCACAGATTTGCCGGCTTGAGGCTGTATTTCCCAGTCTCTCCTGCAGTGAGGTGCGGCCATGGGAATAAGTCCTCACTGATGGAATATGAGCAGAAATGATGTCAGCAAGCATCTGCATCACTTGCTTAAAAGGAACTTTCTTGCCTTGCTACTTTTCTTTTTCTCTTTCCCATAGGTGAGTGATGGATAGGGTGGGGCCACATCTATTACATGAAACAAATTGGAAGAAAATTTCACCCCTGAAGGACTGTGTGGCTCAGAGTTACCTCGTCAGCCTGGACTGCTCACTTCTGAACTCTTACAAAAGCAAGAAACAGCCTAGGTGGGAGGATCGCTTGAAGCCAGGGGTTCAAGACCAGCCTGGACAACATAGCAAGACCCCATCCCAAATAAATTAATAAAATTAGCTGGGTGTGGTGGCATGTGCCTCTAGTCCCAGCTACTTGGGAGGCTAAGGGGGAGGAATTGCTTGAGCCCAGGAGTTCAAGGCTGCAGTGAACCAGGATTGTACCACTGCAATCCAGCCTGGGTGACAGAGCAAGTCCCTGTCTCTTAAGAAAACAAAACAAGACAAAAATAAAAGCAAGAAATAAACTTTAAAAACCCCACAGCCATTCTATTTTGAGATCTCTTTGTTATAGCAGCTTAGCTTATACACTAATATAGAGTATTTGTTTCTTTTTTCTCTACTCCAAATCTTGTCTTCCTTCCTGCTGCCTGTACCCTTTCTCAACTTATTCCAAGGCAAAAAGAACACTCATTTTGCGGTTCTGCCCAGCTAGTTTAAGCAAAAGTTACTTACCCAGCCCAGGAAGCTCCTCTAATGAAGGCTACCAATGAGACATCAGACAAGAGTGCTGGTCCCATCTCATTGGCCAAGATACCAGCACATCAGCCCCAGCTGGTGAGAGTGGCTGCCTTCTTCACAATCACTCCTCTACAGTCAGTAGTGTGATGGTCTCATAGTAGTTGCTATGGGCAGCAGCACATTTTTTTTCTTCCAATGATGCTGTCTGCTTCATAATTTCTAGAATCCTCCTGGAATTCAGACATTTGTCAATAAGAATAATAATAGCAAACATTAATCAAATGCTATCTCTATGACAAGAACATTACATGCATTTTGTTCCATCCTTTTTAGTTATTATTGTTTGAGACAGGGTCTAGCTCTGTTGTCCAGGCTGGAGTACAGTGGTGCGGTCGTGGCTAACTGCAGCCTTGACTTCCTGGGTTGAGTGATCCTCCCACCTCAGCCTCCTGAGTAGCTGGGACTACAGGCTCACACCACTACACCCAACTAATTTTTTTATTTTTATTTTTTGTAGAGATAGGGTCTTGTTTTGTTGCCCAGGCTGGCCTCAAACTCTTGGCCTCTAGGGATCCTCCCACCTTGGTCTACCAAAACACTGGGATTACCAGTGTGAGCCACCACACTGGGCCTCATTCCATCTTTACAACATCATTATGTGGTAGGCACTGTTTTTATTACCATTTTACAGATGAAGAAGCTGAGGCCCAGACAACACAACTTATCCAAGATCACATAGCTAGAAAGCGGCAGAATGGAGTGGTCTGTCTTTCTATATTTGCAAGAGTTTTGCTATTGTGAAAATGAGTCATTGCCTTATTTACTAAATCCCTACAATGTTCCCAGCCCCATAGGAAACCCAAAAGAATGATCAGAACCCAAAGAACTACCAGGTACAATCACTCTTTCTAGGGTGGGAGGAACCCAGGTCCTCCCATGGTATAGGGTAGCAGCTAAGTCGTGGGCTTTGGTGTAAGGCAGATCTGAATTCAAATCCCTGCTCAGCCACTGAACGGTTGGGTGATGCTGGAAAAGTTCTTAGCCTCTCAAACTGTTTCCTCCACTGTGGAAAGGGGAGTTAATAATGTCTGCCAGTTTGTTAGGAGGAGTCCATGGAGGAAAGGGCTTTGCCATAGTGGGCATTAAGGAAGGGCACTTAAAGTAGCAAGAAGAGACACATGTTCACATTGCCTGCCATGTTTGTATTTGTTTCCATGTAGATTTTTTCTATTGCAAGTGACAGAAACCCAAAACAAGCCAGCAGTAAGTGAAGTTTATTGGTTCTTGTAATTAGGAATCTCAGCGGTGGGCCCAGGGACTCAAACAACAACGTCAAGAATCTCTGTCTTTTGGCTGAGCTCCTCTCTGTGCTTTGGCCTCAATGAAGAAGGAGTCCTTAGGCCATACCAAGCTGCCATCAGTCAGCTCAGCTAGGTATTCTAGAGGGAAGACAGCTTGGTATTAGAGGGAAGAAATATTACTCTCTCCTGGTAAAATCTCAGAGAACCATTTGATTGGACCAGGGGAGTCATGTGCCTCCCCTTGAAACAACCACAGTGGCCAGAAGAATGGGGCTTAGCTGAGATAACACAAATGAGGTGCCCAGCACACAGTGGGCTCTTGGTAAGGATTGGTTCCTGGTACTGTCCCTCCCTCACAGCACCCAACCTCAAGTCTGTTATTTTTATGTAAACATGTTTCTTCCCTACTGGATTGTGAGCCCCTCAAGGAAGGAGGCTGAATATAATCTCGTGTTTTTAGAGCTGTAACAGCCTGGCAGCCACAAGAGTAGGATCAGAGGCCGGGCACGGTGGCTCAGGCCTATAATCCCAGCACTTTGGGATGCTGAAGAGAGAAGATTGCTTAAGGCCAGGAGTTCAAGACCGGTCTGGGCAACACAGTGAAGCCCCATCTCAGTAAGAAAAAAAAAAAAAAAAAAAAAAGAGAGAGCAAGAAGGATCATCAAACAGGTTGCAAGCACATCTTTCTTTCTTTCTTTCCTTCCTTCCTTTCTTCTGTCTTCTTTCCCCTTCCTCCTTCCTTCATTCCTTCCTTCCTTCCTTTCTGTTTTTAAAGTGAAAGCAAGTTTATTAAGAAAGTAAAGGAATAAGAGAATGGCTGCTCCATAGGCAGAGCAGCCCTGAGGGCTGGTTACCCATGTTTATGATTATTTCTTGATTATATGCTAAATAAGGGGTGGATTATTAATCAGTTTTCTGGGAAAGGGGTGGGCAATTCCCAGAACTGAGGGTTCCTCCCCTTTTTAGACCATGTAGGGTAACTTCCTGATGTTGCCGTGACATCTGTCAACTGTCGTGACACTGGTGGGGGTGTAGCAGTGAGGATGACCAGAGGTCACTCTCGTCACTATCTTGGTTTTTGCCAGCTTCTTTACTGCAACCTGTTTTATCAGGAAGGTCTTTATGACCTGTATCTTGAAGCACATTTCTTTAGATCTGTCCCATACCCTATGGAGAACTACGCACAAGCTATTGATTCCTTCACAACTTGCCGTAAGAGTTCCAAGGCATGTGTGCCCAGAACACAGAGCTCTCAATTCTTACATCAAGTCCTGTGTTTGTCTCTTTAGTGATAGGCTCTTGGAAGTAAAATTATTGGGTCAGAAACCATTGAACATGTCCAGACTCCCAACAAAAACTCCCAAATTGCTTCCAAAGTTTCTCAAATCAGCCTTCCCAATAACAGTATATGAAGGTGTCTATTTCACTACAACACCTCCAACACCAAATGTTTTCTATCTTTTACATTTCTGAAGGAAGAATCATGTCATCCTGCTGATGTTTTGGTTCCCTGTATCTTATTATGGAGCTGGCCATGGTTACTGGCCATTTGGATTTTCTCTGAGCCACTTCTGAGCAGAGAGGGACACACAGCCCATATAATGACATTGGGGCCTCTGTATCACATTTTCAAATCTCCCCATGCTCCTAATGCCTATTGCAGGAAATGGAACAAGGTTGGTGCTCATTTGTATCTGCTGAAGGGCACTGAGTCTCTTTGCAGTCAGCAGTGGTCTTGCCAAGCTGTTCCTTGTGGTTGGAAGCACTCCAGCTTTAGAAATCACACAAAGCAAATTGCAAACAGTGAGTGGAATAAATATTTGAGCATTTCAGAGCCACGGTGGCTTTGATTGTTAAGCCAAGTGTCTTGCTGAGGGGCAAGAATCTGAGACTGACAGATCACAGGCTATGGAGGCCTTTGGTGGGTTGGACCCGCTGTGCTATTTGGCAAACCTGCCCCCAAAGACTCATTTGGAAGCTACAGAGCGAATAGTTCAAGGCTACTGCGGAAAGTGCTGCCTCATGGGGCATGTATTGGAAGTGACTTGCCGTGTGACTCATAGGCTTTTTGGCCTCAAGGAACTCAGAAGGGCGGCATCAGCTTACCCTGACCACCAGTCAGACTGCATCAAATCATGCCCTCCATGACAGCTAAAGTGCCCACCAGTCCCCCAGCCTGGCCCTGGAGACTGGTCCTGACCTGGTCTCTACCCTCCCTCCCAGCGCCATCTCCTATTGTTTCCGTTCCTGTGTATTGAGAACAATTGTTCCCACTTCTTTGGGTATGAGCATAAGTTTGAAATCAGAGAGCTCTGCGTTCAAGTTGTGGCTTCATTATTACATTCTGAGTGCCGAGTATGGTGCTTGTTATGTAGGAATGAGTCAATAAATAGTTTTATTTTTATTTTCTTATTAAAAACATTTTTTTAAAGAGATGAGGTCTCTCTATGTTGCCTAGGCTCGACTCAAACTTCTGGGCTCAAGTGATGCTCCTGCTTCAGCCTCCTGAGTAGCTGGGACTACAGGTGAGTGTCACTGCACCTGGATTACAAAAACAAGTCTTAAAACACATGACTCCTAGTCACTCAAAATGTGTTCCCTAGACCAGCAGCATAGGGATCACCTGGGAACTTCTTAGAAATGCAGGCTCTCAGGCCCTGGTCCAGACCTGCTGAACAGGAATCTGCATTTTCACAAGATCCCCAGGTGACTCTTATGCACATAAGAGTTTGAGGAACACTGACCTAATTCATAGAATTGGTCTGAAAACCAGTGACATCAGATGTGTAAGTGCCTGGCAAAGAGTTTGGTATATCATAGATGCTCAAATGACGAGTCATCTCTTTCTCTGTCTCTTCCACACTCCTGTCCTAGAATGCAAAATCTCTGAAGCCAGGGGCCCTGTCTCATTTCTCTTGAGACCATCAGCCAGATTTCACAGCTGACTCATAGTAGGTGCTTAGAAAATTTTTAAGTGCTGACAATTTGGCATAGTTTAGTCCAGTAATTTTTCAGGCTGCAGGTTGCAAACCATTAGTGGGTTGGGAAATGAATTTAGTGGACTTAGTGGATTTAAAAATAATTAGAGGAGGATTCTGGGAAGATGGCAGAGCAGGAAACATCAGGAATCCGTCTCCCTACCTAAATAACAATTGCACTGGCAGAATCTATTTGATGTAACTATTTTTGGCTGAGCACAATGGCTCACACCTGCAATGCCAGCACTTTTAGAGGCCGAGGTGGGTGAATCACTTGAGCTCAGGAGTTTGAGACCGGCCCACACTCTCTCTCTCTCTCCTGTCTCTCTGTCTCTCTCTCTCTCTCTCTCTCTCTCCTGTCTCTCTGTCTCTCCCTCTCTCTCAATCTCTCTCTCTCTCTCTCTATATATATATATTATATATATATATATATTTGTATTTGATGTAACTATTTTATAACACTGGCATCTATTTGAAGGATTGCAACTTCCAAGAGAAGGCTTGGATGGTAAATTGTGGTTAATTTCAGTCAATTTCAGCTGGTAGCAAGATAACAGTTACCTATCCTCAGCATGGTGGCAGGGAACTGTCCACATGTTCCTATAGCAGCTTGCAGGTTGCAAGGGAGCCAGGGTGAACAAAAGGAGCTTTGTCTTTAAAAAATTGGGGCTCTGTGTTCTGATTGTGATTGCTGCTCCTGATTATGACGGTGCGGACACATGGTGGGTAGCCATTGTTGCCCACCTCCCTATGCTATTGCAAGCTCCTCCCCCTCTGGCTGAAGCAACTTCCAGGGGATTTAAAGGGCCCTTTTTTTTTCTTTTCTTTTGCTCTCCTCAACCTGGGAGGGGGGGGGTCCCACAAGAAAAGAGAGAGAAAGGGGCAGGGAGATTTTTTTGTTTGTTTTTTTTTTTTTAGAAATAATGGCTGAAATTAGACAGGTGTGGTGTCACGCACCTGTGGTCCCGGTTGCTTGGGGGGCTGAGGCCAGAGAGTCGCTTGGGCCTGGGGGGCGGAGGTTGCAGTGAGCTGAGATTGCAACACTGCCACTCCAGCCTGGGTGACAGAGCAAGAGACCCTGTCTCAAAAAAAAAAAAAAATTAAATAGATAGTGATGTTAAGAGATATATATCAGCTTCTAGTAAAAGTTTTTTTTTTAAACCTGCTAGCTACATTTACATTACGTAAAAATAAAGGGAATAATCACTGAGAAAAAAAAAAAAAAAAGAACTAATGGCTGAAAATTTCCCCAAATGATGAAAGACATAAACATCCAAGAAGTTCAATAAACTCCGATAGGATGAACTCAAAGAGACTCCTACCAAAACACATTATAATAAAACAGTTGAAAGCCAAAGATAAAGAAAAAAATCTTGAAAATATCAAGAGAGAAGCAACTTGTCACATATAAGGGATCCTCAATAAGATTATCAGCAGATTTCTCATTAGAAACTTTGAGGGCAAGAAGGCAGTGGACTGATATAGTCAAAGTACTGAAAAAAAAAAAACTGTGAACCAAGAATTCTGTATCTGGCAAAACTGTCCTCCCAAAGTAAAAGAGAAATTAAGACATCCCCAAATAAACAAAAATGAACTGAAGAAGTTCATTACCACTAGACCTGCCCTGCAAGAAATGCTAAAAGAAGTCCTGCAGGTTGAAATGGAAGAACACTAGACAGTAATTCAAAGCTGTATGAGGAAATAAATATTTTAATAAAAATAAATACATGGGTAATTATAAAAGATTGTATTATAGTAACTTTGGTTCGTATTAGTGTACATTTTGTTTTCTACACTATTTAAAAGATTAATGCATAAGAAATTACTAGTTTTTGGTTTTGGATACACAATGTATAAAGACACAACTTTGCAACATGAATAACTAAACAGGGGTGGGGACAGAGCTGACAGAAGCAGAATTTTTGTATGTTATTGAAGTCATGCTGGTTTAAATTCAGATCAGAGTGTTATAACATTAGGATGTTAAATGTAATCCCCATGGTAACTACAAGGAAAATAGTGGAATATACATTTATACATAAAAGGAAATGAGAAGGGAATTAAAACATGTCACTTCAAAAATATCAAATAAACACAAAAGAAGACAGGAGCACAGGAAATGAGGGACAAAAAAGCATAAGGCATATAGAAAGCAAATAGCAAAATGACAAAAACTGAGTCCCTCAGTAATTACTTTAAATTTAAATGGATTAAATTATCCAATCTAAAAACAGAGATTGGCAGAATGAATCACTTAAAAAAACACCATCCAACTATACGCTGTCAACAAGATACTTTAGATCTAGGGATACAAATAGGGTGAAAGTGAAAGGATGAAAAAGATATTCAAAGCAAATAGTAACCAGAAGACAGCAAGGTGGCTATGAACGAGCCAGTCACAAAAAGACAAATACTGTGTGATTCTGCTTATATGAGGTACCCAGAGTAGTCAAATTCATAGAGAGAAAGTAGAATGCTGGTTGGGTGGGGAGAAGGTTGAGGTGGGAGGGAATAGAGAGATATTGTTTAGTGAACAAAGAGCTTTAGTTTTGCAAGATGAAAAAATATCTGGAGGTTTAGTGTGGTGGCTCATGCCTGTAATTTGAGGTGGGAGAATTGCCTGAGGCCAGGAGTTCAAGACCAGCCTGGACAACACAGAAAGACCTCATCTCTCTCTCTCTCTCTCTCTCTCTCTCTCTCTCTCTCTCTATATATATATATATATATATATATATATGATGTATATGTATTTATATATATTTCATGTAACATTTTATAACTATTTTATAACAGAGAAAGAGGAGAGAGATAGAGATCTGGTCTGGAGAAGGATTATGATAATAGTTGCAAAACAATGTGAATGTGCTTAATACCACTGTAAACTTAAAAATGGTTAAGATGATAAACTTTATGTTATGTGCATTTCACCAATAACACATAAAAATGTGTTATTCAAAAAATAATAATTAGAATAGATATGGTAAGTGTTGTTTTGTGAAATTTTGTTTTTGTTGTGTGTGTGCATTGGTGCACATGTGGGTGTGTACTGGGTCACCGTGTAAAATGTATATCTTCCTGAGGGTCATTGTCTAAAAAGTGTGGAAGCCAAGGCTTAGTGGTTCTGTGCATAGTTTCTGGAGTCAGAGTTGGATCCAATTCCAGTGCTTCTATTTATTGACTGTATGCCCTTGGGCAAGTTACTTAACCTCTCTGAACCTCAGTTTCCTCATTTGTAAATGGAGATAAGTGTAAGGCTCATTATATAGGATTGTTGTGAGAAGTAAATGAGAGGGTTAATGTAAATTGGGTGGCATCTTGCCTGGTACACTGTAAGAATTTCATGAATGGCACTGGCACCATTAGAATTAGAATATTCTGTCTAATAGGGAAATCAAGGAAACAATATGGCCAAATAGGAGGTATATTTTGACTGCAGGAAAGGGGAGAAATTTCCTCCAGCCCTTTGCAGACTCCAGGCTTGGGCAGTGAGAGAGACTTCCTGGAGAAGGCAAAACTTGGGCTATCGTTTGAAGATAGGTAAGATGTAGGTGGGTGGATGGGATTGTACAGGCCCTTTCTAGGAGCCAGCAGGGCTGCAAACAAAGGACGGCAGCGTAGAGGTTCAGAGGCTCATTCCTATTTCTGGCTTCCTGGAATTCATGGTAAGTATCACAATCAGTGGGGATCCCTCCCTATTTGGATGGGAAGAAACCTGCCTGGTTGAGAGGAAACCCTCTGGGCAAGGCTATTTTTATTTGGTGAATGTTCTGTTGGGACTGGGGTAAAAATGGCCCTCCATCTGTCCAGTTGGATTATTGGCACCTCCATGGAAGAGGCTGGGTTGAGAAATATAGCAGAGGCTCCCAGCAACTGATTCTTTTACCTCTGGGCAAATCCTCTGGATTTGGGCCCTGGAAGTTCTTTTAAATCAGACACCACAGGAGAGAATGAAGCTTTCCCAGGCACATAGTAGGTACCCACTCATTTATTTACTTTTTAATTGTGATCGAATATACACAACAAAATTTACCATTTTAGCTTTACCATTAACTTTAAATTTACCATTAAACCTAAAAGTCATTTATTGTAAACTGACAATTTATAATTGCATAAATGTGTGGGGTGCAAAGTGATGCTATGATTTATGAATACAATGTGGAATAATTAAATCAAGCTAGTTAACGTATCCATCACTTCAAATATTTAACATGTTTTTGTGGTGAGAGCATTTGAAATTTACTCTCTTGCAATTTTGAAATGTACAATACTCTATTATTAATTATATTCGCTTCACCGTGCAATAGAACTCAAAACAACATATACTCCTCCTGCCTGAGATTTTGTATGCTTTGACAATCTTCTCAGCATTCCTCCAAGCTTAGCCATTTTTTTCTTATTTTTACATTTTTTAGAGGCCATGGTAATCTTCTCTATATCATTCCAATTTTAGTATATGTGCTGCTGAATTGAGCACCTTAGCCATTTTTTAAGTGTACAATTCAGGGCATGAAGCACACTCACAATGTTGTGCAACCATCACCACTATCCATTTCCAGAAGTGTTACTTTTTTTGTTGTTTCTTGGTGTTTTTGTTTTTGTTTTTGTTTTTGTTTTGAGACGGAGTCTCACTTTGTCACTCAGGCTGGAGTGCAGTGGCGTGATCTCGGCTCACTACAACCTCCACCTCCCGGTTCAAGCGATTCTCCCGCCTCAGCCTCCCAAGTAGCTGTGATCACAGGCGTATGCCACCATGCCGGGCTAATTTTTGTATTTTTAGTAGAAACAGGGTTTCGCCATGTTGGTCTGGCTGGTCTTGAGCTCCCGACCTCAGGTGATCCTCCAGCCTTGGCCTCCCAAAGTGCCGGGATTACAGGCGTGAGCCATCACTCCTGGACCATTTCCAGAACTCTTTCATCCATCCTAACAGAAACTCTTCACTGGTTAAACAATAGCTCCCCATTCCTGCCTCCCCCTAGCCCTCCCAGTCTGCTTTTGGTCTCTATGAATTTGCCTGCTTTGGGTACCTCTTCTCAGTAGAATCGTGCTATATTTGTCCTTTTGTGTTTGGCTTGCTTCACTTAGCATAATGTTTTCAAGCTTCATCTGTGTTGTAGCATGCATCAGAACTCCATTCCCTTTTTATGGCTGAATAATATTCCTTATAATTATTATTATTATTTGAGACAGGATCTCATGCTGTTGCCCAGGCTGGAGTGCAGTGGTGCAATCTCAGCTAACTGCAACCTCTGTCACTTGGGTTCAAGTGATTCTCCTGCCTCAGCCTCCTGAGTAGCTGGGATTACAGGTGTGCACCGCCACACCCAGCTAACTCTTGTATTTTTGGTAGAGACAGGGTTTTGCCATGTTGGCCCGGCTGGTCTCAAACTCCTGACCTCGAGCGATTCACCTGCCTTGGCCTCCCAAAGTGCTGGGATTACAGGCGTGAGCCACCAGGCCCGGCCTCTTAATTATTTTTAATAGAAGAAATGAAGAAACTGTAGGCCTTGGGTTTTCCAAAGTGCTTCAACAACTGCATGGGGAAAAACAAAAGTCACTTGTGTGTAATTTCATGATGGTAATATTATTACCTCCACTCTACAGAGAGCTGTCCATAACCAAGTGAATGGCAGACGCATCTGACAGCGAAAACTCAAGCAGACACTGAGAATGATACTATGGTTTAGGAAGAATGTGTGTTTGGATTTCTGAGCTAAGGAATCTGGGAGTGGCCAATTTGAAGATTCACTCCTTATCTATGAAGGGCGTCTGAATTTCTGGCTTATCCCTTGAAATGCAGGCTGTCTGGGGGATCGAGGCCCTTTGTGTTGGGTTAAATGGAGATTGCTAGGTGGAGGTTGCTAGGTGGAGGATGCTAAGTGAAAACTGGCATATAAACTGCATGCTTTTTACAAATGGTGGTGGTCCTCCTGTCCAGCCTGCCACTCCTGGACTGCTCGGTATTTGAATCCTCAATGAACCCTGTGTCTTATTCACTGGCTCTGGGTATCTCCTTTGGCCTGGTGGACATGGTGCCAAACCTATTAGAGACAACAGGGGTCTGGCTTGACACCAAGCTATTTCATGGCCCCAATATGCTTCCAATTAAGTGAGCTTTGCTGGAAAGAAGCTTTTTGGATTTTTCTCCCCTTTTATTGTCCTGGTAATTTGGATGTGACAAATTGTGATGGATTTGTATTGTGCCAACTTAGCGAAAATTGAACTTCATTTCTCAGAACTCACTTCCCTGCAGAGTTCCAGGTTGACTTGAGCCACAGGGACATTCTGAGTAAGATTCAGAAGGTGGATGTGGGGCAGCAGCCATGTTGTTTTCTGTGCTGGGGGAGGCCGGAGCCTGCAGGGGGTGATGCAGCTCACGCACATTGTCTCTTATCTGCTGGTTCACTGGGTTGGTGGGGAAGCAGCCAGGCCCACAGTTCCTGGATCCTCTTTCCGTTCTCTCCACTCCTGGCTCAGATGCTCGTTAAACTGCACAATGAAGAGCATCAGCTACTGCTGCAGGATTCTCCCATCATTGATGCTGGAGACTTGGAGGCAGTGACAGACCTACGTGAGTTCTGGCCTGTCCTCTTAGTTCCAGCTCAGTCTCTCAGGTTCCCGTTTGTCTTCGCGATTCTCCACTTCATGTCCATCATCCTTTCCTGCCTATGTGTCCCATGGATGTCAGGTTCTAGCACAAGACACAGAAACAGCGGCCTCATGTAGACTGTGCCCCCAGCTCCCACCATTGCGTAGAGTCAAATCACTATATAAATCCCTTAGGACATATATCTCCTGGTGATGTTGCCTCTCTTGACTGAAATGCAGCCCTGACTGATATGCAGATTCTCAGACCTGTTAGCTCAGTTAGTGTGTACACTCTAGTCCATGTACAGGCAGAGGAGATGCTGTTATCCCCATTTTATTGAAGAATAGACAGATACTTGAGTAATGGACTCAACTCACAGCAATAGTAAGTGTTGGAACTCTTGCAAGAACTGGGGCTTTCTGATTCCTAGCCCTGCCCTCCTTTTGCTATGCTCTGAGGCTCTCTCTTTCCTTGACCAGTCAACAGCCCCAAAGATACGGCTAAAGAATCCCAGAACATCCACTTCCTCCTGCAATTCTGTGTCCTACTTTGCAATGGCCGTACAGGCTGTCACATTGGGAGGACAACATTGAGAAAGACCTCTGGGTCCACGGTGCCCTTGACATTCCTGGGTGGGTGGAAGAATCTGAAGGACAGTCTGAAGGGTCTTACCACCTGCGTTGGACCCTCTAAAGCCTTCTCCTTTAAGGGGGGTGGACACTCTGCCTGACTCTTTGCTTACCCCTATTTCTCCTTCTCACAGATGAGCTTCTACTTTGAGTGGCCAGATAACAAGTCACTGATGAAGCCATGACGACTAATGGGCAGAGTTATTCCTCATTGAAAGGCATGTTAGTCAGAGTCCTCCAGAGCAACAGAACCAACAGGATGTGCATAAAATCAATGAATAAATAAATATCTAAACATTTTGATGTTAAGGAATTGGCACACACACAAGTAGGGAGGTTGGCAAGTCCAAAATCTGCAGGGTAGGAAGGCAGGAGACCCAGGGAAGAATTGATGCTGCAGTTCAAAGTCTGTTGGTGGAGTTCCTTTTTGCTTGGGGGAGATCAGTCTTTTTCTTAAGGTTTTCAATGGATTGGATAAGGCCCACCCACATTATGGAGATGTGTAAGGGTTCTTTGTAGAAACAAAACCAATAGGATGTGGGATACACACACCACACACACACACACAGAGAAGAGATATACTTACCATAAGAAATTGGCTCACATGATTATGGAGGTTGGGAAATCCTAAGATCCGCAGGGTGGATGGGCAAGCTGGAGACCCAGGAGAGCTGATGGTATATTTCCTGCCTGAATATGAAGGCCTGAGATCCAGGAGAGCTGCTGGTGTAGTTCCAGTCTGAAGGCTGGCAGGCTTGAGTCCCAGAAAGAACTGATGTTTCAGTTTGAGTCCAAAGGCAGGAAAAAGGCTGATGTTCCAGTTCAAAGGCTGTCAAGCAAGAATAATTCTCTCTTATTCAGGGGACGGTCAGCCTTTTAGTTCTAGTTGGGCATTCGGCTGACCGGATGAGGCCACCCACATTAGAAAGGGCAATCTTTTTACTCAGTCTACCTATTCAAATGTGAATTTCATCTCAGAGACACACACCCTGAATAATATTTGGCCAAATATCCAGGCACCCTATGGTCCAGTCAAATTGACACATAAAATTTACCATCATAGGAAGGTAATTACTTTACTCAAAGTCTACTGATTTAAAGGTTAATCTCATGTAGAAGAATATGGCAGAAGTGACTCCATGCCAGTTTCCAGGCCCAGACCTCAGGAAACTCACAGCTGTAGAATGCAGCAGCTCATGCTTATAGTCCCAGCACTCAGAGAAGCAGAGGTGGGAGGATTGCTTGAGCCCAGGAGTTCAAGGCCTGCCTGGGTAACATAGCGAGACCCTGTACAAAAGAAAGGTGGAAAGAAAGAACGAAAGAAAGAAAGAGAAAAAGAGAGAGAAAGAGACAGAGAAGAAAGAAAGAGAAAGAGAGAGAGAAGGAAGAAAGAAGGAAAGAAAAAAGAGAGAGAGAAAGAGAGAGAGGAGAGAGAAAAGAGAGAGAGAAGAAAAAGAAAGAAGGAAAGAGAGAGAAAGAAAGAGAAGGAAAGAAAGAAAGAAAAAAAGAAAGAAAGAAAGAAAGAAGGAAAGAAAGAAAGAAAAGAAAGAAAGAAAGAAGGAAAGAAAGAAAGAAAAGAAAGAAAGAAAGAAAGAAACTCATTCCCAGCATTTACTTCCTATCACTTGGAATCTAGCAACCATGCTGTGAGGAGGTCCAAGCAGCCTGTGGAGATGCTCCCACATAGAGAGCCCTGTACTCCTTAGCCATCACCTCCAACCCCCACCTCACCAGCCCTAGGGTAGGTGGGTTTTTATATTTAACTGTGGGTTACTCTGGATCTTAGGTTTATCAATACATCACAGAGTCATTGCCGACCCAGGGAGTTTCACAGTTTGTTCCCAGCAGGCTGGACCCAAAGTCCAAGTGCTAATGTTGGGATTTCATCCCACTGGAATATTTATGCCAGTTCATATTTCTCCTGTTTCTAGCCCCTGCCTCCCACCTCTTAGCCACATGTTTCTGAGATGGGGTCATGAGGGTGAAGTCACCATATGGTGCCATAGCACACCCCACCTTTGCTTCCCTTCTTTCATATATCTTATCAATACAGAAACATCTAAGGGGCATGGGGATATTTTGAATTTATGAGATAGACGTGTTAGAATTTGACATTTCACATGTTCATAGAGGGATGGAAAGTTGCTATCATCTACTCAGAACCCCCAGACCAGCACTTAACAGGTACAATTTCCAGATACTCAGGAATTCCTGCTCTCTGAGCTCACATTACCTAAAAGCAGAGTCTAAGACAAAGGTGTATGTGACTTATTGAGGGCGTGCTCGCCGGATAAATTTGTATGGAAAGAAGAGAAGCAAAAAAGCCTGGAATAAATTAAGTAAGAAAGGGAAATCTACCCTCAACCTGAAGCCATGGTGAGCTCTAGAGTCTAAATTGCACCCCAGAGTTTACTGTGATTTGAGGCAAGAGAACAGAGCTCTTGTACCTCCACACCAGTCAGCCACTGGCCCTAGCCACCTGTTGAGGGTGGCACCATGCATCAAGGCTCACAAATTTCAACCTTCAAGCCACCTTCTTTCCGCGATCCCTCCTGTTTTCAACAGACCTGATTGTCCTCCGCTCAGTGAGAAGCCTCAACATTCTAATTTCCTAAAAGGGCTTTCAGAGCTTCAATTCAGAGAAGTCCCGTGGAGGAAGTGGCCTTCTAGATCACAAATTGTAGACCATCGAGTCTATATTACTGATCTTTTGGTTTCAAGTGTGAAGACCAATTATCTGAAAGTTTGGAATAAAGTAAAAAAGATAGCTGCGTAACTTCCAAATCAAATTAGAAAACTGTCTGCCTAAGGGTTATCTGATTCTCTAGAGGATGTAATGTTGATTTTATTATTGATTAGGGCTTGGATTCTATAACATTTGATGTTAAATTGTAGAAAATTGAGGTTGCAAATGATTTTTGTCCTGTAGGGGTGCAACTGATTTCTGTCCAGTAGAGAAGATAATAACCTCAAAGATTATTGACATGTCATTATCCTAGAACAGAGGCCAGCACACTTTTTGAGTAAGGAGACAGATAATACATATTTTAGGCTTCGTGGGCCATACAGGCTCTGTCGCTGTCAATTCTGCCATTACAATGTGAAAGCAGCCACAGAAAACACATAAATGAATGAGTGTAGCTGTATCTCAATAAGACTTTATTTATGAACACTGTAACTGGTATTTCATATTATTTTCTTTCCTTTTTCCTTTTTTTTTTTTTTTTGAGACAACAGTCTCACTTTGTCACCCAGGCTGGAGTGCAGTGGCACAATCAAAACTCACTGCAGCCCCTACCTCCTTGTCGAGGGCTCAAGCTATCCTCCCACCTCAGCCTCCAAGTAGTTGGAACTCCAGGTCCACGCCACCATGCTTGGCTAATTTTGTTTGTTTGTTTGTTTTTGTAGAGACATGTTTTTGCTATGTTGCCCAAGCTGGTCTTGAACTCCTGGGCTCAAGTGATCCTCCCACCTCTGCTTCCCAAAGTGCTGGGATTACAGGCGTAGCCACCACACCTGGCCCCGTATCATTTTCATATGCCGCAAAATACTGTACTTTTGTCAACTGTTTAAAAAAATTCTTAGTTCATGGGCCATGCAAGAACAGATGGTGGATTAGCCTAAAGGTTTTATTGTTCTGTAGATGACTGACTAGTTTTGTATTTAACTCAGACATTCATTCCATCTTTCTTGGTCCCACTAAATGCATGTGCATGGGTGTGTGTGTAAATTTGGTGGGGTGTGTGCACTGGTTTTCCTATCTCTGAACCAGTTTACCCTCCTGCTGTTTCCTTCATAAATGAGTTAAATAACTCTTTGATACATATTCACCATGTATTTGTATGACAGTTATTTTTTAACCTTCTGACAATTATACTTGGGTGCATGTCACAGAAATCCTTGTGAGCTAGCTTCTCCGTTCACTTCTTTCCCAAATTCCAATTCGTTTTGAATATGCAGTTTGGCCACCTCTTTTGTTCCCTTGGCTCTTCTCCTCGCATCAAGTGTAATATCAAGACGTTTTCCTGAATAAAGGCAGTTCTGTCCCCAAGAGAAATTGTGGTGCTTACCATTTTTCTCCTACCATTCTATTATTACTATAATAAATTTAATAGATTCCTGGACCAGGCATGGTGGCTCACGCCTGTAATCCCAGCACTTTAGGAGGCTGAGGCAAGCAAATCATTTGAGGTCAGGAGTTTGAGACCGGCCTGGCCACCAACATGGTGAAACCCCGTCTCTACTAAAAAAAAAAAGATACAAAAATTAGCCAGGCATGGTGGTGGTCACCTGTAATCCCAGCTACTTGGGAGGCTGAGGCAGGAGAATCACTGGAACCCGGGAGGCGGAGGTTGCAGTGAGCCGAGATTGCACCACTGCACTCCAGCCTGGGCGAAAGGGCGAGACTCCTCTGTCTCAAAACAACAACAACAACAAAAAGATCCTTGGACTCCTAAAAAACATTTTTTTTAGGGCTGGGAATGGTGGCTTATGCCTGTAATCCTGGCATACAGGATTTTGAGAGGCCAAGGCAGGAGGATCACTTCAGACCAAGAGTTTGAGGTCAGACTGGGCAACACAAGAGACCCGGTCTCAAAAAAAAAAAAGAAGAAGAAGAAAGAAAGAAAAAAAGAAAAGAAAGAAAGGAAGAAAAGAAAAGAAAGAAAAAATTGGATGTGGTGGTGCATGCCTATAGTCCCAGCTACTTGGGAGACTGAGGTTGGAGGACTGCTTGAGCCCAGGAGGTCGAGGCTGCAATGAGCTATGATCACGCCACTGCACTCCAGCCTGGGTGACAGAGTGAGATCCTGTCTCAACGAAAAACAAACTAACAAAACCCAAAAGCTTTTTTAGGAGTCCAAGAATCAGGAGAATGCTGGTATATCTACTCCAAAGTAAAAGACAAATTATCATGTCTTGTAATCTTACTGGGATACAACTAAAGTGCAGTTGTAACCCAATAAGGCTTTATTTACAGACATTGGAAATTGGAACTGGTATTTCATATTTTTTTCTTTTTTCTTTCTTTCTTTTTTTTTTTTTTTTGTTGAGACAAAAACAAGGTCTCACTTTGTCACCCAGGCTGGAGTGCAGTGGCACAATCATAACTCACTGCACCCTCCACCTCCTTGTCCAAAGGCTCAAGCTATCCTCCCACCTCAGCCTCCAGGTGGCTGGGACTACAGAGCCACGCCACCATGCTTGGCTTTTTTTTTTTTTTTTTTTTTTTTAGAGACAGGGTTTTGGTAAAGAGAGAAGCACAATGACTGGCAGGGCTCTTTGGGTGCTGGATGCAGCAAATTCTACACCTAGGGATGCTCTTCCAGGAAGCATGAAGGGTTGTCAGCTTCGAGTGGAGCCCAGAGCAGGAAAGGACTCTCCCAACAGGACCAGGTTGTAGTGCAACTTTTTTGCAACACCCTCCTCCATGAAACAGCCCACGGAGGGTGAGGGTGCAGGCTAATGGCTGGGGCTGGCAGTGGGCTGGCCCACATGGATGAAAGGTAATGAGTTAATAACACTGGTGGTGGATGAGGCACAGCGAGACTTGTCAAGGAGGTGCCAGCTCATATCAAGCTGCCAAGGCCTACATGGAAGAGAGCGGGGCATATGGAGTCTCTGAGGGCTCCTGCAGGGCTTCTCCCAATCTCTCCCTGGCATCCACACATACAGCGCAGCTGGAGACTCACCCTAGTGGATCTATTGTATTATTAATGCAGACCAATGCTCCCCAGAAGTCTTGGCTTTGACAGGCCCATGTGACTGGTGGATTCTTTCTATTGTAAAGCAAATAGTGATGACTCTGGTGGGTGCGGGGTAAAGTATAGGTTTCTGCGGAGGCGGAATCCACTGAACATCTGGTTGTTCTTTGGTTCTAGAGGGGGTGGGGCAGGCGTTAATTAAATGGTCCCTAGGCTGTGGGAGGTGGGCATTTCCCAGCCTAGGAGCAAGTGGAAAAATTGGCATCCTCTCCCTACCACATCCAGAAGATGGCCAAAATGCCATGGGAAAAAAATGCTCATCTTCAGTAGCAATCAAAGAATCATCAATTAAAACCAGAACCAGCAATGAATGTTATTATTTTTGTCATCTTTGCCTAGATTAGGGTGTACATTGGCATTGTTTCTTGAAAGCGTTTTGGCAATAATTATGCTAGACATGTCAGTGTTTTGTCCCAATCCACTGCAGCTGGTCCTGATTTGTGGCCAAGCCAAACCTAGCCCTAAAGGTTATAAGAGAGAATTGGGTTGAAATATGTTTCATTTTAAAAATAGCTCTGTATTTTTAGCTGCACAAGTAATACATGAATATATGATCATAGTTTTAAAAAAATCAAGCATTACAGACAAATCTAAAATTCTGCCTTGAGGCCATTTCCCCCAATCCCTGAAGTCCTCTCTGTTATCAGTTTCGTGTGTATCTTTCCAGGCCTTTTAATCTCTATTTACAGATATATGCGTTTATAGAAATACAGAGTGTAGTTCTGTGGGAGTTTATGAACATAAATGACATAATGTTCCCTATTATAGTCAGACTATGATGCAAGTGTGATGCCATGTGAAGGAGAGGGTGGAGGCGTCCTAGATCATCCTGCAGCCTAAGGCAAGTTCAGCAGGCCCATTGGGGCCTCCTTCAGCCAAGTTCACCACCAAAGGAATCTTGTGTCTCCCAGGAATATGCCTGCCTTAGTACTCCAGGTCGCTCTGTCATTACCTGGGAATGCAAATGAAGTGAAGAGTTTCAAACACAAAACCTGGGGCCCTCAGTCAATCATGGCCCTGGTAGTAGGAGGTCTGCGTGGTGCATTCTCATGGCCATCACAGTATACATAGCTGGAAAACAGTCCACTACTGTGGTCAGTAGTAGTTATCTCTGGCTGGTGGGATTGTAGAAGACACACACACACACACACACACACACACACAGCCTTCCCTTTTTTTGTAGTCCACATACATTTTTAAAAATCAGCTTTATCGAGGTATAATTGTATATTTTAAAAACTGCAAGTGTTTAAGGCATACAATTTGATGAGTTTGGACACATACATACACCTGTGATGCCATTACCACAATCACACTGATAAACATATTCACTGCCTCCAAAAGCCACCTGCATTATTTTGTATAATAAAAAGTAATTCTATCTTTAAAATGTGCATACATTTTGAACTACCAATGCCACTTCTAGGAATATATCCCCAAGAATATAATTAAACATGTGTACAGAGATGCCTATCACTGTGTTATTTGTAACAGTGAAAAATTAGATGCAATCTAAATAGCTAACAAGAATAGTTAAATACTTTGATGCATCCACACAATATGGTCCTATGTTTTGTTAACAATGATTGTATAGGTGACATATATTTATAGTCATGAGCACCTGCCTATCCATCTATCTGTCTGTCTCTCTATCTTCCCTAAGGGAGAGACTATCTATTACCTATCCATATATGACTATCCAAGGACTATCATATAGATATGATATATAGACAGATAGATAGATACATGGCTACCATATCATAGACTATTATCTACCTATCATCTATCTCTAACAATATCTGTCATGTTCATTTATCCATCCATCCATCCATCATTTATCTGTTATTTATTATTAATCTGTTACCTATCATCTGTTTTTTCTCTCCACCCCCACTCCCCCTCCTCCCTTCCCTCCTTTCCCTCCTCCCCTTTCCACTTTCCCTCCTCCTCCTCCCCCTCCTCCCTTCCCTCTTTTCCCTCCTCCCCTTTCCACTTTCCCTCCTCCTCCTCCCCCTCCACCCACCCCCTCCTCCTTCCTCTCTCTTCTTCCCTCTCCTCCTCCTTCTTCCCCTCTCCTCCTCCCCCTCCACTCATCCCCTCCTCCTTCCTCTCCCTTCTTCTCCCTCCTCCTCCTTCCCCTCTCCTCCTCCTTCTCTCTCTCTCTGCCTGGGGTTGTTCTCAGGCTTGGTTGCCTGGCTTCCCTGCCCACAGCGTCCCAGAAGCAACAATCTAGGAAAGGCTGTGAGTCCTGCGGGCTGTCAGAGACTGGCACAGTGGCACCCAGATATGACAGAAGACAAAAATGCCTGAAGCAGATGCAGCGCGTATTACCCTGAATCAAGAAAAGGTGAATCTCCTTGAGGATCTTCTGTTTAAGGAAGCAGGGAGATGCGTAACATGGTTTAGAAAGATTTCCATCCAAAATGGAAAAATAGAGATACTTGTGATGCTCAAGGAATAAATTTTAGTTTTCTGAAAAAGTCACCTATGCAGAGTTCCTCAGGCCCCAAAGCTGCCAGATAAATCACAGTCAGGGCTGGAAGGGACTGTGTCTCCATTTTACAGAGGAAACCAAAACTCAGAGAGGTTAAGCCACTTCCATGAGCTCACACAATAAGTGTCAATGGGGGATTTGAATCCATGCCTTTTTGATTCCGGATGTGGTAACATGGAGATGCGCCACCCAGATCCCCCTTCAAGGATGGTGATAGTGTTTTTCCTGTTCAGTTTGACACTTCCAGACCGCCCTGTACATAAATCCCAATAAATGCTATGCCTCCTTCACTGGCTCTGGGTCTCTTCTTTGGCCTTTCAGACATGGTGCCATCCCTGTTGGAGTCAACAGGAGTCTGGCACAACACAAACTCAGAACTCAGAGTGCTGAACTTCAAAGGCAGTTAACCTTCTAATTAAGGCAGTTTGTAATGCCAGCCCAAGAGCGAGGTTGGCACTCCCGACACATGGTGAAGCAGAGGCACCCTGGCTATCTTTGAGATTTGCAATGAGTCACAGAGCTGCCCAGCAAAGCCCAGCATAGGCCAGCTGACCCACAGACATGCGTATGTTATAATAAACAGTGGTTGTTTTAAGCCACTGAGTTTTGGGGTGGCTTGTTCCATGGCATTTTTATAGCATTTGCCAAAAAATACAGTAAGAATAATACCTAACTTACATAGCGCGATGTGCAGGCATTGTTCAAAGCCTCCGCATATGTTATTTCATTGAATTCTGACCTTGGTGAGGTACATACTTATTGTCCTCATTTTACAGAAGGGGCAGCTGAGGCACAGAGCAGCAACTCTAACCTCTGTGCTTCTTCTCGTGGAGCCAAGGGGAGCCACTAAAGTCCTTTTCTGAACCATCCAGGCTCATGTGTCCATCCTTTCCTTTCCAGGCCCACTTGCCACTGCCTCTTTCCCCTCTCTGCTTTGGGAAATTACAAGAAGCTTCCTAACTTGGGGTCCCAGTAGGCATCAGAATCTGTTCATGGATGCCCCTAAGAGGGATCAGAATATGATATCCCAAAATACGCCACTTTGGCATCAGGACTGTTTTGAGTTAAAGACAATTAAGAAATACCAGGCCAGGTGCAGTGGCTCACACCTGTAATCCCAGCACTTCGTGAGGCCGAGGCAAGAGAATCGCTTGAGGCTGGAAGTTTGAGAACAGCCTGAGCAACATAGTGAGACCTCATCTCTATAAAAAATAAAAATAAATGGCAGACAAATGAAGAGCTCTCTGTCCTCCCCCTATTGCTGTCATGGGTGATCGGCAACTATCTGGGGCCAGTGGTGCAGAGATAAGAAGAATTTACCAAGAAGTTGTAGGTAAAGAAAGGCAGATTTATTAGAGAAACTATGAAAGTATGTTGCAAGGTTGCAATGGGCAGCACAGCAGAGAAGGGGCTGTCTGCAAGGAAACAAAGGCTTGCTGGGGATGTTATAGAATGGTGCTTATGCTGAAGAGTGCTACGGGCAGCACTGATAATGCCAGGGTTGAAGTGAGCTAACTTGCAGGTGTGTCTGGTGAGTGCTGGGTGCATGAAGATTGTGAGCTTTTTGTGCAGGAAGGCTCTGTGTCCTGGACCATGAAGAAAGGCAGACTTATAGCTAATCAGCTTTCTCTTTTTGCTTTCCCTTGGTCCCAGCAGCCTGACTCATTTTCCCTAATTAGGACTCCACATTTGCCTAAAAGCAGAGCATAAATTTCCCTTTGTAAATGTAACATAAATTTCCATTGTAAAGGTGGTCCCCTCTCCTGTACCAGGAAGAGGTGAATGACCCTGGAGATCACTTGAGTCTACATAACAAACCTTACTAAACAATCTTTATCTACCATCCATTGCCTAGTCACCTTCCCACAATTTGCTGCCTCTAGAAAGCCAACCCTCTTTTCCTTTGTCTAGTCACTTCTCCACAACTTACCCCCTTTGTTAAAATGGTAGATAAGCCCCCAAGTCTAACCACCTCTTTGGGTTTTCACTTCTTTTCTATGAAGTCCCTCTCCACGTAAAAACATCTATACAACTCTTATACCTTTTCTTCTGTTAATCTGTCTTTTGACAGTTTGATTCACAGGCCTCCAGAAAGGAACATAAGAGGATAGAGAAAAAGTTTTCCTCCTTACACTCCTAAATTCGCAGGATAAATGTTTAAAGCATCTTTTTTTTTTTTTTTTTTTTTTTTTAATGAGATAGGATCTCACTCTGTCACCTGGGCTAGAATGCAGTGGCATGATCACAGCTCACTGTAGCCTCAACCTCCTGGGGTAAAGCAATCCTCCCACCTCAGCCTCTAGAGTAGCTGGGACTACAGGTGTATGCCATCACACCTGGCTAATTTTTTTTTCTTTTTAGAGGTGGGGTGTTACTATATTGCTTAGAATGATCTCGTACTCCTGGGTTCAAGTGACCCTCCTATGTTGGCCTCCCAAAGTGTTGGGAGTACAGGCATGAGCCACCATGTCTGGGTGCATTAAGCATTCTTGAGGAGTCTCTGACCCAGTTCCTCTCCAGTGTAGTACTGGGGAGGGCAGAATTTTTAACAGCATAGCCAGCATTCTGCTGGGAAGTGAGAAGCCAGTGCATCTTTCTTATGGGCACTCCAATCTCTACAAGCAATTTCCTAAAGCTCTGCTCACTTGACACTGTAGATGGAGAGAAAGCAACCCCTCCTACTTTCAAAGGAAGAAAAGGTAAAAACCCTTTCAACTGTGGGCGCTATGCTCCCCACAAGGCCAACGATCTCAGTGTTTGTCTTTCTCTACTCATGTGGTCGATTGTAGTAAGGCCAGGTCTGCAAACCATTATATAAGCTCTAAGGGTAGTTGAATGGTCCCATGTGTTCATTGCTCTCTTCAGAATGAGAGGTAATTAGTACCTGTTGCTTTCAGTTGTAGGTCCCAGGACCAATTCTGAAGCAATAGGAAAGTCCCATTTTAACATCCTTTTCAGAAGAATATTCCTGCAAAAATCTGAGAAGCGGCACAATTTACCAAATGCCAATTGATTTTTTTGTGTGCATTTTAATCTCTCTGTGCTTCCTTGTTGGTACTGGAGGGCCCAGATTTTCAGGTTCCCCCCAACCCCAGTCCATACCAAAGCAGAAACAAGGCTCACAGAATTGGAAATGGAACTGAGGCCTCCTGCCTCTCTGTCCAATGTTCTTTCTGCTAATAAATATCTATTGCTTTTCCTGCCCGGCATGCATTCTTTCTTCTGGTAACATTTTTAAAAATTGAGGTAAACGTCATGTAATGGGCCAGGCATAGTGGCTCACGCCTGTAGTCCTAGCACTTTGCGAGGCTGAGGCAGGCAGATCACTTGAGCTCAGGAGTTTGACACCAGCTTGGGCAACATGGGGAAACCCTGTCTCTATGAAAAAAAAAAAAAAAAAAAAAAACCTAGTTGGGAGAGGTGGTGCGCTCTTGTAGTCCCAGCTACTTGGGAGGCTGAGGCAGGAGGATCACTTGAGCTTGAGAGGTCGAGGCTGCAGTGATAGGTGATTGCATCACTGCACTCTAGACTGGGCAACAGAGTGAGACCCTGTCTCCAAAAAATAAAAATAAAAATTCATATAATGTAAAATTTATCATTTTAACTATTATTTTAAAATGTACAGTTCAGTGGCTTCTTGTACATTTACAATATTGTGCAGCCATTACCACTATCTAATTGCAGATAATTTTTGTCACCTCACAAAGTAATCCCATACCTATTAGCACTCACTTTCTATTCCCCCTCCACACATCCCCTGGCAACCACTAATCCACTTTCCATCTCTATAGACTTGCCTATTCTGGATATTTCATATATATGGAATCATACAACATGTGGTCTTTTGTGACTGGAAGCATAATGTTTTTCAGGTTCATTCAGGTTGTAGTATCTATCGTTACTTCATTCCTTTTTATGCTTGAATAATATTCCACCCTATGAATAGACCACATTTGTTTAGTCATTCATCTGTTGGTGAGCACTTGGGTTGTCTTCATTTTTTTTGTGGTTTTTATCAATAATGCTGCTGTGATCACATTTTTTTGTTTTTGTTTTTTGAGACAGGGTCTTGCTCTGTCACCCAGGCTGGAGTGCAGAAGCACAATCATGGTCCATTGCAGCCTTGATATCCTGGGCTCAAGTGATCCTCCCATCTCAGCCTCCCAAACAGCTGGGACTACAGATGTGCATCACCATGCTTGGCTAATTAAAAAATTTTTCTTATGGAGATGGGGTCTTACTATGTTGCCCAGGCTGATCTTCAACTCCTGGGCTCAAGTGATCCTCTCTCCTCAGCTTCCCAAAGTGCTGGGATTACAGGCATGAGCCACTACACCTGGCCGACCACTTATATTTAAATACCTGTTTCCGATTCTCTTAGGTCGAGATCTAGGAGTGGAATTGCTGGCTTAGATGTAATTCTATGTTTAACTTTTTGAGGAACTGCCAAACTTTTCCACAGTGGCTTCACTATTTTACATTCCCACCAGCAATTTATGAGTTTGGTAATCTTTTTGTTTTCCTTTGAAGAACCAGCCTCATCTTTGAGCCCATGTGTTGACGGGAATATTTAAGATGTATTCTTGGCTAGGCGCAGTGGCTCATGCCTGTAATCCCAGTACTTTGGGAGGCTGAGGTGGGTGGATCCCTTGAGCCCAGGAGTTCGAAACCAGCTTGGATGACATGATGAAACCTCGTCTCTATTTAAAAAAAAAAATACAAAAGTTAGCTAGATGTGGTGGCATGCGCCTGTAGCGTCCTGTAGTCCCACCTACTCTGGGGACTGGAGGTGGAAGGATCACCTGAGCCCAGGAGGTTGAGGCTGCAGTGAGCTGTGATTGCATCATTGCACTTCAGCCTGGGCAACAGAGTGAGACTCTGTCTCAAAAAAAAAAATTACTCTCGTAGCAAATTTCAGGAATACAATACATTATTATTAACTATAGTCATCACGCTGTACATTAAGCCTCCCAAACTTATTAATCTTATTTCCAAAAGTTTGTATGCTTTGACCAACACCCCCCCGCATTTTCCCCCACTCCCAGCGCCTCTGATAATGTGACTTCCACCCCATTTTGTCCAAAGATGTACAGCTAAGCAGGAGCTAGCCACTTAGCATATGCCAAAGTGATTGCTTCAGGGATGGGCACGTGACCCGAGCCAGGCCAGTGAGATTCAACTCTGAATCAGAACAACCCCTGGATTTTTGTTACTTGGGTCAATTTAAAAAAAAAAACACTTTAAAAAATTAAGCCAATTTGAGCTGGCTTTCCTGACACTTGGCCAAGTGACCACCCTGTATAATTAAGATCTGCTTGTTTAAAATCTCTGTCCAAGAGATTTACTTCCTATGTATGTTTTACATGTATTCAATGTCAATTCTACACTGGTTACAGCTACAAGATGATACTAGAGTTGAGCTCACACCAGTAGGACAAGACAGGATCAATGAATGGTCAGAGATGGGATTTTGCAGACAAAGGGGAACTTCCGGCTGCAGGTGTTATCATTCCATGACCTCAGAGCTGTGATGGAAAGAAGCAGAGAATCTGGGTGAAAATCCATCCGCCAAGATAAAAGTAACCCCACCACTCCTCTGAAGTAAAAGCCATCTCCAATAGGCCTTGTGTCTATGCTGGCAGCCCTTTCTTGCTGATACTTGACAAGCCTGCTGTCCAGCCTTACTCTTGCATAAAGCTGATTCTGGCTTGTCACCTTGGATGGGAGGATGAACTTCAGCCAGAGGCTTGGCCCAACTCTGGCTACCCAGGGCTCCAGGAGGGCTCCCAGGAAAATAAGCTGTTCTCTACCTCCCTCCCCTAATTAGGAAAAGAAAAAAGAGCAAAGAGGGAATAACAATTAAGTGTCTGGGTCTGGAGTTCTGTAGATCTAGATTTGAAACCCAGCTCCACTACTTAGCTTGCTGTGTGACCTTGAACAAGTTGCTGAACTTCTCTGAGCCTCGTTTTCCTCATCAGCAAAGTGGGAATATTGTTTCTATTTCTTAACATTGGTGTGAAAGTGATGATTCATGATGATGCTGGTGATTGCTAATACTGAATACTGAGCATGGCAGCTATTCTATGAGCACTATCTTCTTTTTTTATTCACATTAACCTGTGAGTTAAGTATCATTAGCCACATTTTGAAGACAAAGAATCTGAGGCACCAAGAGGTTAAGGCATTCTCTTTGGGCTACACATTAAGGATGGAGCGGGGGTTCACACAAGGGCAGTCAACTCCCGAGTCCATGCTCTTGCCACGGTGCTATATCAACTGTGCCTCCTTTAATCCTCACAGCAGTCTTGTAGGTAGGACAAATTATTAAGCCCATTTTATAGAAGAAGAAACAGAATCTCAGAGAGGATAAGTAATTCTCTGCAATGACACAGAACTAGAAAGAAACAGGGCCAGAATTTGAATTCAAGTCTATACTCTTCTCACTACCCACACCCTCATGCCACCACACATGTGGCTTGCTTCAGGAGCATGAGTCTGTGGAAGGGGCTTGCACTTTGATGTGTTGTTGAGTTGACATGGAAGCATCACCCCTTGACTACTCTCTATACAAGTCTTTATTCCCCCCATGCTTCTATTTATAACATCTTTTCATTCAAGTTGGAGTTTATGTGTCAACCAAACCCCATTTAATGTTGTTTAAAGCATATCCATTGTGGCGAATGGCCATGCCCCCGACACCCTAGTGACCTCCACCGCTCTCCAAGGTGCTGAACAATTTGCCAGTCTCAGGCCATCAGGTGCTCCTCTTCCCCCAAGGCCCTTCTCCGCTCTCCCCACCTGTGACACCTCCTGGGCTCCCCTGCAAGAGCCTTGGTCTCAGGGGTACCCACCACTGGTAGGCCTGTACCATATCTGCACGCAGTCCTCTTCTTCTGGGTCCGCGTGGACGCCATCATCTGGCTGGCTGCCATCCCAGTAGCTGTAGTCATAGGATGAGCCATCAGTCCATTCAAACTGCCCTTCCTGGGAGGGTTCCACCCAAAGAGACAAAGAAGCAAGCCAAGAAGAAGATCAGGCATTTGAGCCAGGCAGCTCCAGCTCAGACGTCTTAGCAACTTAATTTCTAACACCTCTGCACAGATGTCTTCATTGAGGCTACTGCTATCTGGCACTACTGCTACCAATCTGACTGCTATTATTACTACTATTACTAGCTGCCATTTGTTGAGGGCTTATTATGTGCCATGCCAGGAACTTTACTCATTTTATCCTCACCATTCTGAAAAGCAGGCGTCATCAGCCCCATTTTACAGATAAGAAAACTGAGACTCAGATTGGTCTACCCAAATTCACACAGCAAATAAAGCATTAGTGCTGGGAATCAAACCCAGGTCTATCTGAGTCAAGTACCCAAGACCCCTAACTACTACACTTTGCCAGTGGATGGGAGTCACTTTCCATCTGTTTTCTTTTTGTCTAAATAGTCCGTGTTTTTCTTGCCTAAGGTGGAACTACTCTGTCCAATTGCAAGGAAAGTCCTGTTGGGAATTTGATTGGTGTTGCAATAAATGTGCAAATTAACTGTGGAAAAAACTACATCTTTACAACTTGTCCAGGAACAGGAGCCATTTCTCCATTTATTTAAGTTTTAAGAAAAGTACCCCCAAAGCACTGATAATTATGGAGCCTACGTCATGTAATGGGAATAGCATGCTACTTCTGAGAGAGAGACTAGAGCTTGAGGTCCCATGTTCACCCACTGCCTAGCTCTGCAACCTGGGCAAGTTACTTAACCTCTCTGAGCCCCAGTTTCCACATCTGTGTGGTGGAGTTAATGTGTCCTTTAGAGAGTTGTTGTGAGGGTTGAAAAAATTAAAGCATGTGAAGGACTTAGTACAATGCCTGACACATGGTGCCCAGCTCTGAAAAGAAGAAAAGGCATTTTCTTGTATTTATTATTATTATTATTATTAGGTCTTTCAATACAAGTTTCTTTAACTCTGATTTAATGTAATTATAATCCAATTTTAGAGTTGCTATTATAAATGGACATTTTAGTGTTTTTAAAATTATAACTTCTCTATGTGTTCTTGCCAGTTGAAGTCTATTGATTTAAAAAATCACCAGGCATGGTGGCTCATGCCTGTAATCCCAGCACTTTGTGAGGCTGAGGTGGGAGGATCACTTGGAGCCAGAAGTTAGAGACAATCCTGGGCAACATAGTGGGACCCTGTCTCTACCAAAAAATTAAAAAACAATCCAGGTGTGGTGGTGCCTGCCTATAGTACTAGCTACTATGGAGCCTAGGTTGGGAGGATTGCTTGAACCCAGGAGTTCAAGGTTGCGGTGAGCTGTGATTGCACCACTGCTCTCCAGCCTGAGCAACAGAGCAAGACCCTGTCTCAAGGAAAAAAAAAAAAAAATAGGCCGGGCGAGGTGGCTCAAGCCTGTAATCCCAAAACTTTGGGAGGCTGAGGCGGGCGGATCACGAGGTCAGGACATCAAGACCATCCTGGCTAACATGGTGAAACCCAGTCTCTACTAAAACTACAAAAAATTAGCCGGGCATGGTGGCGGCTTCCTGTAATCCCAGCTACTTGGGAGGCTGAGGCGGGAGAATGGCATGAACCCAGGAGGTGGAGGTTGCAGCGAGCCAAGATTGCGCCACTGCACTCCAGCCTGGGCGACAGAGCGAGATTCCATCTCAAAAACAAACAAACAAAAAAAAAACAGCAAAAAAACCCAAAAAAACTCAGGTCTGACTACACTGTTACTTCTGCTACTTTAAGAGCAATATTCATCATCCTTAATGAGTTCCTATAATATGCTAAGCACCACGCTAAGCTCTTTACATGCATTAGCTCACTTATTTTTCTTTTCACAAGGCACTGTTATTTTCATCCCCATTTTACAGACACAAAAACTGAGGCTCAGAGAGGTTTTTTAAATTTGCACAAAGTCACCTGCCAGCCAGTAAGTGGCAGAAAAGGAGCTGGCACTGGAACCTTATTCCCTATAGTGCCCTGAGCAAGGCAAGAAGCATACACGCAAAATAGAGACTCAGTATGTGGTTTGCCCAGGAAAAATTTGAGGACAAAAATCTCCAGGTGGAGTTTGCTGTGACATTGCAGAGATCTGGTCCAAGCTATCCTCTTCAGCCTTATTATACACCCACCCCTACCCCACTCTGCGCTCTAATCACAATGGTCTTCCTTAATTAACTTCCTTGAATGTGCCAGGACCTCCTCTTCCTTAGGATGTTGACCCATGCTGTTCCCTCTACCTGGAATATGCTGTCTCTGGCTAACTCCTATTTACCCATTAGACACTAACTTAAATATCTCTTACTAAGGAGGGCTGTGGCAGCCACAGAAGTACATTACCCAGATCGCCTTCAGGAGGACCAGAAGAAAGCAGAGTTGATGATGGACAGCCCCAGGTCTCCTGCCGCCTTGGATTCACTGCCTTGTCTGTGATAAGCACATGCCTCTGCCTCTTTGGAGCTGCCACTGCATTCACAGTGAGACAATGCTTCCTCCAGGCTGTTCCTAGCCAGTGACTCAGCATGTCAGGGGTAATGGTGCTGGTGCAGGATTCTGCCCAGTGCAGGATTCCAGTCTTGGGCATCTTTCCTTGGGGACTCCCCATTGGCCTAGCCAAGACTTTCTCAGCACTGTGCTGTGATCTGAGGCTCTCCCTACCCAGTCCTTCCTCTCTGATCTTCTTTCACGTGTCTTAGACCCTTGGTGTTGTCTGGAGTCCTTCCCTGCCTACTTATGCCTCCTTCCTCTTTTTTGTTCACAAATATTTCCCCTCCAACATCTCTTGCACATCTAATCATGTTTTAGTGTCTTCTTTTTTTTTTTCAAGTTGGAGTCTTGCTCTGTCACCCAGGCTGGAGTGCAGTGGCATGATCTCCACTCACTGCAACCTCTGCCTCCCGGGTTCAAGCAATTCTCCTGCCTCAGCCTCCTGAGTAGCTAGGATTACAGGAGCCCACAACAGCGCCCAGCTAATTTTTGTATTTTTAGTAGAGACGAGGTTTCACCATGCTGGCCAGGCTGGTCTTGAACTCCTGACCTCGTGATCCACCAGCCTCAGCCTCCCAAAGTGCTGGGATTACAGGCATGAGCCTCCACACCCGGCCTAGTGTCTTTTTTTTTTTTTTTTTAAGAGAACCCAAGCCAAACAGGTTTTCTCTGACCATGCTATCTGTTCCCATCATTTAGTAGGACATCATTAAATGTCTTTCACAAATTGGTCATGCTGTAACTGTGACATCTTGGTGTCTGATTTCTCTCTATATGCTGTGTGCATAGCCGTGACCTGGCACTGATGTGAAAAGCTTATTAAATCAAAATAGAATCCTGGCTGGAGCTTCCAAGGGGGCCCAATGGCCACTGCTTTCTCACCTGTCTGTGATCATGAAGGCCTGTCCAGACGTCAGCTGGGATGCCGGGAACACAGCTGTTCACGAGGTCATATACAAAGACATTCTCCTCCCAGCTGCGAATTTAAGAATAATAGTAGCTGATTCCTCATGGCCTCTTTTCATAGGATGGAGTCAAAAATTGAAAGCAATCCATATTTACCTTCCTGGACCAAAGTAAATAGAGGATATGATCCAATTCGGCCTCCATTTTTCATTAAGTCACCCATATGTGGCCGGTCCTACATGGGCATCTCTGGATTTGACCTATGCCAGTTCAAAGAAGGACTCAGTACTGCTACTCATCCCTAAAAATTTAAATCCATCTCAAAAACACTAGCAAATGAGGTGGATTATATTGAAGATATGATGAAGAGACAATGAAAGGAGTTTACATTGCATTGCATACATCACATAAATAAATGAAAATTTCCACTAGTCATTTCTGTTCTCTCTCAGAGACCCTCCTTAAACTGCCCATTTATAATATATCCCCTTCTCTCCTAGTCTTTTTTCACATACCATCTCCAAAATCTCTGTTTTCCTGGGAAACTCAGCTCTAGGCTTCAACTTGCATTGCCCACTTAGCAAAACGAAGTCCCTCAGTTAACAGCCCACCATCCTTAGAAGTCATGGGTGTCTTTTGGGGGGATTCTTATCCTCTATTTCAAAGAGCTTATCAAATAATTCACCCAACAAAAGGAATCAGTGGAGGACCCTGGTGAGAGTCCACTCCCAAAAACAACAAAGAAGTAGAGATGGATGGATAGATTGATGAATGAATGGATGGATGAATGGATAGACAAATGGATGAATGGGTAGGTGGATAGGTGGTTGAATGGGTGGATGAATGAATACATGGATGGATAGATGAATAGATAGACTGATAAACAGAGAGGTAGAGAAATGAACACAATTATTTTCATCCTATCATTAAAATGTTTCTTGAGCACTGACTTCATGCCAGGTACTGTGCTGAGTGTCTTAAGTGCATGAACTCATTTCGTTCTCACAACAACCAGGCACTGGGGCAGATACTACTGGTTGTCTATCCCATAGCCATTCCTAATCCCTTACCCCATTGCCTTCATTATGACCCAGAAAAGCCAAATTTTATTTTCCCAGCTCCCTTTGCAGCTAACATTGGCCATATGACCAAGCATGGCCAGTTAGATTTAAGGCAATGTTTGTGGGGACATCTTGGAAATATTTTTCTCCATGATGAAAGGAGGGAGGTATGTGGAGAAGACCCAAGTTTCTAGCACTGCCCTTTCTCCTTAGGTTGTAGCCATGTCTGGACGCAAAACTTGGAACTGCTGCATTGAAGACGCTGAAGGAAAGCCAAAACAACTGCTCATCCAGGGCCCATATCAACGAGCCTGAAACAGGTTGTTTGTAGAGGTTAGAAGAATGGGCAAGGGATGTGACAGCAAATGGACAAATGGTGGGCACACCTCACTCAAATCATTCACAGGCCCAGATGACAGATCCCACTGAAAAAAATGATTCCCACTATTGGCTTCCACATGGCACTAAAAGGCGAACTTTAGTATGTCAAAGAAATCAATACAGAATGATAATAATCAGCCATAGACCTAATACTTCGCTTCAAAACATGGCCATGTCGATGTACCTTTTGTGTTGCAACAACATGTATCTGCTCCCATCAGCTTCAATAATTCACTTCAAAACAGGGCTATGTTGAGGTACCCTTTATGTTGCAATAAGGTGTATCTGCTCCCATCAGCTTCTTCCAAATGACTGCTCTATGAAGGCTGCCACCTTATCTAAAATACCCACCATTAGAAGATTTCTTTTTTCTTGAGGCATTAGTAGTAAATCCAAGCACTCATAGTCACTCTCCTTAGTTTTGTGTTAGTGAAGTGGAATTGATTGCCAATCAATTCCAGATTAGAAGCACTTAGAATTCTGGCACTCAGAATTTGTCTTAACACAGTGCTCCAGCCAGTCACTGCAGAGAGTTACTTAACATACACTCTTGGAGGAAAGGAAAGAGGAAAAAGAGGAAGGAAAGTGGAAGAGTGAGACAAGCCTTGCTCACTCTCAGAAAGATGAACTGATATGGAACGTTAAAAAACACTGGCCTCCTTGAGGCAGAATTATAGTTTATTATAACTAATAATAATAATAACTCCTACTGCTGGGCATGGAGTTATCCAAGTGCTGTGTAAGAACTTTAGAGGCATGATCACTTTTAATGCCTCACAAGTTTAAAAGATCAGTGTGAGGCCGGGCGCGGTGGCTCATGCCTATAATCCCAGCACTTTAGGAGGCCGAGGGAGGCAGATCACGAGGTCAAGAGATTGAGACCATCCTGGCCAATATGGTGAAACTCCGTCTCTGCTAAAAATACAAAAAAAAAAAAAAAAAAAAAAAAAAAACCAAAAAAACCTGGGCATGGTGTCATGCGCCTGTAGTCCCAGCTACTCAGGAGGCTGAGGCAGGGGAATCACTTGAACCCAGGAGGCGGAGGTTGCAGTGAGCCGAGATCACGCCACTGCACTCCAGCCTGGCAACAGGGCAAAACTCTGTCTAAATAAATAAATAAATAAAGATCAGTGTGATTATTGCTATCTCCAAGTTGAGAATTCTTGGCTTAGAGTTTAAGTGATTTGGTCAAGATTGTGCAGGTAGGAAGTGATGGAGCTGGGACTACAGTCTAGAACTACCTGACTCTGATGCCCTTAATCAATGCTCATACTGTCCCCCACAGTTTTCTTCATTTTGAACATCTGCTGCCCTCATTCCCTACGCTTCCCAATCTTTCAAGATCCTGATCCAGGACCAGTACTTCCAGGAAAGCTTCCATGACTATTTTCTATCCAATCCTTGACAGCTTGTAGCCCAAAGTTCCTGTTCTCCCAGGGGCTGGCTGGTTAGTTTGGTTCTCCATGTTCAGGGTCCTTCTGATGCAACTGAGGTTGCAAGTACAATGAGGGCTGTCTAGAGAAAAGCCTTGATTTGGAATCACTTTTGCATTTGCTTTTTATTGAATATATCTCATTTTCCTCTACAGGCTAGGAATTCTTTGAGAATTGATGTCTTCTGTCTTTACAAGTGCCAATCCTGTACTGTGCTGTGCTCTCATAGCAGATTTGATCCCTGAAGAATGCCTTTCATAGGGCTCCATGTTAGCTGGCTTTCAGTTAATGGGAGGCACTTATGAGTCTTTGGTGGATGGGTAGGAGGGAGAAACCAGAGTATTTCTTTCCCCCTCGGCTTGGGAGTCTCTGGCAGGGGCTGCCTCTCCTCCATGGCTCCAACTCCCATAGGACTGGCCTGTCCTCCAACTCAGGCATGGAATTGGCTTTCTGCTCCTATGTATCTCTAGTTTGCCTCACTACTCCATTTTCAGTTCTGAGCTTCCATCACTTTCCTATATTATCTGTTTTAGACACCTGTAGTGGTTCTTGTTTTCCTGGTTGGACCCTGACTGTCTCAATATATCCCTCAGCCCCACTGAAAATACACTGGTTGTTCAATACATCTGTTGGAGGAAGAGATGAGTGGATTCAAGATGCATTTGGAAACTAAGATAAAATACTCCTTCTCTATTTTTTTTTTTTTTTTGAGATAGGATCTCGCTCTGTCACCTAGACTGGAGTGCAGTGGCCTGAACATGGCTCACTGCAGCCTCAACCTCTCGGGCTCAAGTGATCCTCCCACCTTAGCCTACCGAGTAGCTGGGACTACAGGTGTGCATCACCACGTCAGGCTAATTTTTTGTTTTTTGTAGCAATGGGGTCTTGCTGTGTTGCCTGTGCAGGTCTTGAACTTCTGGACTCAAGCAATCCTCCCATCTTAGCCTCCCATAGGGTTGGGATTACAGGCATGAGACACTGCACCCGACCCCTTTCTTTTTTTTATTATTTATTTATTTATTTATTTATTTTTGAGACAGAATCTCACTCTATCACCCAGGCTGGAGTATAGTGGCATGATCTCAGCTCAATGCAACTTCTGCCCCCTGGGTTCAAGCGATTCTCCTACCCCAGCCTCCCGAGTAGCTGGGATTACAGGTGCCCTCCACTGCACCTGGCTAATTTTTGTATTTTTAGTAGAGATGGGGTTTCGCCATGTTAGCCAGGCTGGTCTCGAACTCCTGACCTCAGGTGATCTGCCTGCCTCGGCCTCCCAAAGTGTTGGGATTACAGGCGTGAGCCAACACACCTGGCCCCCTTTCCTTATTCTTAACAAAAGTCAGCGGCTCTACACATAAAAAACCAACCCCCTTTCTAAAGTAGTTTCTGAGATTCTTGAAGAACAGAGATAAGATTGTGATTTGTAGCTTGGGTGCCAATGGAACACATCACACCTGGCCTGAGAAAACTCACAAATCAGCAGGGAAGTCAGATGCAAAAAAGGTAGCAAAGCTGTGATAAAGGGAGTGTGCCAGGAGAGCTGGGTAATGAGTGTAATTAGGGGGTCAGAAGTAACTTCAGTGAAGAGATGTTGTCAGAGCTGTCTTGAAGATTGAGGAGGTATTTACCTGGAGGAGAAGATAGGGATGGAATTCCCAGCAGGGGGAATATAATGCCCAAGAGTATGGAGAAGTAAAAGAGCTGGACCAAATTGGAGAACTCTGAGATGGTCATTGTAGCTGGGGCTTCGGAGACAGAGGAATGTGGAAGGAGGCCTTGGAGGGTGGGCTATGGAATCTGAATCCACGCTTTCAAAACTGGTTTCTCCCACTTAAGAGTGGTGTCATGTGAGCAAGTTACTTACCTTTTCAGAGCCTCACCTTCCTAATCTGTAAAATGAAGATACCTATGTAATATGGTTTGAGGGAGTTTTAATGTCATGATGTACATGAAACGTGCAGCAAATAAGTATCAGTTATGATTTCTCATATTCTTTACATCATATTCTTTATATATGTAGTGTATCAGTTGTATCACAGGATACAGAGCAGAGGACAGCACAAGACTGGCACTTATAAAGGTGGATCTTCTGGCATGCTATTTGCTACCCCTGCTGAATGCTTTGCCTTCTATAGCCAAGGATGGTTTCAATGAGAAATTGGGTTGGATAAAAAGTAGCTTCAATTGGCCAGGCACTTGGCTTATGCCTATAATCCCAGTACTTTGGGAGTCTAAGGGGGAGAATCACTTGAGCTCAGGAGTTCAAGAGTGGCCTGGGCAACATAGCAAGACTCCATCTCCATTTTTTTCAAATAGTTTCAATTACCAAAGAGAAATGCCAGTTGGAAATACCATTCTCCACCCCATTTCCCAAGGGGGTGCTTAGTTGAACTATGGGGCACTGGGGATCCCACTTACCTGTGGATGGAGGCCAGCTTGGCGGACTTCCTGCCCACAGAGAACTCAGAACAGTAGAGGTCGGCCTCAGCCCAGGTCTTATTGAGAGGGAAGAATCGATAGCAGTGGCCTTTGAACTCCATCCAGAACAGGGGGCACAGGGAAGGCAGGGGCAGCTCTGGCAGGGCTGGGGGCAGAAAGGAAACAGACTGGGAGGAAGGTTGGCAGTGCTGACATTGTTTCCATAGCTTAGAACCTATTTTCTTTTCTTTACAATCTTTTAATTTTTTTTAAGAGACAGGGTCTCGTTCTGTTGCCCAGGCTGAAGTGCAGTGGTTTGATCATAGCTCATTGCAGCCTCCAACTCTCAGCTCAAGTGATACTCCCACCTCAGCCTCCTGAGTAGCTGGGACCACAGGTGTGCACCACCATGCTTGCCTACATTTTTTGATTTTTGTTTTGTTTTGTTTTTGTAGAGACGAGGTCTTACCATGTTGACCAGGCTGGTCTTGAACTCCAGGGCTCAAGTGATCCTCCTGCTTCAGCCTCCCAAAGTGCTGGGATTGCAGGCGTGAGCCACCGAGCCCTGCCTGTACATACTTTTTTTTTTTTTTTTGAGATTGAGTTTTTGCTCATGTTGCCCAGGCTGGAGTGCCATGGTGCCATCTCGGCTCACCGCAACCTCCGCCTCCTGGGTTCAAGCGATTCTCCTGCCTCAGCCTGCCAAGTAGCTGGGATAACAGGCACGTGCCCGGTTAATTTTGTATTTTTAGTAGAGACGGGGTTTCTCCATGTTGGTCAGGCTGCTCTCAAAGTCTCGACCTCAGGTGATCCGCCCGCCTCGGCCTCCCAAAATGCTAGGATTACAGAAGACGTGAGCCACCGCACCCGGCCACCTGTACATACTTTTAAGAATGAAAGTAAAGTATGTCCCATTATGATCTATGCAATTCTATGCTTGAGGTCCAAAAAACATATACATACCTACGTTTTACTAAATTATAAAAATAATATGTGCACATCATAGAACACCTGGAAAATGTTAATGCTTTGATACATTTTTTTCTCATGTCACATTTGTATGCAGTGATGTTTTAATGTAATGTGATTATATGGTACTCTACATACCAGTCGATATTCTGACTTCTAAAAATTAAAGAGTATAAGCATTTCCCCCATGTCATTATACATTTTTGTAAACATTGTTTTAAATAGCTCTTGAATCCTCTACTGAGTGGCTCTCCTAGAGTTTATTTAATCATTCTCTTATTTTTAGATAATTAGATAGTTTCTCTGTTTTTTCAACTATTACAAATAATTCTGAGATGAGCAGTTTTGTGCATAAAGCTTTTTTGGCATTTCTGCTGATTTTCTGAGGAGAGATTTTTAAGGCTTTAATACAATTTGCTAAATTGTCTCCTGAAAGCAATTTATCCTCCCATGGTAACGTCTGAGAGTGCCCATCTCACTTTGCCCTTGCCAGAGCTCAGTGTTATCACTTTCATGGCAATCTGCAAATTTTATAAGCAAAAAAAGGGTATCTTGTTTCAATTTGCAATGCTGGACTATCTGGCAAGACTGCACATTTTCCCACATGTTTATTGCCAAGCTATAGCCAAGACTATTTATATCTTTGCCCATCGAACTCCTGGAGTTCAGGATTTGTTCTTAATTCTAAAAAGAAACAAATTTTTAAAAACCCCATGTTTGAGACAGTAAAGTTCTCTCAAGTCTCAGCCCCTCTGAAAGCTTCTTAAGAGATACTTTTTTTGGAAACCACGACTCAGGATGACTGGCGAGAGGAGACAGGCAGGCTGAGAACCTTTCTCATACTAGGTTGGATGGCTTATCCATGAAGACAGCCAGTGGGCAGGGGTGGAATCTGTTAGACTGGGGTTGAGAGCCTGGGTCCTACCCCCAGCTCTGTATCTGACCTGCCGTGAGATGCTGGCTCATTCTTTCCCATCTTGACCTTCAAACTAGATGATCATTGGGGTCCCTTTTGTAGCCATCCACTCAGGGGTGGGTGAAGGTCACCCTTTAGTGGAATCTTTGCCTTCAAGCCACTATAGTGGTTGGCTGAACTCATGAAGTAATAAAGTAGTGAACAGCATTCATTGAGCATTTGTTATAGTTTCCCTGTATGCCAAGGAAATATAGGGAAACTGAGGCTAAGGCAGGTTGAGTAACTCGCCCAAGATCATCCTGTAGGTAAGTGGCATAGTAAGGATTTGAACCTAGGCTTCCCAACTCCCAAGTTTTTGCTCATAAAGTTGGCATGATGCTTCATGATGGGAAATTAGCGGGTCTAAGAATAGTTCACAGTCTTTATAGCACCTGCTTCATGGAGTTACTGGGTCAACTGATTGGGCCAAATAAAGTCACCAAGTACTTGGGATATATGGATTGTGTAATGTACGGCTATTAATGATTAGCTCAGGGTTTTATAACCAAAACTATGGGCTGCAGGGATCCAGTGAATTTCCCAAAATCAAATGTAAAATAAAAAGTGTGTGTGCACCTCTGTGCATTTCTCTGGGGAAAGAAAGGGACAGTTGCTTTCATCAAGATAGCTGTGCTAGGCAGGCAGTTTCCAGGCCATGCTTCTCAGGGCTGGTCAGTACCACTGGGCTTTCCCCTTTGACCAGAACAGCCTGTCCCCAACCCCAGCGGCTGTGCTGACCAGGGGTACCTCCCCATCCCTCCTGATCAATCCTGGCCAACTCTCTTTCAATGCATGCCAGTATCCAAACTGGAGCCTGTTGGTTCAGAATTGGCTTTCTTAATCCTCTTCTATATGTCAAAAGGAAGGAGCTCTGCTGGGGGAGGTAAGTGGGCACAGCACCTTGGCCTGTCCCCACCCTTTTCTGGGACTCAGGTCCCTCCTTTCTTGATGGAGAGCATTGGTCTAGGAGGACATCATCTTGATGCGTTAAAGCGTCAATGGCCAAGAGAGTTGATGGACCCTTTGTAACGCTGGGTGTTGCTGAGCTCTTTGTAGGGACTTTTGAGCACTGCCTACAACACAAAAAGGCTCTACTGAATCGCTGCTTGGGACGACTTTTTCAGCAGTTTCTCCCTTAGCATGGATGAGAAGCAGCAAATCATTTCTACCAGCAAATCATTTCTACCTTCTTTCCACTCAGTAACCAAGGACACTCATCCATGAGAACTTGGCTAAGTTTGTCCAGGAGTGACTGGGATGACTCAGTTTTTGCTGGTGATAAACCACTTTTCTCACTCCCACGTGTCCTAAAATTACTTGGCACCCTACATACTCATATTAGAGATGAAAGTAGGGTGACCAAGCCATCCCAGTGTGACCAGGACCATCCCAGTTTTAAAATCAAGAGTCCTGGCTGGGTGTGGTGGCTCACGCCTGTAATACCAACACCTTGGGAGGCTGAGGTGGGTGGACTGCTTGAGTCCAGGAGTTCAAGACTAGACTGGGCAACATGGTAAAACCCCATCTCTATAAAAAATACAAAAATTAGCCGAGAGTGGTGGAGTGTGCCTGTAGTCCTAGCTACTCTGAGGTGGGAGGATCGATTGAGTATGGAAGATCGAAATTGCAATGAGCCATGATCACGCCACTGCACTCCATCCAGCCTGGACGATAGAGCAAGACCCTGACTCAAAACAACAACAACAACAACAAAACCCTGAGAGTCCCACATCCTGGGCACTCCTACAGTTCCCAGCGAACTGAAATTGGTTGATCACTCTCAAGCAGTGAGGGGGAATTTTATCGCCGCCCCTTGCCAGGAGACATTGGACAATGTCTGGAGACATTTTTGGTTATCACCACTGGAAGTGGTGGTGCTAATGGCATCTAATGGGTAGAGGCCAGGAATGCTGCTAAACATCCTATATTGAACAACTCCCCACAACAAAGAATCATCCGACCCGAAATGTCAGTAGTGCCAGGACTGAGAAACCCTGCCCCAGATGGAAGGCAGGACTCCAAAAATGTAAAATAACCCCACAGCACAGCAACACAAAACATCACAGCAAACATTCACATTTCTTAGCCTGTTCCTATTTTCTTGAACAAAAATTAAGACACAGCCCCCGCAACTAATGAGAAGTATAGTGTGGGCTATTTCTCTAATTTTAGAGTTAAAATGTATTACTAATCCTAGCCCATGGCTTAAAAGCACTGAAGACATTGCTTTAACATTGTGTTTAAATTTAACGACATGGACCTCACTAAAGAAGTCTGCAGAAGGGAAGTCTAGCACTTTCTCCCCTGAGTTTAGAATGAGGTAAACTTCTTTGTCATCTTTCTCTGACTGTAGGAGGATGTTTTTCCCCTGGTTTCCTTTCCACTGAAGATGAAACTCTTCATGAGTTTCTGCACTAAGAAAGGGTTCAAGTTTCAATTCCCTGCTTCAGATAGCTCTGACTTCCCCTCCTACCCCACGTGGGTGTTAAAACCCCAGTCCAAGCATTACGAAGGCTGATGCCCTACTTAGGGCTCTGGAGCAATATGCTTGCTTTGCTCTCTATCTCTATCTTGGTTTCTGGCCCCTGGGCACCCCCCCTCACTTCCTTAGAAGTCCAGTCTAACTTGAGCAGGATGTTTGCAGATGTTCATGTGACCTTTCTGCACGGCGGTAGTGGGAAGAGCTTGTAGTCTCAAATTCACCATATTGTGTAATCTGGACGTCTCTGCTCTCTTTGTCTTCTACCTCTTTTTTTTTTTAAATAAACTTTTTATTTTGGAATAAATTTAGACTTACAGAAAAGTTGTCAGAGAGTACAACGATGGTTACCAGAAGCCAGGAAGGGTAGTTAGTGGGGAAGACAGGGGAAAAGTGGGGGTGGTTAATGGGTACAAAAATATGGTTAGACAGAATGAATAAGATCTAGTATTTGATACCACAACAGGGTGACTACAGTCAACAATACTTTATTGTACATTTAACAAAAACTAAAAGAATATAATTGGAGTGTTTGTAACACAAAGAAATGATAAATGCTTGAGGTGATGGACACCTCATTTACCTTGATGTGATTATTACACACTGTATGCCTGTATCAAAATATCTCATGTACCCCATAAATATATACACCTACTATAGCCCATAAAAATTAAAAATTAGGCTGGTCGCAGCGGCTCACACCTGTAATCTCAACACTTTGGGAGGCCAAGGTGGGAAAATCGCTTGAGCCCAGGAGTTTGAGATCAGCCTGGGCAACATAGTGAGACCCTGTCTCTTACCAAAAATTAGCCAGGAGTGGTGGCATGTGCTTGTAGTCCCAGCTACTTGGGAGGCTGAGGTGGGAGGATCTCTTGAAACCAAGAGGTCAAGACTTCAGTGAGCTGGGATTGCAGCACTGCACTCCAGCCTGGGTGACAGAGCAAGACCCTGTCTCAAAAACAAAAAAAAAAAATTAAAAAAATTAAAAAGTACCAAAGATAGTGTGTGGAGAGAGTTCCTGTATACCGTTCACCCAGTTTCCCCTGATGTTAACATATTAAAAAGCTAAGAAATGAACATGGCTACAACATGATTACCTAAACTCCAGACGTTACTCAGTGTTTTCCTTTTTTGTGCTCAGATCCAACTTAGGATGTCTGTTACATTGACTCTACCTGCATGTTTTATTTGACATAAACTACTCTCTCTAGTATTGGCTGGGATCAGATAAAATTGACAAGAATTGGCTGGAACTGCTCAGAATTTCTTAGCATTGTTGGATAATTTGCCAAAAATAATCTCTTTTTTCCCCTCTTTACAACCAATCAATTTTCAAGTCATGTCTATTCCATCTCCTAAACACGTCTCTAATTCAGTCTGTTCTTTCTTCCCCTTCTGCATTCTTTTTGACCTTCTCCCATGAAGACCTTCTCAACACCTTTTAGCTGTTCTTCCTGCTTTGTCTCACCTCCCAGGTCCAGAGGCATTCTTCCTCCTTGGAACAGCCTGACCTCATTTCCCTGAAACCTCACAGGTGTTCCCTTTGCCTTTGGGAACTGCTTGCCCCTAGCTTATTCTCTGTCATTCACCCCCTCCTTACTCTGTGCTCCAGGTTTGCCCACACTTTTGCCATTTCTCAAAGACATGTTCTGACCTTTGCAGATAATTCCCTTGACCTGACTTCAGCCAATTCTGTTTCTCCTTTGAGTCTCTGCTGCAGTGACTTATTCAGGGAAGATGAGGTAGGAGCCTCTGATAAATGCTTTTAGAGCCCCTTGCACCTCAACATTCACACATTCCTCCTCTATCCCCATCAGCATCTGTTGTGATCATTCCTCTTCCTCTGGTGCCTTGGCACGTAGTAGGTGCACAATGACTGGGCTTGAATGCATAAATACATGTAGGGAATCAAACACCACTTCTTGAGGGCAGCCTCTTGGGAAAATGGTGAGAAGGCTGTGTGCATAACTCATGCCTTTGAAACCAGGAGTCCTGACACTGCGATGGCATTCCTGGAGTTTTTTTAACCAAGTCCTGAAAGCAGAGGTTGCCAGATCCTGGTTTTGCATATTGTTTAGGACAACGATTGCTACGAAGGCCAACCTCAGCATCCCCTGGGACCTTCAGACTCCCAGGCCCCACCCCAGGCCTTCCAAATCGGAGTCTGCATTTTCATAAGAGCCCCAGGTGATTCTTGTGAATGTGAAAATCTGGGAAGCCCTGGTCTACAGTGTGCCAGACTGAAAGATGGAGCCTGTAGAATTACTGATTCATTCATTCATTCATTTTCTCACTGAACAGAGCCTGGCAAAGAGGAATTAATAATTAATTAAATGAAAGGGGCTGAGTGGAGTGAGAAGGGGAAAAGGGTCCTTGGTCTTAAAGACTGTGGATATTTCAAAAAGAACCCCTGCCTCCAACCCTGTCTGCTCCTCCCAGAGTGGAAAACAAGTTCCTTGAGCCATTTACACCCCACCTCCCCATTCTGGTCCTTTAGGTTTTCTCCACTGAGTAATTTGGTGGTTATGGATGCCAGGGGTGAAACACACCAGAAAATGGGGCTGTGACAGGTCACTGCTCAATTACTCCCCTTTCCAACAGGGCAGGCAAAGGCCTTTAATTGTGAGGACCTGGGAGGTGGAAAAGAGCGCTGGCTTGCACCAAAACGATCATTAACTCCAGCCTGCACGGCATTTCCCCCTCCTCCTTTACCTCTTGGGTTTAAGGAATTGGGAATAGTAGGCCTTTCATCAGCCTGACCCCAAGCCAGCCTCTGCTAATCTGTCTCTTGTGAAGGGATTTCTTTAGCTTTATAGCTTGACAGTCAGGTAACCATGGCAACACAACAATCAGCGCCAACTCTGACTCAGCATTCACTGTGTGCCAGGCATTGTGTTAAATGCTTGATACAGAAAAATACACTCAATCTTCACACATCCTACCAGGTAGGTGCCACTATCACCCCCACTTCACAGATGAAGAAACCAGAGCACAGAAAGGTTGGCCAACTTGCCCAAGATCGCACAGCTCCCAGCTGGGATTTGAAGCCAGCCTGTCTAGCTCCAAACCTAGAGAGTCCTACTGCATTTAAGCCCATTTCCTTTTGCTCCAATCTTGATGGTCTGGTCCTTCATTAATTCCTTTATCCATTCAACAAGTACTATTTGAGCACCTACTTGGTCTCAGGCAGTAGGTTACAAGCTGAAGATACTGTGTGGTATACTACACAGATGCGCCTTCTGACCTCATGAGCCTTATGGTCTATGAAGACCAAACCTAAGAAAAATAAGCACAGGCCAGGTGCAGTGGCTCATGCCTGTAATCCCAGACTTTGGGAGGCAAAGGCAGGAGGATCGTTTGAGGCCAGGAGTTTGAGACCAGCCTGGGCAGTATAGCAAGATTCCACCTTTACAAAAACACTTTTTGTAAATCAGCCATATGTGGTGGCACATGCCTGTAGTCCCAGCTACTCAAGAGACTGAAGAGGGAGCATCACTTGAGCCCAGAAGTTCCAGGCTGCAGCAAGCTATGACCATACCACTGTACTCCAGCCTGGGCAACAGAGCAAGACCTTGTCTCTAAAAAAAAGAAAGAAAGAAAAAGAAAAAGGAGCAAAAATAAAGATGTCATTAGCATGTAATTTGTGGATGTGTATCATGCCAGCAAAAACTTCAGGGAGCAGCCCCCTCGATTATTTTAGAAACTGGCTGTTTGCCCCTTTCTCTCCCTAGTTGAATTGGTGGCTGCCCTGTCCCCATCTTCAAGGATCCCATAGGTGATTATGACACGGCGTCATGAGTTCCCTTCCTGGATGGGGGAAAAGAGGGTGTTGCCACAGGAACACCTAAAAGTGGAACATAACCCAGACCTGGAGATCTGGGAGGCTTCTTAGAGGAGGTGCTGTCTCAACTGAGACCCGGAGGATGAACAAGAGTTAGAGAAAGAGTGTTCCGGGGGGAGGACACAGTGTGTGCAGAGGTCTGGAGGTGTGAGAGAGAATGGAGCTTTGGAGAATTAGAAATGGTTTAGCATGGCCGGGAACTTGAGAAGGAGAAGAGGGAAGAGATGAGACTGGTGGTGGGGGAGGGGAAGTGGAGGGAGAGAGGCAGAGGGGAGGGGATGCACAAAGGGGCTGTTGCTCTGGAAACCAGGAGGCCAAACCACATGGTCTTTTCCTTCAATTAGCAACATCAGAGGCCCCCAAGGTCTCCCAGCTGGGGTGGGGGGTCAAAGCCTTTGGGAGTTCTGAGCTTGTTAGGAAAAGAAAACACATCAGTGGAACTCAGGGCTCCCCCCCACCCCCACTCTTTTTAAAGGAATAAATTGTCACCTTCCTACTGAATCTGGCTGCTGGCTCCCCTGGCCCCAATCCAGCCGCCCACAAATGCACTACCCTGCTGCCTCCTGCCCAGATCAGTCTTGGGACCCAGCCAGGAGGGGAGGCGGAGAGGCTCAGGGGCCACATTTGTCCACCCAGTCCCCATACTAGGCCCCAGACACTCCCAGCGGGCTGGAAGAAAGTGTCTCACAGACTCCAGGAAGGTGGCTGCTGCGTTCTGAGGACTCAGTCACCCTCAGTGCCCTCCTGCTGTCCTACGGGTTCTACCACCTCCTTCACAGTGAGCCCTGGCTCTGGGAAGCGGAACTGGTGGCACCAGGTCTCTCCTATCTAAGCTTTGCTGCCCCTTCTGTGAGCCACTCCTGAGGCCACATGAAACACAGAAAAAAGCATTAGACAATTTCTTATATTGCTAATAATAGCAGCCATTCATTGGGTGTTTAGTATGTGACTCCTTGAGATCAGCCTAGGAGGGAGTATCCGTATCATCCCCATTTTACAGATGAGGAGACTAAGGCTCAGAGAGGGTAAGTCACTTACTGTCTTGGCTCAAAAGTGGCAGAGCAATGATTGAGACTCTATTGAGACTTGAGTCTGACAGATTCAGAAACTCCTGAACAGACTAGCGCCTCTAAAAGATATCTTCTTTCTGGTCTTAGTTTTCTCATTTGTGAAATAAATCTATTAAACACCAAATGTAACAATTAAGCAAATAAGTCGATGTTTCCTGGGTGCCTATTTGGCTTGAGGTCTGTGTCCTTAGGTTGCTCTCAGTCTGGAAGGAGGAACATGCACATGGCAGAGTCATCGCATACTAAGTATTCTAGAAGTATGTACAAAGTGCTTGCTCTGTGACCATAGAGGAGGAGGGGGAACTGGATAGAATGTCCAAGGGACACTTTAGGATCCGGGCTGCTCTAGGAGGTAGGAACACCGTTGCCTATGTCTCTATGCTCCAACTTCAGAGCTTGGACTCTGGAGTCAGATGGTCCTAGTGGGAAACTCAGCTCTTTGTGCCTCAGTTTTCTAATCTGTACAATGGGCATGATCATAGTGCCTACTTCACAGAAAAGCCAGTTCCAGCTCAGAGGTAGAGACTCTAGTAAGTATTAGATATTATTACAGTAGAAACAGTCTGGGTCACAGAACCTTCCCAGAGCTGAGAGTGCAATGCCAGGCTCTTGGATGGGTGAGGAAGAGGCTACATAACCTGACTTATTCCCCTTCTACGCTTCTGAAGCCCTGCAGAAGCAGATCCTGAGCTTCAAAACACTTTGCTATAAATTTCCTTTGCTATAGAGAGTTCTTGGGCTCAGGAGTCAGGGAAAGGAAACTTTTTGATGGTCGAAGAAGAATAATAAATGTTTACGTAGCTCTTACTGGGTGCCAGACACTGTTCTGAGGACTTTACATTCATTAATCCACTTAAACAATGAGATCAAAGGCAGATTCAGAGAAAAGGTTTTGGGAAAAGGATTTAGTCTGTCTAAATCCTCCCAAGTCTCTAAGAGATGTCTAAAAAGTTTTTTTTCCTCCAAAACATAGGGGGTGGCTGAGTTGTGCTATTTGCGTATATTTGCATATGCAAGGGGTGGGTGATGAAAGGTCTGGAGTAGTGGGATGAATGACCCATGACCTGTGCCCTGTTATGCATTGTACCTAAAGGCTGGGGGTCCACAGAAGAAGATGAAAAACCAAGCCTATTCTCAATAAGGAGGACCTTGGAGGTACATGTATTCTCATGGTCGGCCGGGGCCCACAGAGACCCCTAAATCCTCCCTACAACATACCAACACACACGCTCCTGCCCATATGCACCCATAAACTCACACACATTCCCTCTGTGTTGAAATCACTTTCCTCTAGAGAATCTATCTGCATAGGCTGAAACTGGGCTTCCTGTAGGGCTGGGAGCCTGGGAAGCAGTTGAACTGCCACTTGGACAGTGATGACCATGGTTGGCTCAATTGGCCTCTGTAGCCTCAGTTTCCATAGCCTTAATATGGAAAGGTTGGGCTGAGTGGATCTTTAAGACCCATCCTTCCATTTCCAAACTGCGAGCTCTCCCAGGTAGCTGAGATTGACACAATCTCAGTCCCCTTATCTATAGAGTAGGGATGAGGCTTGGGGACTGATGTTCAGAAGTTCCTTTCAATGTTGAAGACTTTTGTCAGAATAGAAAACTGTCTCCTGGCCAATTCTAGTATAACATCAACAACCACAGTGGCAAACATAGTAATGGCAATAACTCATTTTTTAAATGCTTCCTATGTGCTAAGCACTTCACCTGCACGAGCTCATTGAAGATCTCCAAAACCCTTGATAAGGACCCTTGTTATCCCCACTTGGGGCTCAGAGAGGTGAGGAAACTTGAGTCTCAGAGAGGTCCCATGGGCACAAGCTAGTGAAGGACAGAAAATACCCCTAGTTACTCCCGCTTTCAAACTCAGTCTTGGCCCCTTCCCACTTTTGCTGGGCAGAAAGGCAAGATCTTGGGATATACGAGGCGCAGTCTGCAAGGATATTTTGTTCAACTTCTTTCCTACTTGCTTATTGTATTGGTGAGGAAACTGAGGTCCGAGAGTAAGGAGGCAAGTCACTGCTATGAATGGAATGTCTGTGTCTCTCCTCTTCCCTGCCCCCAATTCATATGTTAAAGCTCTGACTCCCAATGTGATGGTATTGGGAGGGGGGACCTTTGGGAAGTGATTAGATTTAGATGGGATCCCATCCTTATGATGGGATTAGTGTGCTTATAAGAGGAAGAGACCAGAGCTTTCTCTTACTCTGCCATGTGAGGGTACAGTGAGAAGGCGGCCATCTGCAAGCCAGGAAGAGAGTCCTCACCAGGAATAAAATCTGCTGGCATCCTGATCTTGAACTTCCCAGCCTCCAGAACTGTGAGAAATAAATGTTTGTTGCTTAAGCTCCCCAGTCTGTGATATTCGCAGCCTGAGCTGATGAATACACTCAGAGAGTTTAGGACAGAACTGAAACCCCTTGCCCAAATGAGCTAAGACTATCCCTTATTGTTACCACTAGGGATGCTAGATTAACAAAAAAAAAAAAAAAAAAGAAGGATACCTAGTTAAATTTGATTTCAGGTAAACAAACAGATAATTTTTAGTATAAATACGTCCCATGTAATATTTGGGGCATGCTTACACTAAGAAATAATTTATTAATATTTATTTATTGGTATTTTATCTGACAACCCTATCAACCCTCTGTTTAAAGTCACTCTAACACTATCACAACCCAATAATTTGGCCTTATGAGAATCTCCATCTAGGTATTTCATTATTAGTTTTACTTGAACGGGGATTTAAAAATGATATCTCTGCCACTGCTATGATAAATAAATCCATATATGAACATAAACAAGCCTGGAAAGAACCTGGTAGAGGTGACAGTCAAGACTCTTGGCCACCAAATTATAGGATTCAGAACTCTTCTCATCCAGATGAGGGTCCCCCAGAATCAGTAACCCAGCCTTCCTATTGCAAAGTGGAAGAAGTTGAGCTCATTTGAAGACCCTCACCCTCCATATGGGACACTGGGAGGCCACATGCCCAAGGCTGACAGGTTCTCATCCCTGGGGATGCCCCACAAGGCTGGGGGTTGCTGGGCCAGGCCTCCAGGGAGGCCATTAGAGGGACAAGTCTCCCTCCCTGCGCACCTAACCTCTGGTGGCACTGCAGCAGCTCTGAAAGCTCCCTGGGAAGGCTGTCACAGCCAAGGTGGGGTTGGGGCCCAGATGCCAAATCCCTCACAAAACTACCATGTTCAGATCTTCCTGTAGTGCCAGACACTGTGCAAAGCACTTTCCTCATGTTATCTTATCTGCCTTGCACAGTAGCCCAAAGAGAATGCCATTGCGACCCAACTTTCTAGAAGAAGCTGAGGCTCAGAGAGATCAAGAAACTTCCTCTATGTCACACAGCTTGTAAACTGCAAAACTGGGATTCAAACCCAGGACTTTTTGTGTCTGGGCCTAGAAGAGTGCCCATGACAAAGCTGGTAGGGGGAAAGCTGTCAGGAGACTCGGGTCAGGCCACCCCAACCCCCCAACAGAAGCTGCCAGGCCTCACCGATAGAATAAGTTCCTGAGAGTGTACTCCTCTCCACCTGCTCCCAGCCCTGGTCCCTGCACTTACCTGGACTGATACTGATGTCTGTTTGTGGAAAGGCCTGTGCAGAGTGGAGGGTCAGGAAGGCTGCAGCCCACAGTGTCCACCTTTGCATCCTGAGCTCCTAGAAAGCAACCTCCCAGCCTGAGTGGAGGAGAGAGGCTTTTTGGCTGGAGCTTGGGTCCAGGATTGCTCTCCTAGGGTCAGATGGAGCCTGGCAGGAGCTGGGACAGACTGGATGGACTCCAGTCCCCTCCTCTTTTCTTCCTTTTCTCCTCCCTCCTCTTCACACTGTTGGAGACAGCTCAGAATGACAGCTGAAAGCAAAGCAGCCTAGGCCAGCCCCCCTCAAAGAACCAAGAGACATTTTAGCTCCCAAGCTTGCCTCTGAACCAAGACAAAATTTAGCTCTCAGTCTTGTCTCTGAGTCACGCTGTGGCCTTGGGTGTGCACTTCTCTGAGACTCAGTTTCCCCCTCTGTAAAATGGGATGGTAACGAAACTCACATTCCAGCCTGTCACAGGAGACAAAGCATCTCACCTCCCTCAGAGTAGATATGTACTGGAAGGTAAAATTACTGCAAGTAAGCATTGAGCGCAGAGGTCTCCTGGGCCATGGATGTCATTTGTTTGGTCTGCAGAGTTTTAAATTCTAAAAAATTTGTTAAGGTATAAAACCAAGAGATGCTAGGTATAAGTCCGGATTTCTGCCTTCTATTGGAAAATCGGAAGACCTAACGAAACATAGCCCTCATTTCTACAGGGCAACAATTGCATGGAGCTGAGAAAGAGCATCTCTTTCAGCCAGGCTCTTTGAGCTTCGGTTCACCAAGGTCTCCACCCCATGGGTCTGATCCTGACAGCATCCACCGCTGAGGAAGCACCAGGAAGCCTGTGTGAGTCAGCCTCCTTTCCTCTCCCTTCACCTCTCAGGGTCTCTCAGGGTTCCTCCGGGGGTTAAAGGAGGCATCTGTAGAAGATTCAACAGAGTGTTGCACAGAATAAGTGCTCCACAAAGAGGTGCAAGTGTCATCACTAGTGCATAGCTCTACTGTGTGGCTTGCTCAGAATTCAATGTTTAAAAACCCCTAGTGTTTTCATTGGGATCTCATCGCTCTTTTGGAGAATCAATATTTCTAAAAACCACAGTCTTTCTCCCCCACTTTCTGTGTCCTTAGACAAGTCACTTTGCCTCTCTGAACCTCAGTTGCCTCCTCTGTAAAATGGGGGATAAGTAGAGTACCTACCTCACAAGGATTAAATGAAGTAATTTGTTTCTAAAACTTGGCATAGATGCTGGCAAGTAGTAGGTGCTCAATAAATGACAGCAACATTTGCTATTGTTGTCATTGATCTAGTGCAAGGCTTTCCTTGGCATCACCCACATCCCCTGCCCCTGCACTCCCTTATTCCTCTCCAGAAATGCTCTGCCAGGTGCCCTGACACCTCATGTGGCTGGCACTCACAGGGACTGGAATGTGTCTGTTTGGCTTCCAAGTCTTTCTGGAACACCTGCTGCTGTGCTTGTGAGAAATAACTTAACTTGTGCCCACACAGCTTGCCTTGCCTGCTGGCACTGGAGCTGAAAGTCTGCCAAGGTCTGACTCAGAATATGAGCACAGCTCAGGCTCAGCTTCAACCTACAGGATGCCTCCTCGGGTAGATCTGTTGCCTCAAAACTAGTGTACTGGTGCATATCCCAGAGCATGCACACTTACTTATTTATAAATGGGATATATTTATTACATGTTTATAAGTGATGTGCAGGTACGACTCACTGTACTAATATATTATTTCTGTTATAAAACACACACACCCACATTGGACATTATTAAAGGTTGATAAAAGATATAAATGTGGAAGAAAGTTTGGATATTTTCTCCCTACTCCCTATCATCTTGCAAGCTGAAATTTGGGGGCTCCTGCTGTCATGTTCCTGGGTGCTGCTTGGAATTTAAAAGTGTCTATCTTAGTCTGTTTTGTGCTGCTATACTAGAACACCTGAGACTGGTAATTTATAATGAACAGAATTTATTGGTTCACAGTTCTAGAGACAGGGAAGGCCAAGATCAAGGTGTTGGCATCTGGTGAGGGCTTTCTTGCTGAGTCATCATATGGTGGATAGTGAGAGGGTAAAAGAGAGATGAGTCACAGAGAGAGAGAGACAGAGCTTTTTAAAGAGGGGATGAACCCACTCCTGCCATACCTGAGCTACTCTTGTGATAACATCTTTGATCCATGTATGAGGGAAGAGCTCTTATAACCCAGACACCTCTTAAAAGTCCTGTAACCTCATCGGACCAGTCTAGTTCAACTTTTACGTAACAAAGTTGTGAGTTGTTTTTCATTTGCCATGGACCCTCAGATTGAAGGTCATGTAACCTGAGCATGCCCAGATGAACCAAGTGTGCAACCACAGGGGGAACCTAAGTGCTCAGACTGAGGAGCAGGGACTGAATTCAGAAGCAGACACTACATGGCAGGATCCAGAATCCAATCGGATTGAGCTCTGACGTTACCCCATGGCAGGATCCAATCAGGTCATGCCTCCCCACATCATCTCATTGCAAGATCCAATCAGATCATGCCTCATTACCCTATGCTTATAAAACCTGACCCAAACCCTAGCGTGGGGAGACAGATTTGAGCCTTTCCTCCTGTCTCCTTGCCAGCTGACTAGCAATAAAGCTTTTCTCTTCTTAAAAGCCAGTGCCATGATATTGGCCTCTGGGCACATTGGGTAGCAAGCCCATTGATTACTCAGTACCAGTCCCGCCTCCCAATATCATCACAATGACAATTAAATTTCAACTTGAGTTTTGGAGGGGACAGACATTCAAACCATAGCAATGTCTCTCTGGGTGTGGACACATTAAGTGGGAAGGAGAAGAGTGGTCCAAAGCAGGCCACTAGAAATCCTTCTAAAAAGTGGAGAATCCTTTGATTTGGCAAATAAACCTCCTAAATTATCTGTGTTGTATTTTGATGCCTGAAGGTTTTTATAAATCAGTTCATGTACCCTCTCTGAATGGAGACACACAAGATATTTGTTACTTGCTCAAACACAAGTATGGTCAATGGGCCAGCAGCACGGGGATCTCCTGGTAGCACATTAGAAATGCAGAATCTCAGGCCCCCCAAGACCTGCTGAATCAATTCTGCGTCCCAGGTGGGTTGTGTGTATATTAAAGTTTATGAAACCCTGCTCTGGACAGGGTAGGGAACTTTTTCTATAAAGAACCAGACAGGCCAGGCACAGTGGCTTATGCTTATATTCTAGCACTTTGGGATGCTGAGGTGGGAGGATTGCTTGAGGCCAGGAGTTTGAGGCCATCCTGGGCAACATGGTGAGACCCCATCTCTACTTAAAAAATAAAGTCTTAGCCAGGTGTGGTGGTGCACACCTGTAGTCCCAGCTACTTGGGAGGCTGAGGCAGGGGGTTCGCTTGGGCCCAGGAGCTTGAGGCTGCAGTGAGCCAAGATGGTGTCTGCACTTTAGTCTGGGTGACAGAGTGAGACTCTGTCAAAAAAAAAAAAAAAGAGGTAGACAGTAAATATTTTAGGACTTGTGGGCTACACAGCCTCTGTCACAACTACTCAACTCTGCCAGAAATACAGGACTGGACCAGGCAGTGTGCCAATAAAACTTTATTTACAAAAATAGGCAAGGGGCCAGATTTGGCCCACGGGCTGTCACCTGCCAATCCCTGTTCTAGACCTCAAGCTTTCTGGCCAGAAAGTAAACAATTTCTTCACTTAACAAATATGATCTTTGCTGTCATTTGGAGGTTGTAGGCGTCTCTTTGTTACACCGTATGTATTTTCTGGCTTCTTAAAGTTGTATTTATTGAGTGGTGGCCTATCTTTTCTCTCTCCCAATACATACACTGTGTTCATGGCATCTTGAAGTTCCATTAAGATTCTCCCTCTCTCTCTCTTTTATCTCTCTCCCTCTGTCTGTCTGTCTATCTAATCTCTATCATCTATTTATCTGTCAATCATCTATCTCCCTTAATTTATTAGCTTTTAAAAAATGTTGTTTATCAATTAAACAAAGTCCCTTACCCCTTCACCACAATTATAAAAGAGGCAATAGATGCCAGTTCATTTCATGGCTTTCAATTCAGATGCATTGTTGTTCAGACTCCAGACCTGTTGCTGTGTGATTATATGCTGATTACTTAACCCCTCTAATCCTCAGTTTTCTCAACTGCAAAATGGGAAGAAATCAATACTTCCCTCATACAAGTGGTTAGAAAAATGTTTGTCGCATGATAAGCATTCCATATATGTTAGCTACCTTTCAATCACTTTAGAACCTTCAAAAATACTGTATAGGAAAGTATCAAGTTGATGTGATGGTTGATTTTAGGTGTCAACTTGACTGGATTGAGGGATGCCTCAATCCCGGAGGTAGCGTTGTTTCTGAATGTGTCTGGGAGGGCATTGCCAGAGGAGATTGACATGGGAGTTTGTGGACTGAGAGAGGGAGACTTGCTCTCAGTGTGGGAGGACACCAAACAACTGGCAGGGAGCCAACTGGAAAAAATGGTCAGAAGGAGGGGGACTGGTCATCTCTCTGCTCTCCCTCTTCCTTCCAGAGTAGGACACTTTTTCTCTTTTTGCCTTTGGACATTGGATTCCAGGTTCAGCTTTAGGATTCTAGGGATTGCACCAGTGGCCTTTGGGGTCTCTTGAGTCTGACTGGAGGCTGCTCTGCTGGCTTCCCTGGTTATGAGGCTTTGGACTTGGACTGAGCCACACTCCCAGCTTTGAGCCACACTCCAGCTTCTCTGGTTTTCTAGCTTGTAGTTGGCCTATCCTGAGACTTCACCTCTGTGACTGTGTTTGCCAACTCCTCCTCAATAAATCCCCTTCCATCTATCCTACTGGCTGTCTCTCTGGAGAATCCTAATACAGATTTTGGTACCAGGAGGTAGTTCTAGAGAAACAATTTTTTTTTTTTTAGATGGAGTCTTGTTCTGTTGCCCAGGCTGGAGTGCAATGGCGCAATCTCGGCTCACTGCAACCTCTGCCTCCCAGGTTCAAGCGATTCTCCTGCCGCAGCCTCCCGAGTAGCTGGGACTACAGGCGCCCGCCACCATGCCCGGCTGATTTTTTTTTTGTATTTTTAGTAGAGATGGGGGTCTCACCATGCTGGGCAGGCTGGTCTCAAACTCCCGATCTCATGATCTGCCCGCCTCGGCCTCCCAAAGTGCTGGGATTACAGGCCTATGCCACTGCGCCCAACCATTTAGAGAAACAATTTTAAGAATGAAGTTCCTTACTTGGTTTTGGGGTTTCTGGAATTGGCTCTGTAATCTGATTAAACCCCAAAATGCTAAAGATTCTACTTCTCATAGTACGGAGAGCATTGATAGTCCATGGCATGAACTGTTAATAGAGATACACAAAATAAATGCACTTGATACTCCTAGTACACTGCTAAGAAGAAGCAAGGAACTTAGTGACCCTGTGCATGATACTTTTGAGCATCTGTAGAAAGCCAAGGCATAGAATGATGTGGGTTAGTTGCTCCTAACATCGGTAGACAAAGTGATGAAAGAAAAGAATGAGGACAGGGACTCAATTTCTCAGCTCTAGATGCACACAATTAGCCTGGAAGCTTCTAAGTGTGCCCTGAAGCAGAATCTTCTCTCCTGTATGGTCATAGGGTTGAAAGTGCTGAAAATCAAACACAAGCCCTCATCCTCCAATTGGCTGACTTACAATGAAAGGTAAACTCAGCCCCTCAGGGTGTCTACCGTTAAGGTGAGGGTATTGATTGGGAAAGAATGGGCCCTGTAAGTTGGGAGGGATGTGTGGGAGGATTCTGAGGAGGCTGGGACACTGAACTTCTATTTTTTTTTTTTTAAGAGACAGGGTCTTGGACGGGCATGGTGGTTCACGCCTGTAATCCCAGCACTTTGGGAGGCTGAGCGGGGTGGATCACTGAAGGTCAGGAGTTTGAGACCAGCGTGGCCAACATGGTGAAACCCCATCTCTACTAAAAAATACAAAAATTGGCCTGGCAAGGTGGCTCACACCTGTAATCCCAGCACTTTGCAAGGCCAAGGTGGGTGGATCACAAGGTCAGGAGATGGAGACCATCCTGGCTAACACAGTGAAACCCCATCTCTACTGAAAACACAAGAAATTAGCCGTGTGTGGTGGCTAGCGCCTGTAATCCCAGCTACTCGGGAGGCTGAGTCAGGAGAATGGCATGAACCTGAAAGGCGGAGCTTGCAGTGAGCCGAGATCGCACCACTGCACTCCAGGCTGGGTGACAGAGCCAGACTCCGTCTCAAAAAAAAAAAAAAAAAAAAAAAAAAAAAAAAAACACCAAAATTAGCCAGGCATGGTGGCCGGCGCCTGTAATCTCAGCAACTCGGGAGGCTGAGGCAGGAGAATTGCTTGAGCCTGGGAGGCGGAGGTTGCAGAAAGCTGAGATGGCACCACTGCACTCCAGCCTGGATGGCCCAGCAAGACTCCGTCTCAAAAAGAGAGACAGGGTCTTGCTCTGTTGCTCAGGCTGGAATGCCATGGCACAATCATAGCTTACTGCTCTGAGCTCTTAGATTCTGATGAGTCTTATTTCCCAAGTGAAGTGACCTCCCTGTCTGCAGTGGTATAGGTCTTACACCACTTACAGGTTTTATAAGTTAATCCCCCTTGTCTAGGGGGATTAAGCCCTGCATTGCTTGAGGAAACAGAAGTGGCCTCCTCCAAGGCAGTTGCCAGGCAAGACAATGCTGATTCTCCTCTGGACCTAGCTCCACCACCCCTTTTTACTTCTAGACCTATAACCTGTCTCTAATCCCAGCAGGCCCATAAAGGTGAGGCACAAAGTGTGACCCATGAGAAGGTACGCTACACACCAAAAGAACTACATGAGTTTTCTAATTTATACACACAGAAATCTGGAGAACATGTGTGGGAAAGGATATTCAGGATGTGGGATAATGGTGGAAGGAACAGAAAGTTAGATCAGGCCAAATTTACTAACATAGGCTCACTAAGCAGAGAGTCTGCATTATTGTTGCAGCTTGGGGAGTTAGAAAAGATGTGAATAGTTTGATTCCTTGACTGGTTGGCTGAAACATGGGTCAAAAGATGGCCCACCATGATGGAGCTGGAGATGCCTGATCTCCCCTGGTTTAATGCAAGAAGAGATTTAAAGGTTTAGGGAGATTGGGATGATAGAGTAGATTTGTCACACACTCACACTGGGAGGGACCAGAAAATATGCCTTTGACTAATGCTTGAGAAATAGATTTGTGAGGGGAACACTAGCATCCTTGAAGAGCTCTGTAATTGTTCTTCTCTGTAGGCCAGACCTTACAGTGGGAACTGCAGTCACTCAACTGGAAAACTTAAATGCAATGGGAATAATTGATTCCGGGGTGGCAGCAGCCAAGTGGCAGCACTAACCATCAAAGGCAAGATGGGCGTGTTTACCATAATGGATCACAAAGGCAAAGCAACAACCAGAATAGTTGGCCTCCTGTTGACCTGTGGCACTGGCTAATTAATCATGGTGTTCCTGTTGGCATTGGTTAATTAATCATGGTGATCCTAGAAGTGAAATAGATGGGAAGCCTACCACATTCTTTTATTTGTTTAATTCTTTTTATTTTTAAAATTTTAATTTTTTTAGCTATTAAAAAAATTTTTTTAAGAGACAGGCTCTTGTTTTATCATCCACGCTGGGGTGCAGTGGTACAATCACAGTTCACTGCAGCCTTGATCTCCTGGGCTCAAGTGAGCCTCCCTCCTCAGCCTCCCAAGTAGCTAGTACTACAGATGTGTGTCACCTTGTCTGGCCCTGGAAGTCTACTACATTCTTACTTGATCTGTGTAAGCAGAAAACTTTCAGGTCAAGTGAACAAAAGTAATTTAAATCATAAAAACAGAGAATCATGGTCCCTCAATCATTTTCCAGACTTGAGTTAGCCTACAGACCCCAGAACCCCTTGAAAGAAGCAGAGGCTGAGTCTCCCTGAGGAAGGACCCTGGTACACTACTGAAGATTTATGCTGTTAATCTTTTCCCCATCCTTCCCCAAAGGGACCTATGGCCTTTTACCATAGGTAACTGTGCACTGGGGAAAGGGAAATAATCAGACCTTTGGGGACTACAATACTGGCTCTAACTGACATTGATTCCAGGAGACCCAAAAAGGGCACTGTGGCCCTCCAGTCAAAGTAAGGGCTTTTGGAGGTGTCAAAGAAAAATAAAATCTAAGGACCCCAAACTCACTATGCCAAAGAGAAAAGTTAAGCTTGGGAATTGAGTAATGCAAAAACTGCCTTTCTTTTGTTCCTAACCAGATAGCTATAACTTCACATGCTTATTTTATCTTATGTAAAATGTAGATCTACTGAGTGTGAAATGAATACATAATTGACTTTTCCCCTCACTCATTCCTTTTCACATGTAAAATGTGGATTCACTGAGCACTGGTCAGAGCCTCACAAGAATGTGACCACTCCCTTCACTGTGTATCTTCCCCCTCCTTGTTTCTTTCCTCCTTCCCCTCCTGCCCCCTCTTTTCCCTTTAAATATTGAAGTCCTCAAAATTGTCTTGGGAAAAAGCACAGGCTTTAGATTCCACTCTAACTTGTGTCTCTTTTTTCCAGACTCATCCTCAACCTTAGCAAAATAAACCTCTAAATTGATTGAGACCTGTCTCACACACTTTTTGGTTTACAGAGGTCAGGTGATTAGTGGAGCTTTAGCTCAGGTCCAACTGACAGTGGGTCCAGTGGGTCCTGGAACCCATCCCATGGTTATTAAACATTCCCTAGTTCCAGAATGCTTAATTGAAATAGACATACTTAGCAGCTGGCAGAATCCCCACATGGACCCCCTAACTTGTGGAGAGAGGACTATTATGGAAAGGCCAAATGGAAGCCATTGAGCTGCCTCTATACAGAAAAATAGTAAATCAAAAACAGTATTGCATCCCTGGAGAGATTGCAGAGATTAGTGCCATCATCAAGGACTTGAAAGACACAGGGGTGGTGATTCTCCATTCTGTGTTCAGTTTGGATGGAGAACACATCTCCATTCAACTCTCTTATTTGGCTGGTGCAGAAGACAGATGGATCTTGGAGAATGACAGTAGATTATCATAAGCTTAACCAACTGGTGACTCCAATTGCAGCTGCTGTACCAGATGTGGCTTCATTGCTTGAGCAAATTAACACATCTCCTGGTACCTAGTATGCAACTATTGACCTGGCAAATGCATTTTTTACCATATCCGTCCATAGGATCCACTGTAGTTTGCTTTCAGCTGACAAGGCCAGCAATATAGCTTTACTGTCCTCCCTCAGGGATACATCAGTTCTCCAGCCCTATATCATAATTTTGTTTGCAGGTATTTTGACTGCCTTTCCCTTTTACAAAGTATTACATTGGTCCATTACATTGATGACATTATGCTGATTGGACATAGTGAGAAGTAGCGACCACTCTGAACTTATTGGTAAGATATTTGTATGACAGTGGGTGGAATATAAATTCAACTAAAATTCAAGGAACTTCTACATCAGTGAAATTTCTAGGAATCCTGTGGTGAGGGGCCTGTTGAGATACTTCTTCTAAGGTAAAGGATAAATTGTTGCATTTGGCCTTTTCTACAACCAAGAAATAGGCATGATGCCTTGTGGGCCTATTTGGATTTTGGAGGCAACACATTCCTCATTTGGTTGTGTTACTCTGGCCCATTCACTGAGTGACCCAAAAAGCCATTGGTTCTAAGTGGGGCTCAAAACAGGAGAAGGCTTGGTAACAGGTCCAGACTCCTGTTAAAGCTGCTCTGCCACTTGGGTCTTATGATCCAGCAGATCTAGTGGTGCCTAAGGTGTCAGTGGCAGATGGGGATGCTGTTTGGAGTTTGGAGCAAGGCCGTGCATCATCCGCAGATAACTCCTCTCCTGTTGAGAGATGGCTCTTGGCGTGATACTTGGCCTTAGTAGAAACTGAACGCTTGACTATGGGTCACCAAGCTCTCATGCCACTAGAGCTGCCCATCATGAATTAGGTGTTATCTGATCCACCAAACCATAAAGTTGGACATGCACAGCAGCACTCCTTCATCAAATGGAAGTGGTATGTTTGTGACCAGGTATGACCAGGTATGTATGTGATCTGGTATGTGACCAGGCCTGAGCAGGTCCTGAAGGCACAAGTACCTTACAAGAAGAAGTGGACCAGATGCCCATGCTCCCCACTCCTGCTACACTATCTTCTCTCTCCCAGCCTGCACCTTTGGGCTCATGGGGAGTACCCTATGATCAGATGACAAGAAAAGAGAAGATTGGGGTCTGGTTTACAGATATTTCTGCATAATATGCAGGCATCACCCAGAAGTGGACAGCTGCAGCAGTACAGTCAGTTTCTGGGACATTTCTGATGGATAACGGTGAAGGGACATCTTCTCAATTGGCACAACCTTGGGCAGTGCACCTGGTTGTGCACTTTGCTTGGAAGGAGAAGTGGCCAGACATGGGACTATATATTATTCATGGGCTATAGCCAATGGTTTGGCTGAATAGTCAGGAACTTGGAAGGAACATGACTGGAAAATTGGTAACAAATAAATTTAGGAATGAGGTATGTGAACAGACCTCTCCGAGTGGGCAAAAAATGTGAGAGTATTTGTGTCCCAGCTGAATACTTACCAAAGGGTGGCCTCAGCAGAGGAGGATTTTAATAATCACGTCAATAGGATGACCTGTTCTGTGAATACCAGGCAGCCTCTTTCCCCAGCCACCCCATCGTTGCCCAATGGGCTCATGAACAAAGTGGCCATGGTGGCAGGGATGGAGGTTATACATGGATTCAGCAACATGGACTTCCACTCACCAAGGCTGACCTGGCTACAGTGGCCACTGCTGAGTCCTCAATCAGCCAGCAGCAGAACCCAGCACTGAGCACCCAATATGGCATCATTCCTTGGGGTGATCAGCTAACTACCTTGTGGCAGTTTGATTATATTGGACCACTTCCATCATCGAAGAGGCAGCATTTTGTCCTTATTGGAATAGACACTGACTCTGAATATGGATTTGCCTTCCTTCCACGCAATGCTTCTGACAAAACTACCATGCATGGACTTACAGAATGCTTTGTCCACCATCATGGTATTCCACACAACATTGCTTCTGACCAAGGAACTCACTTTACACCCAAAGAAGTGTGGCAGTGGGCTCATGCTCATGGAATTCACTGATCTTACCATCTTCTCTACCATCCTGAAGCAGCTGGCTTGATGGAACAGTGGAATGGTCTTTTGAAATCACAGCCAGCTAGTTAACAATACTTTATAGGGGTGGGGCAAGGTTCTCCAGAAGGCTGTATATACTCTGAATCAGATATGGTGTTGTTTCTCTGGTAGCTAGTATTCACGGGTCCAGGAATCAAGGAGTGAGCATAGGAGTAGCTCCACTCACTATTACTCCTACTGACCCACTAGCAGTTTTTTGTTTGTTTGTTTTGCTTCCTGTTCCATGACATTATGTTCTGCTGCCCTAGAGATCTTAGTTGCAGAGGGAAGAATGCTTCTACCAGGAAACACAATAGTGATTCTATTGACCTGAAAGTTAAGACTGGCACCTGGCCACTTTGGGCTGCTCATGCCTCTGAGTCTACAGGCTAAGAAGGGAGTTATGGTGTTGGGTAGGGTGATTGATCTGGACTACCAAGGGGAAACTGGATACTACTCTACAATGGAGAAAAGGAAAAATATGTCTGGCACACAGGAGGATCCCATAGAGTGTCTTGTTAATGCCTTGGAATCAAGGATGATGGGAAACTACAATAACCCAATCTAGGCAGAACTATGAATGGCCCAGACCCTTCAGAAATGAAAGTTTGGGTCACCCTGCTCCATTAAAAACCATGAGCAGGCTGAGAGCAGTGGCTCACACCTATAACCCAGCACTTTGGGAGGCTGAGGTGGAAGGATTGCTTGAGTCTAGGAGTTCAAGACCAGCCTGGGCAACACAGGGAGACCCTGTCTCTATAAAAACAAAACAAAAACAAAAACAAAAAAATCATGACCAGCTGAGGTGTTTGCTGAAAGCAAAGGGAATACAGATTGGGTAGTAGAAGGTAGTTATGAACAATCAACTATGACCTGCACCAGTTACAGAAATGATGATTATAATTATATGAGCCTTTTTCTCCCTACTTGGTTAAGAAACCATTATATATACAGGGCATCTCTCAATCCCTTGTGCATATATATACATATATTAAGCAAATATCTTTGTTTTCTCTTCTGCCTTATTCTTTTATCATGTAACATAAGATTTATCAACTTTATTTTTATCTATTTATTTTTGAGACAGAGTCTCGCTCTGTTGCCCAGGCTGGAGCACAGTGGCACCATCTCGGCCCATTGCAACCTCCACCTCCCGGGTTCAAGCAATTCTCCTGCCTTAGCCTCCAAGTAGCTGGGACTACAGGGATGCGCCACCATGCCTGGCTAACTTTTGTATTTTTTAATAGAGACAGGGCTTCGCTATGTTGGCCGGGCTGGTCTCGAACTCCTGGCCTCAAGTGATCAGCCCACCTCAGCCTCCCAAAGTGCTGGGATCACAGGCGTGAGCCACCACACCCAGCTAGATTTATTAACTTTATATCAGCATTTAAGCATTGTTAATTTTACATCCTGGTATTTCAGTTATGGAATATTAGGAGAAGAGTAAACATCACTCAAGAACTTTACCTCCTCTTCTGGGGACGGGGTTCACACATTTTTGGTTGTACTTTGGATAGCTGTATCATGTCATGTGGAATTATGACCTTGTAATTGTCTTTATGTGGAGATTAAGTATGGTTTAAGGAGACATGCAGGAGTACCAGGTTGACAAGGGGTAGGCTTATGATGGTTAATTTTAGGTGTCATCTTGACTGGATTGAGGATTCCTAGACAGCTGGGGAAGCCTTGTTTCTGGGCATGTCTTGGGGGGGTCGTTTACAGAGGAGATTGATGTGTGAGTCAGTGGTCTGAGAGAGGGAGACACCTTCAGTGTGGTGGATGCCATCCAGTTGGCTGGTGGTCTGGCTGGAACAAAAGGGCAGAAAGGGGATTGGCCCTTTTTGATCTCTCTCTCCTTTCCAGAGTGGGACACTTTCCCTCTTTTTGCCTTTAAAGGAACATTAGACTCCAGGTTCTTCGGTTTTTGGACTCCGGGACTTGCACCAGCATCCTTCAGGGGCCTCTTGGGTCTAACTGGGGACTGCACTGTTGGTTTCCCTGGTTATGAGGCTTTGGATTTGGACTGAGCCACACTCCCAGCTTTGAGCCACGCTCCCAGTTCTCCAGTTCTCCAGCTTGCAGTTGGCCTATCCTGAGATTTCTCTGCCTCTGTGATCATGTGAGCCAATCCCCCCTAATTAAATCCCCTTCCATATTTCCTACTGGTACTGTCTCTCCGACAGCCCTGACTAATACAGTTAGGTAGTAAAAGAATGACCCAAAGGACCACTGCTGCCAACCTGTAGGGCACTGCCATCCAGTCTTTTTTCTAGGCCTAAGTTTTCAGTTTTTACCTACAAACATCCCAGAGTTATTTTTAAATGGTATTTTTGATCATAAAAAGGGCAGATATCCCACTGCCAGTGGATGACAGTCCACCCAGAAAGGAAAGGAAAGGAATTTTCTTGCAGTGATTCCCAGCTTTCTGGGAGTGAAATATCAGTACCCAGGAAATAGCTATTCCTGACGCCCTGGGACCCATCCTATGTGAGCAGAGCTGGGCAGGGGTCATTAGCTTCTGCAAGTCCAAGGTGTGGGCTGGAATCCTGGGATGCCCTGGAGTCAGCCGTGAGCTCCGAGTCACTGCCAAGGAGGGAAAGGGGGATGTTGCTTCACCCAAGAAGATGAGCGGACTCTTGGATGGTCCTGGGAAAGTAGAAGCGGGTTTAAAAATCCCCAACCCAGCTTTTTTCCTTTGAACTCAAGTTCCCATTCCAAAGAGGGTGTTTAAGTGGCCTGTGTATCTCCTTTCCCACCTCCTACCTGAAGAGGAGGAGGATGCCAATTTAAACGAGTGGGCAGCCCACAACAGGGCACCTTGGGCACAGGTTTCTACAGAAACTCAGTCCTTCCTTCACCTTTCAACACATCCCTCTCGTCTCCTGACGAGCTCTGTTCCTGGAGATGTGAAAGGCTCTGATCTGTCCACCACTGTTACCTCTGATCATCCAGCAAACACTGCCTGATGTGTGCTAGCACTCATCACCATCACGCAGTGTGCCAAGGGTTATGGTAAAACTTTGCAGGCAAAACAACAACAACAACAACAAAACAACAACACAACTAAACAAACAAACTCTCTGCAGGCATTTTCCCAGCTAATCAACCCTAAGGGGTAACAACTGTCACCCTATTTCCGGACATGGTGGTGTGTGCCTGTAGTTCCAGCTACTCGGGGAGCTGAGGCAGGAGGATTGATTGAGCCCAGGAGTTCGAGACCAGATTGGGTAACATAGTGAGATCCTGTCTCAAAATTTAAAAAAAAAGAATTGTCATCCTATTTTTAGATGACACAGCCCAGTGGAGTGTTTAGCTACACTGGCTCTGACTTAGTTTGCTAGGGCTGCCTTAATAAAGTGCCACAGACTGGGGCTTAAACAACAGAAATTCATTGTCTCACAGTTCTGGAGGCTGGAAGTCTGAGATTGAGGTGTCAACAGGGTTGGTTCCTTCTGAGGGTTATGAGAGATTTGTTCCAGTCCTCTCTCCTTGGCTTGTAGATGGCTTTCTTCTCCCTGTCTCTTCACATCTTCTTCCCTCTGTGTCTGTCTCTGCATTCAAATTTCCTCCTTTTTTCTTTCTATTTTTTGAGACGGAGTCTCACTCTGTTACCCAGGCTGTCACGATCTCAGCTCACTGCAACATTTGCCTCCTGGGTTCAAGTGATTCTCCTGCCTCAGCCTCCCAAATAGCTGGGATTACTAGCATGTGCCACCATGCCTGGATAATTTTTTGTATTTTTAGTAAAGTTGGGTTTCACCATGTTGGCCAGGCTGGTCTCGAACTCCTGACCTCAAGTGATCTTCCTGCCTTGGCCTCCCAAAATGCTGGGATTACAGGCATGAGCCATTGTGCCTGGCCAAATTTCCTCTTCTTATAAGGACTCCAGTCATATCAGATGAGGGCTCACCTCATGACCTCACTTCAACCTGATCACCTTTGTAAAGACCCTCTCTCCAAATAAGGCCACAGTCTCAGGTTAGGACTCCAGCAAATCACCAACCCATAACAGGGTAGGCAGCTGGGCCTGGGCTGGCTTTTTATCTCTATTGCAGTTACCTGACACTTAAACTTATTAAATCTTGACTTCCAGCTGGGCGCAGTGGCTCATGCCTGTAATTTCAGCACTTATGGGAGGCCGAGGCAGAAGGATCACTTGAGCCCAGCAATTCAAGGCCAGCCTGTACAATATAATGAGAGCTCATCGCTACAAAAAAATTAAGAAGTTAGCCAGGCCTATGATCCCAGCTACTTGGGGGGCTGAGGTGGGAGGATTGCTTGAGCCCAGTGCTGTGAGCCGTGATACCACCACTGCACTCCAACCTGGGAGACGGAGCAATTTTTTGCCTCAAAAAAAAAAAAAAAAAAAATCTTGGCCTCCCCATTTGTAAAAGGAGATTAACATCTCTTCTACACCCCTGAAGGTTGCTGCATGAGGCTTAAATGTGATGTTTGGCACCTCGTGTGGTGCTAGTCAGCCCTCTTGTTATTACTAATGAAGGTGTCTAATGCTGGGGATGCCCTGCCTCATATCCCTCAGTCCACCTGGCTCCCCTGTGGCTATAGGGAGCTGTGTTGTGCACATACACAGCTGACCTCATCAAGCACATGTGCCTCTTCCTCTGCCCAGAGATTTCTCTGGTGTTATGGGAGCTTATACAGACCACACTGGACAATTCTGAAGTGCCAAACATTTAATGCTTTCAGGGCAGCCCTCAAGCCATGAGGAGGGACAAGCGTCAGTAATTAAATACTCCAGCTTCTGCATAATGATAATTCTTTAGTGTTTTCTACAGGGGTCCTCAGTATGACTGAGCTCACAGTACTAATTCATGAAGACTTTTGCTTTTCTCCTTCCCCTTATTCTTCACTTATGCTTTCTGGGGTCGTCTGCACCCAAGTCCTCATGTCAAGGTCTGTTTTTGAGGCACCCTAAGACAACGAGGAAATTGAGGCTTAGAAGACTTACGTGGTTTGTGCCCCAGTACACAGTTAAGGAGTGGTGGTCCTGGGATTTGAACTATGGTTTCTTGGGCCCAAAGCCCTTGGGCCTCATCACCAATGACTCCACCTCTAGTTCTAAGTGCTTATTACGTACCTGTCTTCACTCATTTTGTTTGTTCTTTTATGCTTTTATCTTCTACTGTAAACCACAGTAATGAAGCCATTTCATAGAGAAGGAAAACACTTCTCCTTTTCTGAGAACTTAACTGATATGGTTTGGATGTTGTTTCCCCCTCCAGATCTCATGTTGAAATGTGATCTCCAATGTTGGAGGTGGGGCCTGGTGGAAGGTATTTGGGTAATGGGGGTGGATCCCTCATGAACGGCTTGGTGATGAGTGAGTTCTCACTCTATTAGAGCTGGTTGTTTAAATGAGCCTGGCACCTCCTTCTCTTCCTCTCTCACTTCCTCTCTTGCCATGTGACACGCCTGTTCACCCTTTGCCCTCTACCATGATTGTAAGCTTCCTGAGGCCTCAACAGAAGCCACACAGATGCCAGCACTGTGCTTCCTGTATAGCCTGCAGAACCATGAGCCAAATAAACCTCTTTATAAGTTACCCAGTTTCAGGTACTCCTTTACAGCAATGCAAAATGGATGAATACATCAACCTAACCCAGCCTCCCTGTTTCTCCCCCTTGACCTCCACAACACTTCCACTCCAGAATGGGAGACACCATGAGGTTCTCTCTGCAATACCCAATGTAGCCTGAGGGGTGAAGCCATTTTAGCCCATGGAGCAGTTACCTGGGTCATGCCCTTAGCAGGGCTTGGCCAACAAAATGCTAAATAAGCCGTGAATCTTGCCCTGAGGAAGTGAAAAGTTTTATATAGAAGAGCAACACTGGAATAATTGGCATTAGTACACTGCTCAAGTCAGACAGACATATTGCAAATACTCAACATTCTTGACCCCCAAAATCTATCAGTATAATAAATATCATTGTTTTGAAGCTGGGTGCAGTGGCTCATGCCTGTAATTCCAGCACTTTGGGAGGCTGAGGCTGAGGCAGGTGGATCACTTGAGGCCAGGAGTTCAATTCCAGCCTGGCCAACATGGTGAAACTCTGTCTCTACTAAAAATACAAAAATTAGCCAGGGGTGGTGGTGCACACCTGTAATCCCAGCCACTCGGGAGGCTGAGGCAGGAGAATTGCTTGAATGCAGGAGGCAGAGGTTGCAGTGAGCAGAGACTGCACCACTACCCTCCAGCCTGGACAACAGAGTGAGACTTTGTCTCAAAAAAAAAAAAATCATTGTTTTGACTTGTTCAGTATGGTTTGTTACACAGCAGTACTAGCTGCAATGCCCTCCCACCTTCTATGTCCTGTGTTCATGAAGAAAAAGATAACTCGAATGCATGGCACAAATAAATAATCTTTAATTTCAATAAATAGCTCCCCATCACACCAGACATTATGCTGTGGAAAAAGATACAGAAGCATCCAACAGAGAGAGAGGAAAGAGAGAGAGAGAAAGAGAGAGAGAGAGAGATCTATTCTAACTACACTAATTCCTTAGCACGAGAGACGTGACATTCGTTCACAGAAAAACACAGAAAGATCCTCAGAGTATGATTAAGGAAGAAGATCATCATGGATGGGGTGTGATAGCCATTTTAATCCATATATCAAGTCTTTGTATGTCTTTCGTGGGTCACAATCACCATGATTCGGTCAAAAAATGTTACTTTTGCTCTATCATATCCTATTTACTTTACACACACACACACACACACACACACACACACACACTACTTTTATCCAAAGTGGGATCTCTGACAGACAGGAGGACACTGGTTGGACTCTCACTGGACAGGAGAGGCAGAGAGAAGGCAGTGCTCAGGGCTGAGGTCCTGGCCCATCGCCATGCTCTCCAAGAGGACACATAGGCACACACGTGTTCGCCTGTGAGGGCACATGCACGAGGACATACACATACATACCCACAGGGCGTTCCCTGGGATGAGCTAACACAAGAACAATTCTGTTAAGCCAGGAAAGGCTTCTGACACTGGAATAGTTTTGGTTGCCATTTGGTTTCTCCAAATGGCCCATAATCTAGTTATCACATTTACTACGGAGAAGACAAAGATACTTACACCTTTGGAGAAAGGTATCAGGTTTGAAGAACCCCAGGGAACAGCAGCCTGTTCAGAAGTTACCCAGTAGGTGTGTGTTTCGGAAGTGGGGGGTGTTCAAGTCTCCCACACACTGGCCAAACTCTTGGTAAATTTAGTCTTGATGGAGCTTGGCACCCTTTGGGAGGTCCTTTCTCTGGCCTGAGGGTTGAAAGTGCATTTTGGGGCAGGAGTATTGACAAGAGCAGGCACTGCCAATAAGTCCCACGGCAGAGCCCACTGAGCTTGTGATCTATGGATGGGGCTTCCGGAAAGTTCCTAGGCCTCACTCAACTGAGGGCGGCCATTTTGTGATCAATAGTCAGCTTCCTCTCAGTTCTGAGAGGATTTGGGGTATCTGTGTGTCTGTGTGTGTGGACGTGTGTAGACATGTTGCGAGTGTGTATGCAGGTGTGGATGTAATAGTATGTGACACATTTTTTTCCGTCTTTTTTTTTTTTTTTTAAACAAATGAAAGCTGCCTTCCCTGCAGCCCTCAGGTCACCTCCAGGGAGGCAGGAGACACGCGGTCACACTCAGCTCGGGACCTCAGGCTATGCCACTGCTCCACGGCTGTGCGGTGCGTGTTGAGCATGCGCCTCCAGTGGTTGGTCTCAGAGGGGCCTGAAGAGTACTGGCCAATGACGATCCTCCCGATGAAGTCATTGCTGCTCTTCATGTTGTGGCCGAAAACTAGGGAGCCAGAGGGTTGAGGGCAGGAGGGAGGCAAGAGGAAGGAGGGGAACAGAACAGGAAGGCAGGGAGAAGACAAGAGGCCATTAGTCTACACATTTGTCAACTGCAAACATGGGGGTCATCGTTTAGGGCACGCTGTCTTTTTCCTTTTCTTGGTGAGAAGTCCAACTCCCTCATCTCATCCTCCTGTGAGTCTCTGCAACAGCTGCACCTGGTTTCCTGCCATCCCATGCCAGCCAGATTCTTACCTCTCAGCCTTGGCATTGGCTGTTCCTTCTGCCAGACAGCTGCACCGCCTGCAATATGCAGCCTTAAACGTATGTCCCACGGCATCACCACACTGCATATAGAGCTCTGTAAGTGGATAGTTCTAGTGGAACAGTGAGCCTGTCAATGTAGTCCAGTTGAGCGATTAAACCAGGGTTTCTCAATCATGGAACTGTTGACATTATGGGCGGGATAATCCTTTGCCGTAACTGTCCTGTGGACTGTAGGAAGTTTAGCAGCATCCCGGGTACCTACGTACTAGAAGCTGGTAGCAGCTCTCTCTACAGCTGTGACAACCCCAAATGTCTTCGGACATGGCCAAATGGCCCCTGCGGAGGCCAATGCATCCCAAACGGGAACCACTAGGTTAAGCCATGGGCCATGGGACCAAATATCCTGGGAGTGAATCCTGGCTCTATCATTTGACCAAGCTCTGTGTCTCTGAGGCAGGCGAAGTAACCTCTCTGAGCCTCAGTTTCTTTATTAGTTAAACAGGAATTTTAGTAGTGCTTCTCTCATAGGTCAATGTGCAATTTCTATGAAATAATGTGTGTAAAGCTCTCAGCACACAGTGCCAAGCAGGTGGTAAGAGCTCAACAAATGTTATACTGCTATTTTGAGCCTAAATTTCTGTCTGTTGACCTTTTATAAAAGAGACTTCATGTTTCCTCTGTTCCATCAAATGCTGGAAATTTTCTGAGAGTAATGGCTACGGCAACTTCTTCCACCCCTTGTTGTGCTGCATGTCTCTTTGAAAGGCTTCTCTGTTAATCCCAACTTCAGCTTAATTTGTGTCTTTCAAGCCTAATGAGACGGTTAACTTGATTTATCTTCCCGGCCAAGTTCCGCCTAATTCTTGATCTGTGTGTGGGTAGTCCAGGCATGCCATCTCACTAATGGGAAAGCAGGCTATGCCTGTGTTATAAATGAAGGGCTACAGAATGGGAAATATCACAGATTCACCCAGCGTGAGCCGAGCAAAGGCAGGCTAGATCCCAGGAGGGATGCTGAATATCATATAAAGCAACTAAAATATGCTGCCAAAAACAGAGCTTGAATGCTAATGAGCCTCTGTTCTCCCCTGTGGGTTTCACACCACGAATTCCAAATGATGAAAATGAGGGAGAAAAAAGAAAAATGGAAAAATAAAAACAAAAACTCCATCCATCGTCCAAAAGCCAAAAAGACTTAGGGAAAACTAGGCTACGTGAAATACTATGTCATCTTCAGCAAGAGGGATGGGTACCTGTCAGCTCTGTGGAGAAAAATTGGACCATGTATATTTTTTGTACATTTGGTAACATGCTCAGTATGCATAGGTGGACCTCATTTACATGCAAATTACTTACAAAGAGAAATAATAGGAATGGAAGCTTTGCTTAATAAATGAAATTGCTAAGGAGCTCTCTGCATTTGAAAAAATAATTGAACAGGTAACACTCAAGGCTTTTAGGAATGACACTTAGTGGGCAGTGTAAGGTTTGATCTCACCAAATGAGGACAAGTTACCAGAGTCCCCTTCCCTGTGAGCCTCAAATCTAAAATAAGATACTATTATGAGACCACTTCAGGCCCCATTTAGTTTTCTTCTTTGGGGGCAAAATGTTCTATCTTCTTCTTCCTCTCCAAAGCTCAAGAATGACAATGCAGAAACTTCCCTTCTAAATGGGTATGGGTTCTACTTCTTTGTGAAAGGGCTTTAAGAAAGGAAATTCTGACTGGGCACGGTGGCTCGCATCTGTAATCCCAGCACTTTGGGAGGCTGAGGCAGGTGGATCGCTTGAGCCCAGGAGTCTGAGACTAGTCTGGGCAACATGGAAAAACCCTGCCTTTACTAAAAAATACAAAAAATCAGCCAGACATAGTGGTGTGTGCCTGTAGTCCCAGCTACTCAGGAGGCTGAGGTGGGAGGATCACCTGAGTCCAGGGAAGTCAAGGCTGCAGTGATGGTGCCACTGCACTGGCTCTAGCCTGGGTAGCAAAGTGACCTTGCTTGTCTCAAAAAAAAAAAAAGGTGGGGGAAATCTCAGTCTCACGTACTCTCATGTGCCGCTGGTGGAAAAGCAAGTTGGTTCAAATTTTGGGGTGGTTCACAGCATCTGTTCAAAATAAATATGTCATAACTCATGACTCAGCAATTTCACTTCTAGGAATTGATCCCATAGAATTTTCTGCACAAATGGACAAAAATACACATACAAGGATATTTTATATAGCAGGAATGGGCAAACTAGAGCCTCCCAGTCAAATATGGACTACTACCTGTTTTTGTAAATAAAGTTTTATTGGAACACAGTCAAACCCATTTGTTTACATAATGCTGCTTTTGTGCAAAAAGGGCAGAGTTGATGTCTTAGTCCATTCAGGCCGCTGTAACAAAATGCCATAAACTGGGTGGCTTATAAACAACAAAAACTTATTGCTCACAGTTCTGGAGGCTGGGAAGTTCAAGATCAAGCCACTGGCAAATTCGGTGTCTGGTGAGAAGCTGCTTCCTCATAGGTGGTATCTTCTCACTGAGTCCCCACATGGTGGAAGGGACAGGCTAGTTCTCTGGGGCATCTTCTATAAGGGCACTAATCCCAATTATGAGGGCTCCAACCTTCATGACCTAATCATCTCCCAAAGGTCCCGCCTCCTAATGCCATCACTTTGTGGGTTAGGAATTCAACATACAAATTTGGCAGGGTGGGGGACAACTATTCAGACCACAGCAGCTGAATAATTTGGAGGCCATGTGGCTCTCAAAGCCTCACATATCTGCTATCTGTCTGGTTCATCCATGTTGTAGTGCTACTTTTTATGGCCAGCTAACGTTCCATTGTATGGATATGCCATGTTTTGCTTATCTGTTCATCAGATGATGGACATTTGGGTTGTTTCCACATTTTGACTATTATTATGGATAATGCTACTGTAAACATTTATGTCCAAGTTTTTTTTTTCTTTTCTTTTTTTTTTTTTTTTTTGAGTTGTAATTTCACTGTTGTCACCCAGGCTGGGATGCAGTGGCGTGATCTCGGCTCACTGCAACCTCTGCCTCCCGGGCTCAAGTGATTCTCCTGCCTCAGACTCCCAAGTAGCTGGGTACAGGTGCCCACCACCATGCCTGGCTAATTTTTGTATTTTTAGTAGAGACAGGGTTTTGCCACATTGGGCAGGCTGGTCTTGAACTCCTGACCTCAGGTGATCTGCCCACCTCGGCCTTCCAAAATGCTGGGATTACAGGCATAAGTCACCATGGCTGGCCTATGTACCAAGTTTTTAAGGTCATATATTATGATCCATTTATATGAAATGTCCAGAATAGGCAGATCTTTAGAGACAGAAATTACCATTAGTGGTTATCAAGGATAGAGGAAAGAGGGAATGGGGTGTGATAGCTAATTGGCACAGGGCTCCTTTTTGGGGTGATAAAAATGTTCTGGAATTAGATAGTGGTGTTGGTTGCACAATCTTGAAAATATACTAAAAAGCACTGAATCGTATACACCAAAAGGGTGAGTTTTAAGTTATGTGAATTTTATCTCAATTAAACAAATTGCCAAAAGGGAATACAAAAAAAAAAAAAAGATTATCTGACTCCTTATAGAAAAGTTTGCTGACCCCTGCACCAGGGCATTGTTTATAAGAATGAAAAACGGGAAATGGCAAGACTGTCCCTGAGGGAGTGTAGCTGGGGCTGTTGGTGCCCTGCCTACCCCTCAGCCCACCTTGGAGGCTACTCATGGTTTCTATAGATAGTGTCCTTCCTCAAGCACCTGCAGCTTCCTGCCTGAGCCATGCCAGCTTGTCTGTGCTAACTGTGATTTATGGTGAGGACCTTGGGCCACTCAACATTAGCTGGACCTCTGCAAGCTACCTCTGCAAGGAGGCTCAGCTACCCAGATGGTCAGCCATGACTATATGACCAACGTCCTCTAACTATGCTGGACACCAAGGCTCAGGTGAGTCTTCTTGGGTGGCAATACCCTAAGTGTGTTGTCACACATCCTTGCAAGGAGAATTAGGCACTGCTCGTATAACTCCAGTTGAGGAGAACAACTGGAAGCTTGCATCTGGTCTCTCTTGGACTTTTTCCTATGACAAAGAGGACTCTTTCCCCTTTCTTAGTCTGCTGGGCTGCTATAACAAATTACCATAAACAGGGAGGCTTATAAACAACAGGAATTTATTTCCTAATGGTTCCAGAAGCTAGGAAGTCCCAGATCAAGGTACCAGCAGATTCAGTGTCTGGTGAGGGCTTGCTCTCCTTCATAGGTGGTGCCTTCTCATGCAATAGAAGCAGCAAGACAGTTCTCTTGGGTTTCTGTTATAAGGGCACCAACCCCATTCATGAGGACAGAGCCTTCATGGTCTAATCACCTCCCACATGGGGATTAGGATTCAACATAAGAATTTTGGGGGAACAAAACATTCAGACCATAGCAGCAATCTTTCACTTTGCTGATTTTGGTCTGTATGCTTTTTCTGTAATAAACTGTAACCATGAGAATAACAGTTTTTCCAAGTTCTGTGGTGAATCATTGGACCTGAGGGTGATTTTGAAGACCCCCTATACTGCAGATATCCACTCGCCAAACATCCTTGATTTGTTTTCCTCCTTTTCCTGTCTTATTTGCCATTCCCTTATTCAAGCTTCCTGAGGTCACCTCCTAGTAGCCTACTTGAGCTCATGTCACTAAGTTTGTCTTTGGGAGGTACCTAGAATAAGACTGGAGGAAATGAATTAAATAACTTCTGAGATAATAATACCACGGAAATCCATGTTGCCATTAAAAATGAGACAGACTTATCTATATGAAATGGAAAAATCTCCAACACATATTGCTAGGAGACAAAAGCACATTACAAAACAGTATATGTAAGCACAATCTTTTTGTTAAAAAGAATGTTAATATACCTGAAGAAAACAATATGGATGTTCACCACTGTTCAGAGTGGCTCTCTCTGGGAAGGGGGAAACAGAGGAAAATGTCCACTTTCTGTATCAATAAGTATGTACAGTTTGAACTTCTTACAGAAAGTACATATTATTTTGGAAAGAAAACAAAGGAAAAATAAGTCACTGTTAGAGAATCCACAACTAAATCACCAGAAAGGATGAAAACTAAAAGGAAGTCTAATATCCTATGCTCCTCATCCCAATTTGTAAAGTAACTTGGCTGGTGAATCACTTGGCCCTTGAAAGGTGGGAGCGCTTGAGTGATTCAGCCTTTCTGATGGGAGGCAGTTCCTGCCATGGCCATCTGAGTTAATTAGCAGGCAGTGTAAATTGCAAATCACTTGGTAAAGTTATGGCAATCTTAACAGTCTTAAAAAAATTTAAAATGCAAATTATAATAAAGTGAAGCTGAAGATAAGTAATAACTTCTATTAGAAAGTTGCCTGGGAGAATATCAAGATTGCCATCACTGTAAATTCTAAGTGTGTTGGAGAAAATAGAGAATTAAAACTAGACATGTCAGGGGCCAGGTGCAGTGGCTCACACCTGTAATCCCAGCACTTTGGGAGGTCAAGGTGGGAGGATCTCTTGAGCCCAGGAGTTCGAGACCAGCTTGGGCAACATAGTAAGACTCTCTTTCTACAATTTTTTTTTAAAGACTAGACATGTGGAATCCAGAAAGGGGCTTAGGGACAGTGGGTCAGATAACCCAGCCCTCTCCATGTTATAGGTAAGGAAACCAAGTCACATAGCTAATTGGTGATAAAATTTGCAGTATTTGAATAACCTGTGAATGAAGCCAATTCCTTATAACCACATTCCTAAATTCCTTCTCTTTAGAAACATCCATAACTAAAAATTTTGTTGTAAAGTACCTCCACCAAATATTTCTACTGATGGTTATGGGGGACTCTTTTAAATGTAGTCACTAATATATTTCTGGATATTGTAAGCCAAAAATACAATTCTAAGCCCCCTAACCATCTGAATGGGCCCCTCCTCTTGGTCAAGGGCATTCCAAAGGTGACCTGAAAAGCTAGTTCAGGCTGTGGTGGGAAGGGGAAGTCAGACATGCCAACATTAACATGAAGACAGATCTTAAGACTGATAGAACGAATTCTTTTTTTTTTCTTTCCTTTTTTTTTTTTTTTTTTTTTTTTTGAGACAAGGTCTCTCTCTGTTACCCAGGTGCAGTGGCATGATCTCAGGTCACTGCAACTTCTGCCTCCCAGGCTCAAGTGATCCTCCTACCTCAGCTTCCCAACTAGCTGGGACCACAGGTGCACACCACTATGCCTGGCTTTTTTTTTTTTTTTTTTTTTTTTTTTGGTATTTTCTGTAGAGATGGGGTTTCACCATGTTGCTCAGGCTGGTCTCTAACTCCTGAGCTCAAGTGATCTTCCCGCCTTGGCCTCTCAAAGTGTCGGGATTACAGGTGTGAGCCATTGCGCCCAGCCAGAAGAGACTCTTTAAATCTGGTAAGAAACACTTACCATCTATTCTCTCTGAAGCCTGCTATCTAGAGGCTTTATCTGCATGATAAAACCTTGGTGTCCACAAACCTTTATTGTAATTTAGACATTGATTTCAGGTCTTTAGATAATAACCAATTGCCAGTCTTTGAATCCACCTAAGACCTGGAAGTCACCCCACACACTCCCCAGTCCCTGTTTCCAGCTGTCCCATCTTTCTGGACTGAACCAATGTACCTCTTACATGTATGGATTGATGTCTTATGTCTCCCTAAAATGTATAAAACCAAGCTGTAGCCTGACCACCTTGGGCGCATGTCCTCTGGACCTCCTGAGGCTGTTTCATGCACAGGTCCGTAACCTTGGAAAATAAACTCCCAAACTGATTGCGACTTGTCTCAGACACTTTTTGGTTTACAAAATGTACACACTCTAAGTGTACCCTAGTCATCTGGAAGCAATTTCTCAACAACCTGTATAATATGGAGTGTGGCAAGAAAAAAAAAAAAATCAAAACATTCAGAATTGATGTCACAAGTCTATGTACAAAATCCATGAAGAGGGCTTTCTCTAAGAACCTATTTAATGCTCATGGATTTAGACATAATTCAAATAAACTCAGTCATCTGGTTTTCCCATCTGGAGTAACTTAATATAGTGGATTGTGAGTACCAGACAGATACAAGAACTCAAAAAACTACAATAGAATGGAACCATTTGGTGAAGAGGCAAATAACATTTTCCTCCTTCACAGGGCTGGCGGCTATTTGCAGTGTGATCATTTATTTTTATAATTATGATCATGAATCCATTAGGATGCCTGCTGAATGGATCAAAGGAAGTATGGGAATTTTGGTAGCAAACACAGTTAAAAAATGTTAAGCCTTGTTTAAAACTTATGGGGAAAGGGATCAGTAAGTGGAAACTTTACTCTCACAAAATGCTTTTAGTTCTCCTCCTCCAATGACTATAGAGTAACACCTTGCACGGTACCTTGCTCTAATGTTTTCTCTTCTGATTTCGCTTAATCTCCAGCACCCTAAGGCTACCCTCTGGGGACAGGCAAGTACCCAGAAGTCCAGTTCCCTTCTTCAGACAATGCATGGACACACCCTGCCTATTCCACTTTTAGGAATTTGAGACCCAACTTACCTGTAGAGTTATCAACATATCTATTTCCACCGTATCATAGCAATTCAAGTTGGGGAAACACAACCAGGAAACAAAAGTGTGGTAGGAGGCATCCACCAGGGCTCAAAGATCAGGCTTTGAAGGAGCCTGGGATAAAGATCAGTTTATTAAGCACCTACTGTGTATTAGGGCCAGGGCTAAGGACGTCAGTGGATTGACTCATTTAATCATCACATCAAGCCTCCAGAGCAGGGTTTCTCACCCTTGATACTGCTGACATTATGGGCCAGATCATTCTGTGTTTTGCGGTGCTGTCCTAGGCACTCTAAAATGCTTGGTAGCTCCTATCATCTCACACTAAATATCAGTAGCAATTCCTCCATCTCCCCTGTTTCTGTTATTTTATTTTATTTTATTTTTGAGATGGAGTCTTGCTCTGTCGCCCAGGCTGGAGTGCAGTGGTATGATCTCAGCTCACTGCAACCTCCGCCTCCCGGGTTGAAGTGATTCTCCTGCCTCAGCCTCCTGAGTAGCTGGGACTACAGGTATGCACCACCATGCCTGGCTAATTTTTGTGTTTTTTAGTAGAGACGGGGTTTCACCATGTTGGCCAGGCTGGTCTCGAACACCTGACCTCAGGTGATTCGCCTGCCTCAGCCTCCTGATGTGCTGGGGTTACAGACGTGAGCCACCGTGCCTGGCCTCCTCTATCTCCCTTGTGACTGCCAAAAGTATCTCTAGACATTGCCAGATGTACCCTGGGGACACAATTGCCACCCTTCCCGCCCCCCACCTCCCACATTTGAGAAGTGCTTTAAGGCAGTTGCTTTCACTGGCTCATTTTACAGCTGAGAAGAGTGAGTTCTAGAGGGTGAAGGGAGATCACTCACTGCTCCAGTCAAAACCTAAGTACCCTGAAGGAGTCAGGGACAAACTGAGGCTTTCACCTGTTGATATTTGCTGTAAAAACGAATTTGTTCCTCACCATAGGAGCTAAATTATTTGGTCGCTAATTTAGTTTGCCAAGGCAGACGGTTCTGGAAGGGAAGCTGGATGACTTAGAATGTGGGTGTAATAAACACTGCAAATTAAAAGGAAAAAAAAAAAACATCTTTACCAATGGGAGCAGACTCAACAGCTTCTCATTTTGCATATTTGGTTCACAAGGTAATGAAGGACTCTCATTTGTGCCCTAGGCTCTCACTGCTCCCATATGCAACTCTGAGTCTGACAGCACAGTGCAGGGACACCCCCAGATTATGGCTGGCACCCCGAAACCTCATCACTGTACCCGGCGATCTACCTCTTTGATGCTGGGTTAAGATGTTCCCCTGTTCCTGAAAAGAAAAAATGCACAAAGCCAGCAAGACCACCCTGGGCTGTTTCATAGTCCTGCCTACTTCCTCATGGCCGAGAGGTCCCCACAGCCCATCATCAGGGTGTTCATGAGTTAGCTTAACTGTTGGAGGAGACATAACGCAGTCTACACAGGCCTGCTTCTTCCCCTTTTCTTTCTTCCTACAGGGCAGCTCTGACACACTGCAACGCAGGTGGTCCTCATTGTCTTTCCAACTTTTGCAAAACCTCTTCTCACTGGAGCACTCTCTTTTTTTTCTTCTTTCAGAAACCTAGAAGCTTTTTCAGGTTTTTCTTTTTTTTTTTTTTGCAAAACAAGGTACATCATATCCCTTCCCTGGGCCTCAGTTTCCCCCTTTATACAATGAGCGGGTATATGTAGATTTTGAGTTCTTTTTTAGCTATGACATTTCTTTGGTTCTAAGAAGTTTCATCCATGACTTAAGGGTGATGTTTTTCAAGCTTTTCTGGCTCACTTCGTGATTCACAGCAGCTGCTGGGACAGAACTTTTTTTTCATGTTTTTCCTTCCAACAGTCATAATGACGATTCAGTTAACTTTATTATAATAATTAAAAATCAGTAACAGCAAATCTTGAGGTCTGTGTACTACGAACTGAGAAAAGCACTTTATATATGTTGTTGTTTTTCTTTTTTAAACTTAAATCCATATCACAGCCCTATTTTTATTGCCATTTTGCAGATGGGGAATTTGAGGCTCGGAGAAGTTAAGAGGTTGAGTGCTCAAAGCCACCCAGCCAGCACGAGGCATAGTAGAAATTGAAACTCAAAGTCCAGCCTAATTTCTTCCTTTATCTCAAAAAGAAGAGGCCAAGCACAGTGGCTTATGCCTGTAATCCCAGCACTTCGAGAGGCCAAGGTGGGAGGATCGCTTGAGCCCAGGAATTCAAGACCAGCCTGGGTTACATAATGAGACTGTCTCTATAAAAAAATTTAAAAAGTAGCTGGGCATGTTGGTGCACGCCTGTGGTCCCAGCTACTTGGGAGGCTGAGGCGGGAGGACTGCTTGAGCCCCGGAGGTTGAGATTGCAGTGAGGCATGATCATACCACTGCACTCCAGCCTGGTCGAAAGAGTAAGACCCTGCCTCAATAATAATAATAATAATAATAATAATAATAATAATAATAGACTCACCCATTTCCTACTTCCCTTGACCCTCTCCTGTGATAAGGGCCAGATTGGGTAATAGAGATGTATGGTACGTGTGTGTGTGTGTGTGTGTGTGTGTGTGTGTGTGTGTGTGTGTTTGAAGAGGGGTTAAAACCTCAACCAGCATATAAGGGAAAAGGCCAACAGTCAGAATGGCCCTGGAAAGTCCCGTGAAAATCCTCATAAAGGCGCCATGTTGAGGCCCTTCTCGCCATCTCTCTAGGGTCCAGCATGGTCAGGATTGGCTCTGACTTTTGAATGAGTGGCTCCCTGTTCAGTCAAGCAGCAGATAAGGAGGGAAGATGTCCTATATTAAAGACTGTTGCTATGAAAAATACAATGATAGCACCCAACAGTTCTATAGTGCTTATCACATACCAGCCCTGTCCTGTGGATTTCAGTACACAAATTTAATCCGCACAACAAATCTATGAGGTTTGTACTATGATTACCTCTATTTTATTATTTCCTTGAGCCTAGAGGGCACACACTGATAGCATGATGCATCGTCCTGGGGACTGACCTAGACCAGCCTTGAGCAGATCCTGGAAATAGGCTTGGGCTGTTTGGGTGGGAAATTCTGGGATCCCAGTATGTGGAGATGATCTAGCAAGGAAGATGTGGGCTCCTTGATGCCTGGACTCCTCACTCCATGAATTTCTTGCCTCCTCCCATTTACAGCATGAGGCCCAAGGTAGAAGCCCTCTTTGTCGTGGTCTGCAGGCAATATTGGCTTAGAACGAATTATTTAATTTTTATTTTAAGAGAGTACAGTGGAGTGCAGTGGCGTGGCATGATTATAGCTCACTGCAGCCTCAACCTCCTGGGCTCAAGTGATCCTCCTGGCTCAGGTTCCTGAGTAGCTGGGACTACAGGGGCACCTCACCACGCCCAGCTAATTAATTTTTTTTTTAGACATGGGGTCTTGCTATGTTGTCCAGGCTGATCTTGGACTCCTGGCTTCAAGCAATCTTACTCTCCTCAGCCTCCCAAAGTGTTGGATTACAGGTGTGAGCCACCGTGCCTGGCCTGAATTTTTTAATGCATTTGTTTTCAACAGGGGCCAATTTTACCCCACAATCTGGAGGCATTTTTGATTGTCATGTCTTGGAGGGAGGGGTGCTGCTGGCCTCTAGCGGGTAGAGCTCAGGGATGCTGCCCCCCATCCTACAATGCACAGGACAGGCCCTACAGTGAAGAATAATCCAGCCCCAAATATCAGTGTAAGTGTGGAGGTAGAAAACCTCTGCCTTAAGGGAAAAGCAGCAACGATGGGAGTTCCCTTCATTAAAACCGAAGCCTCCCCTCTCCCAACCAAAGGAAAGCCATTGAGATTCAAAAGACTATGGCAGATTCACAGGGTAAAGGAGCTGGGAGACTCAGGAGCAGGTGGGAGGAAAGTCACCTCCACTGAGCTAGACAGAGCTTGGGAGCTCAGCACAGAAAACAAATTTAGAGCGAATTTAAGGGGAGAGAAACGGGGGAGTGGAGGAGAAACCACGGAGAAATGCTGCTTTGGCTTATGAATGAGATCTCTTTCTCCTTCCTCAAGAGATGAAAGTCAAGGTTGAAATTTCTTTTAAAATTCCTTTGGGGCTGTGGGACCCCTTTCTTTATGCCTCAGTGTGGAGATTGAGCCACATGGAGCCTGCACTGAAGATGACATATGGGTTGAAGAATCACTTTCAGATCCATGTGTGAATCACACCGACTAGAAGGAAGCACACTTAAAGGTGTCACTATAAAGCAACGTGCTTGTTTTGACATGAACAACCAAAAATGTATACATCTGACTGAGGGTCCTCTCTACATTTGTTTCAGAGAAGCTGGCATCGCTTGGGGGAAGATGTACACTGCAAACTGTCTACAGAGCTAGTTACAATATTTCATCTACGTCATGAGCTTTGGGGATGAGGTAAGGCCTGCAGAAGGTCTGGAATCAAATTCCAGGTTCACCATGAGCACCTGAGCCAGTGTGGTGATATCATTAGAATGTTATGTTGTGATCTTCCAATTTCATTTTTGTCTTTAGGGGATAATAAATCAGATCTTCCCCCGTCAGTGCCCAGCTTTACCCCCAAGAGATTCTGTTGATTGGTTTGGGGTTGGGGGCCTGGGTGGCACTGGTTTTCAAATGCTCCCCGAGTGAATCTCATGTGCAGTCAGCTTAGATGCAGAATCAAAATATGAGTTGACTGGTGGCTTAGCTGGGTTGTAGAAAGGGGCCCGATCCTACTATTTCCTCTTCTTGATTTAAAACTCTCTGATCATAACTGTGCAGGTTTTGTCCCTGCAAGGTGAAGCCTGTCCAGCAGACTCACTCAGGGAGTTGCAGAGGGTGGTGCCTGTGGTGGGCAGGCAGGTCCCAGAAAGAAGAGGAGAGCAAGAAGACCTTTAACAACTTAGTCCCATCCCACAGAGATTGGGACCTCTACATGCAGTTATTATGTTCTCCATTACGTAAGTCACCTCTTCCCTGAAAAGAACAAATAAAGAATTGAAAGAGGACTGGGTGCGGTGGTTCACCCCTGTAATCCCACCACTTTGGGAGGCCAAGGCAGGTGGATCACCTGAGGTCAGGAGTTTGAGACCAGCCTGGTCAACATGGTGAAACCCCATCTCTACTAAAAATACAAAAAATTAGCCAGGCATGGTGGCAGGCGCCTGTAATCCTAGTTACTCGGGAGGCTGAGACAGGAGAATCTCTTGAACCCAGGAGACAGAGGTTACAGTGAGCCGAGATCGTGCCACTGTACTCCAGCCTGGGCAACAAGAGTGAAACTCCGTCTCAAGAAGAAAAAAAAAGAGAATTGAAAGAGAGTCCAGAGGTGTTACTCTAGGGCCAGGGTAGGCACACTTTTTCTCTTTCTTTTCTTTTTTCTTTTCTTTTCTTAAGAAGCAGGGTCTTGCTCCATTGCCCAGGCTGGAGTGCAGTGACATTATCATAGCTCACTGCAATCTCAAACTCCCAGGCTCAATCTAGAGTTTCCAATCTCTGTGGGATGGGACTAAGTTGTTAAAGGTCTTCTTGCTCTCCTCTTCTTTCTGGGACCTGCCTGCCTCAGCCTCCCAAGGACCTGGGACTACAGGCACACACAACCACACTTAGCTAATTAAAAACTATTTTAAAAAATTTTTTTTTTAATATTCAGGGTCTCACTTTGCTGCCCAGGCTTATCTTGAACTCCTGAGCTCATGCTGTCCTCCCACCTCGGCCTCCCAAAGTCTTGGGATTACAAGCATGAGCCACCATACCAGGCCAACATACTTTTTCTATAAAGGGCCAGAGAGTAAATATTTTAGGCTTTGAGGGCCACCTATGGCCTCTATTGGAAGCATTCAACTTTGCTGCACTAGCAGAAAGCAGCCACAAACAGCATGTTGATGAATGCACATGGCTGTATTCCAATAAAACTTTATTTACAAAATCAGGAAGTGGGCTGTAGTTTGCTGACCTCTGGTCTGTCTAAAGCAGTGGTTCCCGAAGTGTGGTCTCCACACCAGCAGTAGCAGCATCACCTGGAAACCTGTTAGAAATGCGAATTCTCAAGCCCACACAGCTATACTGAATCAGAAACTCTTGGGCAGGGGCTCAGCAGTCTGTTTTAACAAATCTCTGGGTGATTCTGATGCACGCTGGAGTTTAGCAGGACTACACATAACCACCTAGGGAGCTTTTTAGACTATAGTGATGGGGGAGGGGATCTTCCTGGCCAATTGACACAGTCTCTGGAGGTGGCACCCAAACATCCATCCCAGCTTTTTAAAGTTTTCCCAGTGACCCTAATGTGTAGCCGGGTTTGAGATTCACTGGCTTAGGGTAAGTGCCTCATGCAAACATTAAGTTGAGGAATAGAATCCTCTTCAAAACATCCAAAGAAATCAGCCTCATTTCTTTAGAATGATGCTTCATTTCTAATTTTTTTAAGGTGCTGCTGAGCTTAATCTAGATGAACCATTCAGCTTTCCATGACCTCAAGTTATTTAAAAAAAAATATATATATGTATATATATATGTATATATATATGTATATATATATGTATATATATATGTATATATATATGTATATATATATGTATATATGTGTATATATATGTATATATATGTATATATATATGTATATATATATGTATATATATGTATATATATATATGTATATATATGTATATATATATGTGTATATGGCAGCACCGCACTGCAGCCTGGGTGACAGAGTGAGACCCTGTCTCAAAACAAACAAACAAAAACATATGTGTTTCATTTCAAAGGATGAAGAATTCTGCAACATTTATGTTTTCTTTCAATGTGGGGCAGTTTCTTGAGGTCATTTCAAAAAGACGTCTCAAACATGGTTTTTTTGTTTTGTTTTGTTTTGAGACAGTTTTGCTCTGTCGCCCAGGCTGGAGTGCAGTGGCATGATGTCAGCTCACTGCAATTTCCGCCTCCTGGGTTCAAGCAAGCACCTCCAGCTAATTTTTGTATTTTTAGTGGAGACGGGGTTTTGCCATGTTAGGCAGGCTGCTCTCGAACTCCTGACCTCAAATGATCTGCCTGCCTCGGCCTCCCAAAGTGCTGGGATTACAGGTGTGAGCCACTACACTCAGCTCAAACATGTTTTGAACAGCGGTAACATCCCTTAAAGATCAATAGGCCACATGTAGAGACCGTGTGGCCCTGTGTATGCGCAATCCCTTTCCACCCTCACAGCAGTCTAGGAAGAAGGTTGTGAGATGCTCCCACTTTCCAGAGAAATAGATGGAGGCTCAGGGTGTAAGTACAATGAGCAGAATTGTCCAAAAGAGGCTCTAGGAGCTTAGGCGAAACATCTGGACCACGAACTGTCTGGGACCAGCTTTCCTCCCACCCTGGTGGCTTCCTCCCCTGGGAAGAGGAAGCTGTCACTTCCCATGGGCCCTAAGGTCTCTGGTCACTGGTGCTAACCCACCTGCCCCCACTGACAAGGTTGCCTGCTCACGCTTGCGCTATAAAATGGTGGGATGGTGGGCACAAAGTCCTGGCCCTAGAACTCAGACACACACCACAGACCTGCAGCATCTCTCCAAAGGATGGTGGTTACGGAGAGGGAATTCAAGCTTCTTCCTTTCTTGCCAATGCCTGTCCTACAGGCCTTTTCCTTATTCCCCAACAGAGTCTATTCCTTAACCTATACTGTGGGTTAATGTGGCATGTGTCTGGAATCCTTGTGCAAGACAAGGTGTCAAATCCCAGTGACAGGAGGAGGCCCACCTGGGACCCAGCCTGTGGTCCAGTGGTAGAGCGGGATTTGAATTCGGGTCCTGATGACCTTTTATGAGTGAGTTGCAACTCCTAACCTCAGCTCTTGGCATATGCGGCATCCCAAATTATGCTCTGAAAGAAATGCCACCTGTTTTGATGGGCAAATTCTAGCATGTTTTAAAAATCACCCTATTACTAGAATGGATATGTAAATTGTGGTATAGTGACACTCTGAAACACTATTATCCTCAAAATGTGAATAGAAAAATGACATCTACACACAATGACACAAATTTCACGAAGATAATGCTGAATGAAGGAAGGGGTGTGATCCCATTTACATAAAGGTCAAAAAGAGGCAAAATGAATATATGGCAGGAAAGGTCAGGATGATGGCTGCCCTGGGGGAGGGGGAAGTAACTGACATGGGCTATGAGGGAATTTCTGAGAATGTTTCTGGTTCTTAATCTGAGTACTGGTCACATGGGATCGTTAATTTTGTATAAATTCATGAATTGATGCACCTTTCTGTATGTGTGTTGGACTTCAATAAAAAGTCACCTTAAAAAAAGAACTAATGGGGCCACGCATGGTGGTTCACGCCTGTAATCCCAGCACTGTGGGAGGCTGAGGCAAGGTCATGCCTGTAATCCCAACACTATGGGAGGCTGAGGCAAGAGGATCACTTGAGCCCAGGAGTTCGAGACCAGCCCTGGGAACACAGCAAGACCTTTACAAAAAAGATTTAAAATTAGCTGAATGTAGTGGGGTGCCCCTGGAGTCCCAGCTATTTGGGAAGGATTGCTTAAGTCTGGGAGGTCGAGACTGCAGTGAGCCATGATGGCACCACTGCACTCCAGCCTGGGCAATAGAGTGAGACCCTGTCTCCAAACACACACACACACACACACACACACACACACACACACACACACAAACATGTTTGAGACATCTTTTTGAAATTACCCCGAGAGTCTGCCCCACATTGAAATGGGATTAACATCAGCAACTGACTTTGAAATGTATGATAAAAATATGAGTCGAGAGAGAGAGTTGGATAGATGTGTGATAAAGCAAACAGCAAAATGTTCATTACAGAATCTGATGGGTAGAAATATGGGTGTTCATGGGACAATTCTTTCAATATGTTAAAAAATTTTTAAATAAAATGTTAAACCAAAGCCTTTAAAATAAAAGCAACCAGACACACAACCAACTCAATCATTCTACTTTTATTGCCTTTACTTGCTTCTTTATGCCATGGAAATGTTCATTTCCAGGTGAGGGTATCCAAGGACTGATACCATGAGCTGGGTGACTACTCAGTTCGCAGGCTGGTATGGGGCTGTTGGATCCTAGAGCAAAAAGAGGACTTGGTGAATCTGCTGGGGACAAGGGAGTGAGCAAGACAAGACGACCTGGATGAAAGTATGGAGCCCCCAGTGACTCCAGGTTATCCCAATGACTCCAATAACAGACCATGCATGGCCAGAAACACCAACCAGGGCCTGAACCAAAGAGTCTGAAACCTTCATATTTTGTCTACCCAAAACACCAAACAAAGGTTCAACGGTCCTTTGTACCAATGAGCACACTGGATCCTGCTCAGAGCCCTCTCCTGCCTTTAATGCCTTCCACCTTCCACATGAAAAGCACTTGGAAAGATGTTCCACACCAACAGTCATGAGAAAATGCAAATTAAACCCACAACCACTTGTTTCATTTTTAAAAAATATCCCCGCAGTCTTATTAAAGTCTTATTTACACAGAATAAAATCCATCCATTTCCAAGTATCTAATTTGATGAATTTTAATCACTGCCTATGATTGTGTAAGTACCACCATAGATAATCAAGATATAGCTCTTTCCCCAAAGAAAGTTCCTTCTTCTTGTCCCTTTCCACTCCATCCCCTCCCTGGCTCAAGTTGGCTGGACACAGGTAGTAGTACCTTGCCTGCTGCTTTCTTCCACCATAGTTTATTTACTTATTTATTTATTTATTTATTTATTTATTTATTTTTGAGACGGCGTCTCGCTCTGTCGCCCAGGCTGGAGTGCCGTGGCATGATCTCAGCTCACTGCAAGCTCCGCCTTCTGGGTTCACACCATTCTCCTGCCTCAGCCTCCTGAGTAGCTGGGACTACAGTCGCCTGCCACCACGCCTGGCTAATTTTTTGTATTTTTAGTAGAGACGGGGTTTCACCATGTTAGCCAGGATGGTCTTGATCTCCTGACCTTGTGATCCACCCGCCTCGGCCTCCCAAAGTGCTGGGATTACAGGCGTGAGCCACCACACTGGCCTCTTTTACCATAGTTTTGCCTTTAGTAGAAATCCATATAAATGGAGTCACACAGTATATAGTCATTTGCATTCACTTAGCGTAATGTTTTTGAGATTCGGCCATGTGTATGTGTACTAATATGTCCTTCCTTTTTACTGCTGAGTAATATTCTTTTTGTTGTTGTTGTTGTTGAGACAGAGTCTTGCTCTGTCACCCAGGCTGGAGTCCAGTGGCGCGATCTCAGCTCACTGCAACTTCCGCCTCCCAGATTCAAGTGATTCTCCTGCCTCAGCCTCCAAAGTACCTGGGATTACAGGCACCCACCACCATGCCCAGCTAATTTTTTGTATTTTTAGTAGAGATGGGGTTTCGCCATGTTGGCCAGGCTGGTCTCAAACTCCTGACCTCAAGTGATCCATCCACCTCAGCCTCCCAAAGTGTGGAGATTACAAGCGTGAGCCACCACGCCCGGCCCAGTAGTATTCTAATGTATGAATGTCTCACAATTTGTTTATCCATTCATCAGTTGATGGACATTTGGATCATTTCCACTTTTTTGGTGATTACAAATAATGCTTCCAGGAACATCTGCATACATGCCTTTTTTTGTAGACATATGTTTTTGTTTCTCTTGGGTAAATACCTAGGAGTATAATTCATGGGTTGGATGGTAAATATATATTTACCCTTATAAGCCCCATTCATAACTGTTTCCAAAGTGGCTGTAGCATCTTGCATTCCCACCAGAAATGCATGAGAGTTCCAGTTGCTTCATATTCTCACCAACACTTCTTGTTTTCCATCTTTTAAACTTAACTGTACTAGTGGGTGTGTAGTGGTAATGTATTATGGTTTTAATTTGCATTTCTGTTGACTGATGAAGAGCAGCATCTTTTCATATGCTTCTTTGCTATCTATGTATTCTCTTTTTGTGCGGTGTGCCTTTTCAAAGCTTTTGCCCATTTTTCTTGGGGTGTGGACTGTCTTATTGAGTTACAAGAGCTCTTTATATATTCCGGATATGGGCTCTTTGTTGGATATATGTTTTGCCAAAAATTTCTCTCAGGGCATGGCTTGGCTTTTTATTTTCTTGACTATGTCTTTTGAAGAGCAAAGGTTTTCAATCCTGTTGAAGTCCATTTATCACTTTTTCACTCATTGCAAAAATAATAATCCACACACTGGATTTTGGAAGGCAGTAACCTTTAGAACTGCTTTGTCTATGCCAACTATAAAATAAAACTAAAGTCAAATCTGAGATTATTACATAATTAAAAATAAAGATGATTTTAAAGGTAAAGAGGGATGATAAAAAATGGTTGTTCAGAACTTAACAATTTTCAAAGCTTGCTTATGTCATTCTTACAAGAATCTTCTGCGGGGCAAGGAGTTGGGACCTCCCTGAGCTAAAACATTTTCCTAAGTCATCTGTCTCAATTGGATGCTTCAAGAAGACACAACAAAGTAAAAATTGTGCCACTGGCTGGTTGCAGTGGCTCATGCCTGTAATCCCAGCAGCACCTTGGGAGGCCGGGACAGGAGGGTTGCTTGGGGCAAGGATGTGTCATTTTTTTAAAAATTGCAAATTTGACGATATCTATCAAAATTGACCAACATGTATGCTTTGATCCAGCCATCCCACTGCTAGGATTTAGGTCACAGTACATTTGGACACATCAGCAGAGATATAGGTGAGGATGCTCACTCTAACAATGTTTCTAAGCCCAGAAAAAGTGATTAACCTCAAGGTTTACCAACAGGAGACCTACCAAATAGATTACTCTTCAACTAATTGACTGAATGGGATATCATACGGCCGTAATAATGAGAGGGCTTTATACTTCTCCACCTCAATCACTTGATCTCTTTGCTGTTTCTCCTGCCAGCGCCTTTGTGTTGCTGTTCCCTCTGGCTGGAATGCTCTTCCCACAAACGTCCACATGGTATATCTCTGATCTCCTAAAAGGCTAGGATCAAAGGTCACCTTCCCCCTGGCCACCCTTTAATAACTGTCACCCTCACCCCATGCATCACGACCCCCTTTCTCTGCTTCCGTTTTCTCATTTGGATTCAACATCACCTCTCAACTGCAAAATTCAGTTATTTGTTTTGTTTATTGCCTGTCTTCCCACATTAAAGCATTAGCCTGCTGAACCTGGGATTTTTGTCTAATTTGCTCACTGTCATAGCCGCAGTGCCTGGCTCATAAGAGGGACTCATGAATATTTGTTAAATGAATAAATAGGTGCTAATTTGGAAAACTGTCTAAGATGTACAAAGTGAGAAGAGCAAGTGGCAGTAAAGCATATACATTTTGGATGCTAACAAAAGAGAGTAGAGATATAGACATACACATACCCAGATGTGCACATATACACGCACACACATACGTATACATACCACGCACACACATATGTGTACGTATATACACATATTAGTGCATACATTCCTGGAAAGAGCCTAGATGTTACAAGTGGTTAGCTCTAAGTAGGGGAAATTAGGGACTTTTACTTTTTGTTTTATTTCTCCCCATTTACGGTTGCACATAATATATGTGTGTGTAGTTTCTAGATATTTGAATAATATATAAGTGATATTCATTTTTACATATTCATATTGCAAATATTCATTAATGGATATCAATTTATTAATATTCATTATTAATATATTGGTGGCTAATATTTATAGAAATAGTAATACAATATACACATATAAATTATAGGCCAGATATGGCGGCTCACACCTGCAATCCCAGCACTTTAGGAGGCTGAGGCGGGCAGATCACCTGAGGCCAAGAGTTCGAGACCAGCCTGGCCAACATGGTGAAACCCCGATTCTACTAAAAATACAAAAATTAGCTGGGCTTGCTGGTGGGTGCCTGTAATCCCAGCTAGTTGGGATGCCTCTTGAACCCAGCAGGCAGAGGTTGCAGTGAGCCAAGATCGCACCACTGGACTCCAGCCCGGATGACAGAGTGAGACTCTGTCTCAAAAAAAAAAATAAATAAATAATATACAAAATATAGGAATTATATCTAAATAATAATATGCATACATGCATATGCATATATATGCACATATATACATACATATAGTATGGAAAAATTATATCTTTTATAACAGCAATACTAAAAAGCCATCAGTACTGCCCTTTCCCATGTAACCCCTTCACGTCACCGCATTCAGGTGATATTCTGCTCATCTTCCCAAGAGGGCTCCCCGCTCCCTCTCAAGCTGGGCTGAGCTGCAGTCCATCTGCCCAGGCCCTGTCACCTGGGGGATGGGGCTTGTTTGCAGAGCAAGGTATTTCTGTTTGCCTACGTTTTTATGGGTGGAGACAGGGAAGCCATTTGAAAAATCTGCACAGATGAGCGTGGACTCACTCAGCATGCTCTGGATCTGAGCTCTTCACACTCAGGCAGTTAAAGAGAAGCCACTGGGAATGATGAGAGGTTAAAATGCCATAAGGAGAGTAAACAAGCCTCAAACAGGTGCAGAACAGGTGCTGACTGGCTCTGAGCCCAGGCAAACCTGCCCTTCTCGGCGCCTGGTGGAGATCACCACCTCACCCCAAAAACCTCAGGGGACCCACAGAATCCCATCATTCTAGCTCAGGGTTTCTTCACTTTGGCACCATAGGTATTTGGGGCTGGATGATTTTCCGTTGTGAGGGGTTATGTGTTCACTGTAGGATATTTGGCAGCACCCCTGGCCACTACCCACTAGATGCCAGTAGCATCCCTGAGCTGTGACAATAAAAATGCCTCCAGACATTGTCAAATGTCCTCTAGGGAGACAATGTCACCCCAGGTTGAGAACCACTGATTTCACTGCTTTCATAAGTCAGCAGGTGACCCGGGCTCTCCAGCCAAAAGGTTTTCCAGGCTCTTGCCAGCCTGGAATTTGGTGGCATGAGATTCCCCCACTGTTGACCCTGACCATAAACTCAGAGGCCACAGGTGCTCAGGGAGGTCGTGGAGCAAGCATGTTGAAGGCATGGACTGGCTCTTCTATTTGCCTCCTTGGGTATCTGAGCAGAGATGGCTGTGTGGTCACCAAAGCCTGTTCACTCTCTCCCTCAACGTGTAGCTGGACTACATTTCCCAGCCTCTCCTTCAGAGTTTCAGCCAGTAGAATATGAATAGAATTGGAAGTGGAAGTGATGTACATTACTTCTAGGCTCAGCCCATGAACAGTTCCCATGCAGTCCTCAGCTCTCTTTCCTCCCCAACCACCAGCTAGAGATGAAACTCCCCAAGGCCAGAGAAGATGGCAGAGCCATGAGATGGAAGGCGCCTGGGCCGCTGAATCACCACATGGAAGGTCACTCATGACAGGATCCTCGAAGGACCATGGTGCAAGAAAGAAGTAAGATTCTGGTCCAGGCTCGGTGGCTCATGCCTGTAATCCCAGCACTTTGGGAGGCTGAGATGGGAAAATTGCCTGAGGCCAGGAGTTCAAGACCAGCTTGGGCAAAACAGTGAGACCCCCATCTCTACAAAAAATTTTTTAAAATGGCAGGCACGGTGGCACATACCTGTAGTCCCAGCTACTCAGGACACAGAGGCGGGAGGATCACTTGAGCCCAGGAGTTCAAGGCTGCAGTGAGCTAAGATTGTGCCACTGCATTCCAGCCTAGGCGACAGAGCAAGACCCTGTCTCAAAAAAAAATAATAATAAAGAAAAGAAATAAGCTTCTGTGGTGTCAAACCACAAAACCTTGGCAGCTGATTTGTTATAGCAGCTAGCCACACCTTAACTGATACAGTGACTTCTAGCTTTGTAGTGAGTCATATGAGATCTCTGAGCTTCAGTTTCTTTCCCTGTAAAATGGGATAACATCAGAACCTACCTCGTCTGGTTGTTGTGCGATGAGTTGAGACAGTGCTTATAAAGTACTTGGGACAGCACGTGGAGGATTCTAAGACTTTAATAAATGTTGGCTATTTTTATTATAAGAGCTACCACTAAACTCCTGCCCCTCGCCCAAGTTAGGAGCTCTTCCCATGATGTCTTTTGTGCCTTCTTTTCCAAGCCACACTTAATAACTTGGAAAAGTACAACTTGCCCTAGTCCTCAAGTGCCTTAGGAACTTATTGAGTCTTAGAGGTGCTTCTTGTAATGAGGCTGGGGCCCTTATTTTATCACGAGGTTGTCAGGGCATATCTTTTTTTTTTTTTTTTTTTTTTTTTTTGATGGAGTTTTTTCGCTCTTGTTGCCCAGGCTGGAGTGCAATGGCGTGATCTTGGCTCACCACAACCTCTGCCTCCCAGATTCAAGTGATTCTCCTGCCTCAGCCTCCCGAGTAGCTGGGATTACAGGCATGAGTCACCATGCCTGGCTAATTTTCTATTTTTAGTAGAGACAGGGCTTCTCCAGGTTGGTCAGGCTGGTCAGCTGGTCTTGAACTCCCAACCTCAGGTGATCCGCCAGCCTCAGCCTCCCAAAGTGCTGGGATTTATAGGCATGAGCCACTGCGCCCAGCCAGATGAGGCATATCTTAAGTGTCCTGGCTTCTCCTTAGCAGAGAGGTCACCAAGAAGGCAAGGGTGACCTTGCACAAGGATGGAAGAGGAACCCACCCACAAGTCATCCAAAGGCTGCCTCCCCTCTGCTTCTCCAGCCCAAATACAATTAAGCAGAATAAGATCCCAAAGCAGACATCTAAGGGGAATTTTGCTTGCCACATCAGCAGATACTCTCCCTGGTTCCTGGACCAGTCACTCAAGATCCTCAAGAAAGTGAACAACAGGCCCCAAAGAGCCTCCTGTGGCCAGTGTAGGCATCTGCTCATGAAGACAGAGGCAAAGATCTTTTGCCCACTGCCCGCCCTACTGACTCTTCACCCACCTGTTTGCTTTGTTTTGCTTGGTAAATAATGCCCTTGCCTATGGCTGTTTCTAAAAATAATTTCCATGATAAGCCAACTACATTCTGTCCTGCTCTAATGCAGGGCATGGGGGGAGGCAGAAACCCAGAGAAGCAGTTTTCATGTCGACTCACAAATAGGAAGAGAGAGAAAATTACACCCACTGAGCATCTGCTGTGTGCTAAGTCCTTGCATGCATGTCATCTCACCCAGTTCTTCATGGAGCCAGGAGCCACATCTCTTCTTCAGTTCTGTTTCCTCCATGCCTATCAGCCTTAGGCACACTATGGGTGTTCAATAAACACTCACCATCTAAGGCTGGGTGTGGTGGCTCACACCTGTAATCCTAGGACTTTGGGAGGCCGAGACGGGCAGATTGCTTGAGCCCAGGAGTTCAAGACCAGCCTGGGCAACATGGCGAAACCCCATCTCTACAAAAAAAAGTACAAAAATTAGCCAGGCATGGTGGCACACACCTATAGTCCCAGCTACTCAGGAGGCTGAGGTGAGAGGATCACTTGAGCCTAGGGAGGTCGAGGCTGCAGTGAGCTGAGATTGTGCCACTGCACTCCAGCCTGGGCAACAGAGTGAGACCCCATCTCAAAAAAAATTTTTTTAATTAAAAAAAAATGTATCATCTAAGTTCCTTGCTATAGTCTCTGCTAATTGCTCAGACCTCATTGCCTAATTCACTCCATGAGATCACTGTTTTGGACACTCTGGCTTTCCTTCTCTTCTTTGAACAAAATAAGCTCATTCCTGCCCCAGGGCCTTTTGCACAATTCCCTCTGCCTAGAATGCTCCTTTCCTACATCCTTCCACTGCTGGCCCTTTCTCAGCTTATATATCAAATTTAGAGTAATTTTCCTGGCCTTCTCTGTTGGCTCACTCCACTATTATTTAGCTGTTCGTTTATTTATCATTTATCTCACCCCAACTAGAATGTCAAGGTCATGAAAGGATGGATTTTTTCTGTTTTTCTGTGTTTCTTCAGCAACTAATGCAGCACCTCAACAAAGCAGGGGCTAAACACTTGAGACATATAACCCAGTAACTGAGAGCTCAGATTCTAGTCCAGATGACCAGGGTTTGAATCCTGGCTCCAGGATCCTAGGTAAGCTACTTCCCACCCTATTGTTGCCTCACTTCCCTCTTCCATAAAAGGGCAATAATGACTCCTATTGATGATAGTGAAGGGCCATCCGGAGCAGCCACTGCCATTGCTCTGGCTGTGGTGGTGGGGGGCAGTTGCGGGGAACGGGCAGTGGTGGTGGGACCCCTGTGCCCCACGTGCCCAAGGCAGCCAACTGTGCTGTCCCCACCCTTGTATGACTGGATGGGACCCACTCCCAGGCCCAGAGCCTCTGTGACTCCCGACCCTGGCACGCATCACCTCTCTCTGCCCCGCCGTAGCTGTGGGGAGGGCGCAGGAAGGAGGTGGATGGTCCTCAGAGCCTGCCCCCAGGAACCTCCACTAGAGCCTGCTGCCCTAGGGGCCACTGCAATGGGACTGGGCTGAGCCATCCACCAGTGGGAGAGCAATGCAGTCAGGCATGGAGGAGTGGGCAGAGAGCGACCCAGTGAGGACCTGGGCCCCCGCCCCAGGCTGCCAGGAGGTACGGCCAGGGCTGCACGCTCCAGCATGCTCCACAGAGTGGGTGGGAGCAGTCACAAGCGGGAGCCCTGCCTCTTCCAAAATGGCAGGGAGGGAGCTTCCTGGGTGCAGCTGCAGCCACCTAGCTACAGCTGCAGACCCAGGCATCTATGCACTCTTGGGGGCGCAGGAAGGCACCCTTCCCTCCCCAGCCCCAATCCCCCACCCCACCTTTGCTGCCTGGCTCCTCCCTGCTTTCAGCACCCACTCCTAACTCGGAGCAAAGTCAGAACTGAGCCTAGGGGGCCGGGCGCGGTGGCTCACGCCTGTAATCCCAGCACTTTGGGAGGCCGAGGCGGGCGGATCACGAGGTCAGGAGATCGAGACCATCCCGGCTAAAACGGTGAAACCCCGTCTCTACTAAAAATACAAAAAATTAGCCGGGCGTAGTGGCGGGCGCCTGTAGTCCCAGCTACTTGGGAGGCTGAGGCAGGAGAATGGCGTGAACCCGGGAGGCGGAGCTTGCAGTGAGCCGAGATCCCGCCACTGCACTCCAGCCTGGGCGACAGAGCGAGACTCCGTCTCAAAAAAAAAAAAAAAAAAAAAAAAGAACTGAGCCTAGGTGCTGTGGCAGCCTGGCCGGGTGTGCACATGCTTGGGGTAGTGCTGACATGACAGCCCCCTGATGCCTCGGCCCCTTCCAGACTTTGGGTGCCAGCAAGTATGACGGGGAGGCTGAGGAGGGGCCAAGGACAGCCTACCACTGGCCTGCAGGTGCCTCTCGGCATGAACAGCCTGAGCGCCATGAGCAACCTGGCATGAGCAGCAGGAGACAGACAGGCTTCTGGGCAGAAGAGGGCTGGTCCCTGGTGAAGCCCCGCCTTCAAACCAGGGAGGGCCTGAAGCCTGGGGACCAGGCCGCCAGTCCCGTGGACCAGAGTGGAAACCTCTGGTGCTTTTCCCTGGGCCAGCCCATGGCTGCCCATGGACCAATCAGCATACACTTCCTCCCCTCTGAGGCCCATAAAAACCCTGGACTCAGCCAGACTCAGGGTAGAGAACAGAGAGACGATGGGTAGACTACAGGCTGTCCAGCTGCTGACAGCTGGACACTTGGATGACCTGCCTAGCAGAGAGAAGCTACCCTCTCTGCTGAGAGCTGAACACTCGTTGGGACACGCTGGCTACAGAGAGGAGCTACCTGTTACGGGTCCCCTCTGAGCTGTTGTATTGCTCAATAAAGCTCCTCTTCGTCTTGCTCACCCTCCACTTGTCTGCGTACCTCATTCTTCCTGGATGCAGGACAAGAACTCAGGGCCTGCCAAATGGCAGGGCTAAAAGAGCTGTAACACAAACAGGGCTGAAACACGCCCCTTGTTTGCCACACTACAGGCAACAAGAAGGAGGGAAGAAAGAAGGAGAGGAGAGCTGCAGCCCTTCAGAGGGCCCAGGCCCAGGAGCTCCCCAAGCCAGGTTTGTGACTTCCCCTTTGGGGCCCTGTGGTTCCTGGTGTCTCCAAGCTTCTGGGCACCACTGTGTTCCCCGGTGCCAGCCGTTGAAGCTGCTTGTGGTGATCCTGGTCCAGCCGCAGCCTCGCAGTGAGCCGGCACCCATGCTGGCACCTGGAACTGCCTGCCCCACTGCAGCAGCTGGTGTGCCTGACTGTGCACAGTGGCTGAACCCCATGCTCGTTTGCTCACATAACCCTTGCTACTCTGCTCCAGTCTCTTCAGAGGCATGGGATCCAGCCTGGTAGCATGAGCCGAGCACAGCCTGCCAGGATGAGTGGGCCCAGTGGGTCCAGGCAAAACTCAGACAAAGGCGCCACCAGGCACAGTGGTTTCCGGCCAGAAAAGCAACACCCTCAATGATCTCGTAACACTATGTCATAGCGTTTCTATGCAGATTAAATGAGTTAATTCATTTGAAATACTTGGAGCAGTGCCTGGCACACAGGAAGCACGATTTAAGTGTTTGCTGTTATTACCGTCAAATACTGCATGAACAACCCTGAGATAGATTTTATATGCATCTGATAGAAGAAAAATAGAGGCTGAAAGAGATTAAAAGGTTCTGCTCAAAATGATACAGCACTAAACTCTGGGAGTCTGGTTTTCTGATTTCTAAGCCAAAGCTATTTCCACTACAGCACGTTTCCTCAAAATGTAGGCAGACAGGTGACACTAGAAGCTGTGCCCTGCAGGCCCTGGCATTTTAAAATTTTATTATACATATATTTTAAATGTTTAATTAATTAATTAATTAATTAATTTTGAGACAGGGTCTTGCTCTGTTGTCCAGGCTGGAGTGCAGTGGTATGATTATAGCTCACTGCAGCCTCCAACTCCTGTGATCCTCCCACTTTGGCCTCCTGAGTAGCTGGGACTACAGCCACACGCCACCATATGTCCAGCTAACTTTTTTCATTTACTTTTTGTAGAGATGGTGTCTTTCTGTGTTGCCCAGACTGGTCTTAAACTCCCAGCCCCGAGCAATCCTCCTGCCCCGGCCTTCCAAAGTGCTGGGATTACAGGTATAAGCCATGGCACCTGGCCAGGCCCTGGCATTTTAAAAGTTAAGCATTCTGCTGACTGGCAGCTCTGGGTTGGGAAAGTCAGAATGAGATGATGGATAGAAGGGATGTCTGAAAGCATACTCTTGGTTTCTGATTTGATTTCCTGCATAAGCCTTCATCTCGAACCTACCCAGGTGCTGGCCTTGGCTTCTGAGCATAAGATTGCATCTTGCCACCACCGAGGCACAAAGCAAGCCTGAAATCTGGCCTCTGCTGGACCCCTCGTATAGCTTAGGCCCTGCAGGCACATATGTGGTTGGATAAACCCTCAGCTCCCCGATGCTCTCCCCCATGGGGATCTGCCTGGAACAAGGTTCCATCCAAAGGCACCAGAGTCATTAAACAGCCATTCAAGTGGAATAAAAACCCTCAGGAGCCCTGGCAGCTGGCCTGATCTTCAAAGGCTGCCATTGGAACCCATAATGGATGTGTACGATCCAGCCAAGTTCTACCACCTGGTGGATGTTGGCAGATTCAAGGAGCTCTCAGGAGGAGAAGTTGAGGTCAGAGTGCTACTGGGGGCTCTGCCAGGAGAACCCCAGGGTAACAGGTCAGGTCTATGCTTCTATCTCCTGACCGCCTGGCTAGAGTTCTGGCCTCTGCCGACATCCAGGTTCAACACCACAATCAACTGAGCCCTTGCTTTATGCCAAGCACTGCACTGAGCCCATTTATACATTATTTCCTTTTGTCCCCACAATAGCCTGTGAGCTGGGAACTGAGATCTACAGACAAGAAATCCTGATTCAGAAGAGATAAGTAACTTGGCCAAGATAGGGAATGGTCCTTTACATCTGATCCATCAGCATGTTCTGCTGATCCTACCTCCAACATTATAGTCCAGTGAGTGACTCTCTGAAACCCTTCTGCCACCTCTCCAGTCCAATCTGCCATTAACACAGTGGTCTTTCAGATGATTCTCCTCTCAACAGCTGGAAGGATATTTTTCAAACATCTAAGCCACATCACTTCTCTGGTCAACATCCTCCAAAGACGTCTCAATGTACTTAGAAAAAACCATCAACTTCTTATCCTGCAGGCTCTACTTGATCTCCCCACTGATATTTCTGCAAACTCATAGTCCCCCAACCCTGCTCTGGCCATAGTGGGGTGACACGGGAGAACAGAGGGAGGGTCTCCTAGCTATTCAAAGTGGTGCAGGGCAGATGAGCCCCAAAGTAGGGCTTAGTCCATGAGGGTTCCTGGCTTTGCCCGGGAAAGAATTAAAGGGTGAGCTGGTGGTAGGGTAGAAGAAAACAGCTTTATTGAAGCAGCAGTGTGACAGCTCTGTGACTGCTCCTGCAGAGCAGTGCTACCCCATAGGCAGTGTGCTGAGTAGCAGCTCAGGGCAGTTTTGTAATCACCTTTATACCTACGTTTAATTACATGTAGATTAAAGGGTGGATTATGCAGAAATTTCTAGGAAAAGAGTGGTAACTTTTGGGTTGTCGGGTCATTGCCGTGGAAAGGGACGGTAACTTCCAGGTGTTGCCATGGCAATGGTAAACTGAGATGGCGCACTGTTGGGTGTGTCTTATGGAAAGCTGTTTTCCCCCATCCCTGTTTTAGCTAGCCCTCAATTTGGTCCAGTGTCCAAGTCCCACCTCCTGCCTCAAAAGTGTGGGTCTCAGACCAGCACAGGTGTCACCTGGAACTTATTAGAATACAGATGCTCAGGTGCCTCCTCAGGCTTATGGAATCAGAAACCACATTTTAACAAGACCCCCAGTTGATTCACAGGAACATCAATGTCGTGGTTAAGAGTGAGTGAAAAGGGCTTTGGAACCAAGCAGCTTTAAGTTGGAAGCTCAGCTCAACCACTCACCAGCTGGATGACTTTGCACGGTTGCTAGTTACTACCTAAACAGTGAAAAAGTAATCTTACCCAAAAAGAGGCCTAGCCTTTGTCTTTGGCTCCTAGGGACTGATCTCTAGGTCCCTGGAATGTTCTGCCTAAGAAGAGTATCTTTGTTTGCCTAGGGGCTTTGACTCTTGGCTAGCCTAGCAATGTGATTTATGATTGGGGCTCTAGGATCACATAGTATCAATTCAGACTTATGGTGAAACTGATCATGAAAGGTCTTACCCAGACCTCTGGGAGGGGATAGAGACTGAAGATCAGCCACCTGAGCAGTATGTGATTGAGGCTCAGTAAAATCTCTGGATGCCAAAGGCGTGACAAGCTTCTCTGGCTGGCTATACTGTTTGCATTGTCACACACAGTGACTGAGTAGAGGTAATGCTGTTTGTGACTCACAAGGCGGACAGATGACTAGAGTCTCAGAGTTTGACCCCTCCTGGACTCTGCCCTATGCGTCTCCTCCCTTGGCTGATTTTAATTTGCACCCTTTTGCTGTAATAAAACTGTAGTCATAAGTAGCACTTTCCTGAGTTCTAGTAGTCTTTCTAGCAAATTATTGAACCTGAGGGAGGTCACAGGGGCCCTGAAATTGTAACCAACTGGTCTGAAGGGAGGTAGTCCTAGAGACCTCAGAACTTACAGCTGGTATCTGAAGTGAGGGCAGTTTTGGGTGAACTGTTCTCTCACTCTGCAGTTGGCTATACTCATTGCACTTCCCGTCCCTAAGCTTCGAGTTTCCCCAGCTGAAAAATGATCATAAAATAGATCATAACTTATATGTTTGTTGAAAGATTAAATGAGAAAATCAACATACAGGTGGTTCATGATAAATAGAAGTATTACTGTCCCCATTGTTCAGACAAGAAAAAAACCGAGGTTCAGCGTGGTAAAGCAACTTGCCCACAGTCACACAGAAGCCAGCTCTGGCTGACTTTGACCATGGTGCCACACAGCTTCCTCATGAATTGCTAATGTTTTCTGAGAAGGGAAGAACAAGAGTGGTTTGGTTAAGCCAGGAGCCCAGCAATCTGGTAAGGAACTCAGGGGTTGTCTGGGGTGAGTCGCCTGTCTCCATGCCAATGCTCCCCACTGTTTTTTCTTCTTTCCTTCTGGGATTCATGTGACATAAATGTTCTGGAATCCATGTGACATGAACATTAAACCTTTTTGATATTTCTCCATAGGTCTCCCCACCCTTTTCTTTCCCCGATTTTTTTCACTCTCTGTTGCATAATTTCTCTGGATCTGTCTTCGAGCCCACTAACACCTTCCTCTGTCACCTCCATTCTGCTATTGAGTTCATCCAGCAAATATTTTGTTTCAGTGATTGTACTTTTTCAGTTCTAAAATTTCCACGTAATTCTAATATCTTCTATTTCTCTGTTGATCTGCTGACATTTTCTACCTTATCATTCTTTTCAAGAGGGTTCACCCTTACTTCGTGGAGCATGGTTATAATAGTTGCTTCAAAGTCTTCATCTGATAATTCCAACATCTGGGCCATCTTGTGGTTGGCATCTGTTGATTACACTTTCTCTAAGAATTTGCCAGATTTTGCTAATTCTTCGTAAATCAAGTCATTTTGGGTTGTATCCTGGCCATTTTTAATATTATGAGACTCTAGGTCTTGCTTAAATCCTATTGAATATGTTGACTTTTTAAGAAATTGACATGGAAAAGTTCAGGCTACAAGTTCTATCCTGCCTTCTGTTTGCTGTTATTTTGATGTCAGTTCAGTTTTCAAAGGCCTTGCAATGCTATTTGTATCTGCCCCTCAGATGTGTCCCCAAGGGACCTAGGTGGTGAGCCACCCTATAGTTTGGTTTTCAGTGTCTTTAGTAGACTGTTTAGAATAATATCCACTTGTGTAGCTTGGAGATGAGTCCAGTAGTACATACACAGTTTTATGGAACCTATTCTTAAGTTCTTCCCCTTTATAATACTCCCCATACTGTAGCTCTCAGGGGCTCACTTTTGTGGTCCTCTGGCTTTAATCCCTTCGCTCTGCAGCTCACTTCCCATGACTGATCTGGCGCTGAGTGCCTACTGCCAGGTCTTGCTCTGACCTATCTCCCCATACTGCCAATCCCAAGAAACTTCAGGGAGCACAAACGCCTGGTTCTGCATCTGAGTTGGCACAGATTTGGTGTCAATTCCTGGCTCCCAGACATCATACCACTGGCAGCTTTGGAATGATGGTGAACAGGTGAGGGAGATGCTGGGGCAACAACCACAGGCTGCTGGGCTGAGCTATTAAATACCTCCAAAGCACCAGGTTTTCAACTCTTTCACAGACTGCAATGATTAAAACAGCAGATATAATTTTCCAAGTGGCCACTTCTGGATGGGCCCACAGGCTGATTTGCCTTTAACCCCCATAAAAAGAATGATTGCTACACTTTACACAAAAGTAAGCTGGATCTCAGAGAGGCAGTGTCACTTGCTTGAGGTCACACAGCTGATTTATCATGGGGCCAAGATTCAAACTCAAGTCTGTGTAATTCCAGGTCCTGCTCTTCTATGGCAGGGTCCATCAATTATCATCATCATCAATCATATTTCACATTTATTGAGCACTAACTGTACAAGGCACTTTCTAAAGCTTTTTATATAAAATAGTGAGATTTTCAGCATTAGAGGAAAGGTAAAAATAAATATATAAAATAAAAATTGAGATTGGAAGCTCATAACAGAGAAGAAACCTGAGATCCATCAAAAGAATAGTTTGCCCGATGCCCATACACTGTCTAGGTGGTAATGGTGAATTTCTTTCTTTCTTTTCTTTTCTTGAGACCGGGTCTCATACTGTCCCCCAGGCTGGAGTGCAGTGGTGTGATCATAGTTTACTGCAGCCTTGGACTCCTGGGTTCAAGCGATCCTCCCAACTCAGCCTCCTGAGTAGCTGGGACTACAGGCAAGCACCACCATGCCTGGGTAATTTTTTAATTTTTTGTGGAGGTAAGGTCTCGCTATGTTGCCCAAGCTGGTCTTGAACTCCTGGCCTCAAGCAATCCTCCTGCCTAGGCCCCCCATAGTGCTGGGATTACAGGTATGAGTGTGAACCACTGTGAATGGCCAAAAGGTGAAATTTGAACCAAACTGTAGCTCACTCCAATCCATACTCTGAATAGCCATGCAACCTTCTCTCTATTAGGCAGAGCTGAGTCTGGTGCTCACTAAGTCAGGCTAGAAGGGGAAAAGACAGAGGCTGCTGCATGGCTGCAGAGAGAAGGTATGTCATGGGTGGGCTGTGGCCAGGGTGGGGCTGTGGGGAAGCATCTGTGCCCTGGAACAAGCTCACACATCTCTCCATCCCAGGAGAATTTCAGGCTCTCTCAGAATGCTCTGCCCCACTCAGAATTCCTTCCTTTTCTCTTCTCTGCTGGAGACCCTCTGCCTCTCCACTGTCCTGCTTCCCAAACTCCAACACTTTTTATTTTTAATTTAATTTTATTTTTTGAGACAGAGTGTCACTCTGTTGCCCAGGTTGGAGTGCAGTGGCATGATCCTAGCTCACTGCAGCCTTGACCTCCTGGACTCAAGTGATCCTCCCACCTCAGCCTCCTGAGTAGCTGGGATGACAGACATGCACCACCATGCCCAGCTAATTTTTAATTTTTTTTTTTTTTAGAAATGGGATTATGCTATGTGCCCAGGCTGCTCTCGATCTCTTGTACTCAAGTGATTCTCCTGCCTCGGCCTCCCAAAGTACTGGGATTATACATGTGAGTCACTGTGCCTGGCCCCCAACCCCTTTAAAGAACATCCTCCAGTACCCATTTGACCTGGGGTCTTTCCAAGCAAGAGGCTGGCATGCTGCCCTCCAGGCCTCCCACCCATTCCCCGCCGTGCCTTCCCACCCATCTCATCTCACCAGCAGATTCAATTAGCTGATTTGATGCTACAGCTGCAGAAAGCCAAGCAATTATGGAACACAGACCAGGTGCCTTGGCACTCGCTCTCACAGAGGGGTCTGGGAGGCCTCCAGACAGACAGCAGGGCGAGAGGGAGGTGGAACAGTAGAGGCAAAGATTGGCCAACCCAGCCTGCACAAGAGAGCCACCTGGGAGCTTTGAAGAATACAGATGCCTTCCAAAACCCCAAAAAACCCAGACGCCTGGGTTGATTCAGTTTATCTGTTCTGGGAACGGGGCATCAGAGTTTTTTTAAAGTCCCTGAGTAATACTAACGTACAGACAGGGTTAGGGAGTCAAACAATGTGCAGGGGTAGGGACCAGTGCTAGAGAGTTTGTTTGTTTGTTTGTTTGTTTGTTTATGTTTTTGAGATAGGGACTGGCTCTGTCACCTAGACTGGAGTGCAGTGCCGTGATCTCGGGTCACTGCAACCTCCACCTCCCAAGGCTCAAGCAATCCTCCCACCTAAGCCTCCCGAGCAGCTGGGACTACAGGCATGCACCACCATGACCAGCTAATTTTTGTAATTTTAGTAGAGATGGGGTTTTGCCATGCTGCCCAGGCTGGTCTCAAACTCCTGGACTCAAACGATCCGCCCCCTTCAGCCTCTCAAAGTGCTGGGATTAGAGGTGTGAGCCACCGCACCGGGCCAAGGGTTTAATTCTTATTAATGCACTGGCACAATCAATCATCACTCACCCTGATGCCCTTCCTGGGTCTATTTGTTTCCCAAAATGTGGTCTGCAGCCCCACAGCATCAGCATCACCTGGGAACTGTTAGAAATGCAGAATTCCAGGCCCACCTTGGCCTCCTGAGTTACTGAGTCAGAATTTGCATTTTAACAAATCCCTGGGCGACGCAGATGCATGTGAAAATAGAGACGCCATATTCTCTAGTCTTAGAGAGACACCAAGGGTTGGCAAAAATTGAGGCGTGTCTGTCATTGCCTTGTTTCTTTTCTGTGTATTCCATAGCTGTCCTGCACTGGTTATTATTGATGAGGCCCCTCTAAGCCTATGCCCTGGTCAATTCCCGCAGCAGGCAGCAGGGTGTGGGGGTCTTTCATGCCAACCCCTGGCAGTTTTAGCTCCCAGGTTGAAGTATGACGTCAGCCTCAATTTCTCTTCCGGGGCGGGAGCCCGGCCGACCTCTCTGCATCCCCTGCAATCCTCTCTGCTGATTAATACCTCCTTGTCCTTCAGCTCCCAGCTCACGTGTCAGCTCCTCTCACTCCACAGACTGGGTCAGACACTCTGAAATGTGCCCTGCATCTCTCCTTCAGAGCCCTTAGACCAATTTACAATTCAATCATTATTGGTGTGGCATTTAATTAATGTCCGTCTGCCTCTACTAGAATTAAGCTCCATGAGAACACAGGCCGTGAATGTCTGGTTCTCTGTCGAATACATAACGTCTAGCACGGTGCCAGGTACATAGTAGGTGCTCCAAAAATTTAATCAGTAAGGACAGACACATGGTCAGCTCCAGCCCCAGGGAGCTGGTCCCACCCCCTCCCACCTCAGCCATAACAGGCGGCCAGCAAGCAGCAGTTCCTCCACCTGCCTTCCCCCAGGCTTTGGAAACGCTTCCTTAGCCAAGGGCCGCCTCTTGATCAAGTTTGCCAAGGGAATAAGACTTTTTTCTTTTCTTTTTTTTTTTTTTTTTTTTTTTTTTTGTGATGGAGTTTCACTCTTGTTGCCCAGGCTGGAGTGCTATGGCATGATCTTAGCCTCCCGAGTAGCTGGGATAACAGGCACCCGCCACCATGCCCAGCTAATTTTTGTATTTTTAGTAGAAATGGGGTTACACCATGTTGGCCAGGCTAGTCCCGAACTCCTGACCTCAGGTGATCCACCCGCCTTGGCCTCCCACAGTGTTGGAATTACAGGCATGAGCCACTGTGCCCAGCATACAGAGGGTTTTGAGTGCCTTTCAGAAGGACAGGAAACCCTGGCCACTTAGGGGAAACTGAGGGAGGGAGAAGGCTAGAGGCTCAACACATGACATTTGGTTCTTTCAAATTTAGGGATTTCTCCAAAACTTTACCTCCAAGAAGACAGATGGCCTTTCTCTAACATCGAGAGGGAAGACAATACCCTACCCAGGTAATTCTGCAAAATAATTTTTTCCTTCCCTCTTTGGGTTTTCCACAGAATCTCAGACTCTATGTAGACAACGTAGATAAACTATATTATTTATTTATGTATATATATGTAGCCTTTCTTCAGATAAGCTCAAGGTAGCATCTAGCTGCATAAATTGGATGTCTTTCAAGTAATAATAATAACGTCTCATATTTAAAGAGGACTTTCTCTGAGCCAAGCATTGCTCTAAGCCTTTATGTCTATTTACCCATTTGGACTTTGCAACAATTCACCGAAGTAAGTACCATTATCCCCATTTTACAGGTGAGGAAGCTGAGGCAAAGAGAGGCCAAGCAAAGTGCCAAGATTACACAGCAAGTAAGTCACAAATATGAACCCAAGCTAAAGGTCTGGTTCCTAACTATTACGCCTAACTATTCCCTCAAAGTGGCAATGAAAGAACATTCTTTTCTCAGGGAAAAGAACAGTATTCCAGGTTCCAGCATCAGCATCCAGGTACTTCTCTGAATTGCTCAGGATCTGCCGGGCTGAAGCTTCATTTACTTATTTTTTCTTTCCTTCTAATTATAGCAAAATACGTGTAACATAAAAGTAACCATTTTTAGGTATACAGTTCAGTGGCATTAAGTATATTCACAGTGTTGTGTAACCATCACAACCATCCATCTCCAGAATTTTTTTTTTTTTTTAAAGAGTTTCACTCTTGTTGCCCAGGCTGGAGTGCAATGGCGTGATCTCGGCTCATTGCAACCTCTGCCTCCCAGGTTCAAGTGATTCTCCTACCTCAGCCTCCCGAGTAGCTGGAATTACAGGTGCTCACTACCACGCCTGGCTAATTTTTGTATTTTTATAGAGATGGGGTTTCACCATATTGGCCAGGCTGGTCTCAAACTCCTCACCTCAGGTGATCCACCCACTTCGGCCTCCCAAAGTGCTGGGATTACAGGAACAGGCCACCATGCCTGGCCTCCAGAACTTTTCTTATCTTCCCCAAATGAAAGTCTGCACCCATTAAATAATAACTCCCCATCCTGTCCTTCCCCCAGCCCCTGATAATCTCTATTCTATTTTCTGTCTATGAGTTTGACTACTCTAGGTATTTCACATAAATGAAATGATACGGCATTTGTCCTCTCATATCTGGCTTGTTTCACTTAGCATAATGTCTTCCAGCTTCATCCATGTTGTAGCATGGGTCAGAATTTCCTTCCTACTCAAGACTGAGTAATATTCCATTGTATGTATGCACCACTTTGTTTACCCATTTATCTGTCGATGCATGTTCAGGTTGCTTCCACCTGTTGGTGGTTGTAAGGAAAGCTGCTATGAACGTAGGTGTACAAATAAGAGTTTGAGTCCCTGCTTTCAATTCTTTTGGGTATATACCTACAAGTGCAATTGCTAGATCACATGCTAATTCTATTTTTAACTTTTTGAAGATTTGCCATCAAGCTGCATTTCTTTTTTCTGCCTTTCTGATATGGTTTGCCTCTGTGTCCCCACCCAAATCTCATGTGAAATTGTAAACACTAATGTTGGAGGTGGGGCCTGGTGGGAGGTGATGGATCATAAGAGTGGATTTCTCATGAATGGTTTAGCATCATCTCCCTTGGTACTATATAGTGAGTGAGTTCTCCTGAGATCTGCTTGTTTAAAAGTGTGTGGCACCTCCCCCTTCACTCTCTTCCTCCTGCTCTGGCCATGTCAGGTGCACGATCCCTCTTTCCCTTCCTCCATGATTGTACGTTTCCTGAGGCCTCCTGGGAAGCCAAGCAGATGCCAGCCTCATGCTTCCTGTACAGCCTGAGGACCCATGAGCCAATTAAACTCTTTTCTTTATAAATTACCCAGTCTTCGGTATTTCATTGTAACAATGCGAGAACGGACTAATACGCTTTCTTTCCTTCTTTTTCCCAACATCCAGTAAAAGCCCAATCACCTCAGTGGCCAGCTCCACTTTACTTTGGTTCAGTAAACCTTCCTGAATTTCCTGGAAGCCCTCTGGGCTGTGTGTTGCTATCTTGGGCGGTGAAAAGCAATTTTACCCCTCTTTTCATTTTTTATTTTTAAACTTCAGCTGCAGAAACCACCTGATAGAAAATTGCAGACAAATCCTCCTCCCACACAGGAAAACAAGTGTTCAGAAAGTCCAGCTTACCAGCTAATTACAGGCTTTTACCAGGGATTCACGGCAAATGCTAAATTGCAGACCAACCTTACTTTTGTTATGAAGTGTTTGGAAACATGCTAATAGGCTGGGCTTTGGTTCCTCGGCCTAGAGGTGACAGCTCTTTCTCTCAGTGGACAAATAAAGCAGGTTAGAACCTTATGAATCTGAGTTCAGGAGAACTGTAGCTTTGCTGAGATACATACTGGCTTAAGACACCTTTCTCATATTATTCCAGCCAGTACCCTTTATGTAAATTGCCACCCTAGCTGGGATTTCCACTCACAGCTGTGGTTCGGAACAATGAATGAGCAATAGAAATATCTGGGGTGTTTTTAAAAAATAGCTACTTATAGATGCTCAGTGCCTCAGCCTAGTCCAGTTGCTTTAGAGTCTCTGCGGAATGCAGTGCAGCCATTGGTAGCATTTTAAAGCTCTCAGGTAATTCTAAGGTACAGCCAGGGTTGAGAATCCCTGATTTAAGGGGGCAGGCAGGCAATGCTTCCTTCTCCAGAAAGAATATTTTCAACGAGCTTTTAACCAGAGGAGCCTGAACTTCCAAGTCAGGGCCCCAAAACTTACAGGAGAGAAGCGGGTCTTCTGTGAATGGAGAGTACAGGACTTCCCTGACAGCATCAGCTGACCACTGCCCCAGCTGACAGTTGCCACCTGAAGTGCCGTGGGTTGAATAAAAGATGTATGGAGAGGGGGTGTGGTGTGGCTACCCTTGTAGTTTGAGCCTTATGAGGTAACCATATGGAATTCAAGGAATTCGAAAAAACCTCTGCAACTATATGCAAAATTTTCCATACTTCCATGTATTTTTCTGGAGTTCTAATCACAATCCCTGAAGTTCTGTCATACCCCCCCACCCCCAGAATAAATAACCTCAGCTTTTATCATACTACATCATGCAACAGTATCTAATGCAGTTATTAAAAATGAAAAGTTAAATCCATTTGTATTCATATTGATCTGAAGGCAACGAACACATTCATTGTTAATTAAACCAAAGCAAGTGTCAGTGTGGTATCCATGGAATGTCCTGGTAAGCTCCGCCAGGGCAGGGATTAGGTCTGTTTTGTTCACTGCTCTATTCCCAGAACTTGGAAGCACTGCCTGGCACAGAAGGTGTTTAATACACACTTGCTGAATTCATGAATAATGTTTTAAAGGAACAGAACCCTCTGTATGTGGATATTGTTTGTGTGAACAAGGAAAAAAGTGTGGAATGCTACACAGCAGAACATTAAAGGCATGACTTCAGGGAGAAGGAACTGGAAAGGGGAAGGCATTAAAGGAAGACATTAGGCCAGGCGTGGTGGCTCATGCCTGTAATCCCAGCACTTTGGGAGGCCGAGGTGGGCAGATTGCTTGAGGTCAGGAGTTTGAGACTGGCCTGGCCAACATGGTAAAACCCCGTCTCTACAAAAAATACAAAAAATTATCCAGGCATGGTGGCGTGCACCTATAATCCCAAGTACTGAGGAGGCTGAGGCACGAGAATTGCTTGAGCCTGGGAGGTAGAGCTTGCAGTGAGCCGAGATCATGCCATGGCACTCCAGCTGGGCATCAGAATGAGATTGTCTCAAAAAAAAAAAAGCGGGGAGAAGGATTACACAGCAAGAAAACACTCTGAAATAAACAAAACTGCATGAGGGAGTGAGAAGGTGGTGGCTGCCCCATGTGTGTGGGAGAAAAAAGGAAAACACTAAACTTTCCCTTTAATAACAGTTAACAGTTCTAGAGTGCTTACTATGGGTGGCACAGTGCTCAGCACCGTGTGTTTATTGATCTCACTGAATGCAAATAACAATCCTGTGAAGTGTCCTGTATTGTTATCCCCATTTTACAGCTGAGAAAACCTAAGCACGCAGATCTTGCCCAGGGTCACCAAAGTAGGTGAGTGGTAAAGCCAGGACCCAGACATCAGCTCCCCAGCACAGGCACATAACCCCTGTTCTCCTCTGATTCTCTGTCCTTACACATCTTTTCATGGTGTCACTCATTATAACACGTGTGTGCTACATTTATCATAAAATGTTAAGTAAAATATGAAGTGTCAGGGCTTTCCATGGGGGCTCTCAGTTTCCCCTGGGGTCCTCTCCTCATCTAAGCTTACAATAGGAGGTCCCTTATTCTCAGCAGGGACTTGGGAAAAGAGACTTCATTTTTTATCTGTGTCTTGGTTTAATATACAATAGGCCCCACTACCTGCCTGTCCACCATTTAAGGAGTCAGGGGTGACGGTCTTCTGTCTTGGCCTGAAACCTAGGAGAGAGTGAGGCCCTTGTCTATTTGTAACTCCATCCGGACAGCAGCCATCACAGACTGCATTAGAAGGGATCATTATATCTGCATATGGCAGGCATCCCCTGATTCAACGCAGACTCTATGGGTGACAGGCCTTGAGAAAACCCAGAACCAACCTGCTTCGAAGGGGTCTCAGAGGATAGACATTTGCAATCTTGGTGAGAAGGAGCAATAAGTTTATATAGGGGAAATCTTGTATGCAAGGGTTTTTCAGCCATGGATTGATTTCTTGGGAGACCTGGAGCCCAGGGTTCTAGACAAGATCTAACCAGAGGAGAGTTTCCAGTTACCCTGGAGAAGGATGTCTCAAAGGATGATGTCGATCCCCAGTTCTAGCCCTACCTGGGTGTTTGAGGAAATATAGATCCCTTGATATGTGGAGCTGGCAAGACCAGAGCTTGAGTCCTGATTCTATCAGCTTGAGACTTTGTGTAGGTTGTTTAGGTTTTAAGCCTCAGTCCCTAGATCTGTAAGTTGAGGATGAAGATATCAACTTGACAGGGTGGGTTATGGTGAATGTTAGCAATGATATAGGGAAGTACATACTGTAATTAGAACACAAGAAAGAATAACCATTACTCCTACTAACTCTATCCCTGTTGTGGTGAGTAGCTTCTAAGATGAGTCCCAGTGGTTCCCACCTCCCACTCTTCCTACCCTTGTGTAATCCCTTCCTCTTGAGTGTGGGCTGGACCTAGTGAATTGCTTCTAGTGAATAGAATATAATGAAAGTAATAGGATGTCATTTCCAGTATTAGATTACAAAAAGACTCTTCCTTGCCATTCTTGCTCCCTCACTTGACCACTCTGATGAAAGTCATGTTGTGAGTTGTTCTATGGTAAAGCCCATGTGGCAAGGAATTGAGGAAGGTCACTGGCCAACAACCAGGAAGGAACTGAGGTCCCCAGTTCAACAGCCTGCAGGGAACTAAATCATGCTGAAAACTGTGAGTGAGCTTGAAAAGAGATCCTCCCCCAGTTGAGCCTTCAGATGAGGCTGCAGCCTCAGCCAATACCTTGATTGCAGCCTTGTCAGAGGTATTCACACAGAACTATACAGCAAAGCTTTGTATACCTGAATTTCTGACCCACAGGGACTATGAGATATAAATGTTTGTTGTTTCAAGCTACTAAATTTTGGGGTGATTTATTATGCTGCAATAAATAACTAATATACCCTGGAAATACTACATTAGATTACACCCTGGAAAAATGGACTAAATTCTACCAGACAGTGTCACATGAAGCCTCTACTTAAATACTACATCCTCTGGGAAGACTTTAAAAATCCCTTTTTCTGAGTTAGGTGACACTGTTTTTTCATATGCCTCTCTATTTGACTGCAGGGAACTTGAATCATCACCACCATCATCATCAAAACTAACACATAGTGAGTACTTATTATGTACCAAGTATATTGCAAAGTCGTAAGTCATTTACTGTTCACAACAAACCTATGCCACACGTACTATTATTGTTCACATTTTGTAGATGAGGAAACTGAAGCTCAGAGGAGTTAAGTAACTTGCCAAAGACCTCAGTTATTATGTGGCAGTCTGAGGAAATTTGGCTCAAGTCCACATTTCTAACAATTATATTATAGGGCTCTATGAGTCCTGCCCCAGTTCATAGATGTTAAGTGGGTTCAAACCCAGGTAGTTGAATGCCAGACATTACGTTCTTAAATGTAACTCTCTCTAGATGCCTTCTGGCTCTAGGACAGTAAGTTTGACGTGCCTCACCTGGAGTTCATCGGGTTTTGGAATGCTACCTACCTGTAAACACTAGGCTGGCATTTTCCAGTTCTTCTTGGGGAACTTTGAAGCTGAAGGATTCATTGTAGAAAGGATCAATTGTGCCCCTTAAGAAGGACGTCTTCTTGGTTTTCACAAGTTTGAGTCCATGCACCAGCTGGATTTTCACAAAGGGGTCTGAAAATTAGACACAGCATCATAGAATGTTGGAGATCATGAAACCTAATCCGTCCAGTCATTCTGCCATTCAACCTCCCATCCATCTGTCTTTTTATTCCTCCATTCTTCTATCCATCCACCCATTCAACTTTTCATTCATCTCATAGTCCGTCCATTCATCCACCTGTTTATCCATCCATCCATCTTTCCATCCGTCAGTTCACTGATCCATTCATCATCTCACCATACTTTTATCTATCCATTTTCTATCCATCCAATTTCTCATCTATTTGACAGTTCAACCATCCATCCATCTATTATCCATCCATTTTCCCATTCATCTGCTTATCCCCTTCCTTCTTCCTTTAGCCATCTAATATTTGTTGAGCTCCTCCCATATGTCAGCATTGTGTTCATTTTACAGATAAGAAAACTGAGGACTCAAGGTGAGAAATCAGTTTTTAAAGATCTTGCTGGTGGACACAGAACCAGACTCAGAGCCTGCCCTGGATTTCTGTCTGTGGAAACCCATTATCATTTCAGTGAGCCCATAGCCCATATACAGGTGAATAGAGATGGCAGAATTATAATTCATTTTTAGATCATTTTACAGTTTACAAAGGGATTCATGTACATTATCTAATTTAATATTTGTTTAAACAACTTATCAAGATGAATACTGTTATTATGTCAGTTTTTGAGATTGAGAAATTGAGGCACATAGTGGTTAAGTAACTTCCCTAAAGCCACATCATTTGTAAGCCACATCATTTGACTCCTAAACCCTTAATGATTTTATCATACTGACTCTCCCATCGTGGTGAGTCTGAAACTCTTCAGTCTTAATACCATTGCCTCCACTGGCCCTTTCTAAGCCTCTGTTTTTATAATGTGGCTTTTGAGAATGCAAGGTGTCTTCTAGCTGTCACCTTATTGCAAAAGTAATTTATTTTAGCTACCGCACTTAGAGAAGACAATAATTCCACCACTGAGCTGAACAGATCCCTGACTACAGCTGCTTTCACAGTAATATCCTTTGCTGTCATGGAAGAAGCAACATGCAGATGGAATGGAATCTGTTCCGTTCCATTAAAAGTCATGTTTGAATGGTTTTTGCTATAATATACACACTTTAAATACAAGTCTTTTCAGAGTTGGAATTCATAAAAATTTATGGCACACATGAAATGAGCTGGCGAAAAACCTTAGGGTGTGTCCTCCACGCTCATTGATTAGAATGGATAGTCAATGCACACTATCGCCACCTGCAGGATGGCGTCTACATTGCAGGAATAGCATTTGGAAAGGCCAAGTCACTTCCTTGGGTTCAAATAGGTTTTAAGTTTCCAGTAGTTATCACAACCAGTCTCAGTCAACTCCCCAATTCCAATAGGGTTACTAAGATGGCATCATTTACCTGCCTCATCCTGAGATGAGTAATGCTCATCCAGGATACGGAAAAAGAAAACTGGGTTCTCCACACAAACACAGATGCCCCATTAATAAAGTGAGAGAAGAGGGGAATCACACGGTACCTGAACCTTGGCTCACATCTGTCTGAAGAAGTTGCTTGGCTCGAATGACATCAACATTCAGTCTGCCAGCACTTGGGAGATAATTCAGTGACAGAAGCAGCTCCCCCAGCTCCACTTCATTCTGTAGAGAAAGGAAATGATCAGGAAGTTGCCTTCTCCTTTTATTCCTTTTGCACCCACCATACAAGAAATTGATTGCAGCAGCTCACAAACAGGTTGCTGTGAGCGCATCAGTTGACAGTGGGAGCCTCTGTGTGTGACTTCTTTTCATCTCTGCCTCTAATTATTGTGGTCCATCTATCTCTGAGTTTTTTCCGCTCTTAGATCACTCAACAGCAACAACAATAACAACAAAAGCAGCAATAATTTTTTAAAAAATGCTTCACTGCCATGTACTACGCTAAGCGCTTTACATGTAATGACTAATGAGTCTGTGAGGTATTAGTATTAACTCTGTTTAACAGATGAGGAAACCGAGGCTCACAGGGTTAAATAACATGTCCAAAGCCACAGCAAGAAAGTGGTAGAGCTGGTACTTAAACCCAGGGAGGCTGATTTGGTTCCAGATACTCTGACTGCTGTTATTCTGCCATCCAATAGGATACCTGGGAGGTAGAATGCCCTGCAGAGGAACTGAGTGAGAAATCTGTTCTTAACCTGGAGTCCCCAGCAGATCCCACGCTTCTAACCTCACGATAGCAACACTCGGCACAGTGACATCCCTTGTTGAAGAGTACCCATCCCCTTGATGTCAGCTCTGTCACACTGTGGAAAATTCCCATGAACACCTAAGTGCATGACTCCATACTGCCAAAGGTACCTAGAAAACAGGAGGCCTCCCACTTCTCTGTCCCCTTTTAAAAAAAAAAGTATTGTAGAAAATTTCAGCCATATACAAAACAATAGACTAGCATAACAAATCTCCATCTATCCGTCACAAAATTGTAACAATTATCGACATTTTGCCAAATGGTATTTCACCTATATTCTGACTTGTGAAACGTTTTAGCTGAATATTTTAAACTAAGCCCTCGATATGGTGTCATTGTACCTGCATATCCTTCAGAATGCATCTTTAACTGATGAGGACATTAAAACAAGCATTTTAGTGTGGGAAATTTCCAGTCATATTCAAAACCAGACAGAAGAGTATACCCCACCATCTTCGTACCCAAACATCATTCAGCTTCAAAAATTCTCATCCCATGGTGAATCTCCCCTCACTTACACCTTCATTCAACTCCCCATATTCCTCTGAAGTAACTCCCAGTCATTATATTATTTGTAATATTTCAATATGTATCTTTAAAGGGTAACATCTCTATCTATCTATCTAACTGTCTCATCTATCTATAATCTAACCATCTATTATCTGTCAGTCATCTATTTATCTATGTCTATTATCTATCTTTATCATCTATCTTTCATCTCTATCTTTTTTGATGCCAGTCATTTCAACAAATTAATGCCAAATGCCTAGCACAATACCCAGCGGCTCTAGAACAATGCCTAGCACATAGTAGATACTCAATAAACATCTACTGACAGGGTGAACAGTCAAACCAAAAGATTCCTGTACTGAGTGAGTTAGTCCCCAAACAAACAAGAAACAATCTCGCATGTTAACTCAGAAGTTGCTAACAAACAGCCTGCAGGTGTATTTTGTTTGCCCCACATCACATTTTAACTTATAATTACTTGTTAATTATTATACAATTCAAGAATCAGGCTATTCCACATTTTTAAAAAATGTGGGTTTCTTGCCTTGCTTGAAAAACAGGAAGATCTGGTAACGCTGGCATTCCCACCAGGCAAGTGACAAAGATTCTTTACTTGACCAAACTTTAGTCAGGCTCCTAAACCTCCTAGGCCCATCAGTGCACCACCTTGTAAAATCCAGTTTCTGCAAAGAACGCTGCTAAGTCAGTTTGGTCAGATTCCTCATTCTCTCTCTCTCTTTTTTTTTTTTTTTTTTTTTTGAGACAAGGTCTCACCCTATCACTCAGTCTGGAACAATGGCATGATCATAGCTCCCTGCAACCTCAAATTCCTGGGCTCAAGGGATCCTACTACCTTAACATCCTGAATAGCTGGGATTACGGCATGTGCCACTATGCCTGGATGATTTTTTTTTTTTTAAGAGTTGAGGTCTTCCTGTGTTACCCAGGCTGGTCTTGAAATCCTGGCCTCAAGTGATCCTCCTGCCTTAGCCTCCCAAACTGTTGGGATAACAGGCATGAGCCATCATGCCCAGACAGGTTCTTCATTCTTCGTCATCCCTCAGGTAATGTCTGATCACCCTGGCCTGTCTCCAGCAAAAATCCTGCTAGGTTGATTTAGCCAGAGTCCCCCTTACTCCTCTGATGCTTCCTCTTAGTAATGTTTTTAAAAAATCCCTGACCCCCGACTTTGCTCCATGGCTATAGATTCCCATTTGTCTATGCTGTATTTGAGGCTGAGCCTAGTTTCTCTCTGTGACTGAAAAATCCCATTACTGTGGTCCCTGTACATATCATGATGGTCCTCAATAAATTCTGCCTTGCCATACTTCAAGAAGTGTCATTGAGGACCAGGTGCAGTGGCTCATGCCTGTAACCCCAGCACTTTGGGAGGCCAACGTGGGTGGATCATCTAAGGTCACGAGTTCAAGACCAACCTGGCCAACATGGTGAAACCCCATCTCTAGTAAAAATACAAAAATTAGTCAGACATGGTGGTGTGCACCTGTGATCCCAGCTACTTGGGAGGCTGAGGCAGATCACTTGAATCCAGGAGGCGGAGGTTGCAGTGAGCCGAAATCACACCACTGCACTGCAGCCCAGGCACCAGAGCGAGACTTCATCTCAAAAAAAAAAAAAAAAAGAAAGAAAGAAAGAAATGTCATTGAATAATTTTCTTTAACCCAACATCTAGCCACAGAGCAGTGCAGTGCTCCTTTAGATGGGACCTGCCCCCTTCACATCATACCTCATCTGTCCATTTCTGCCCCTTTACATTCCTGCTGCCCTGCCCTGGGTATCCAAGTATGGAGATTTTCAAAATAGGAATGGTCAACTGAGTGTCTTGAGTAATAAAAGAAGTTCAGCCCCTTTTGCACTGTTGCTAGGGGTTTCCTGCTGCTTCTCAAGGGCTTGGAAGATGCGGTGTCTTTAGGGCATGACCCTGCTGACACATCTACTCTAGTATGAGCAATGCGGAGAATTCTCAGGAGCCCAGGCCATCCAGGTCCTCCTGGACTTTGCTCCTCCCAGGTTTATAAGTCACAGTGATATTTCCTTTTATTTTAAAACAAAACAAAACAAAACAAAAACAAAACAGAACAAAAAACAGTTTACTATGTACCAGGACTAAGGATACACCAGTGAGAACCGTCCCTGACTTTATGGAACATACACTCCTGTGGGGGGGATGGATAGCACACAGATTTTAAAAAATACATAAATGAGATGATTTCAGGTAATGCTAAGTATTAGGAAGAAAAATATAGCAGAGTGAGAGAAAGGAAGAACATTTCTTGGGTGATAGCAATATGCTATATCTTGATTGTGGTAGCAGTTACGTGTGCATTTGCCAAAAATCAACAAACAGTAAGTTCCGCCTCAATGCAGTTGATTGAAAGGGAGTGATTTGAAGTAAGCAAATGTGGCAAAATATTGGCGACTTACGACATCTGGGAGATGGACACATGGGTGTTTGTTTTATTATTATTATTATTATTATTTTTTTTTTTTTTTTTTTTTTTTTTTTTTTTTTTTTTGAGACGGAGTCTCGCTCTGTCGCCCAGGCCGGACTGCGGACTGCAGTGGCGCAATCTCGGCTCACTGCAAGCTCCGCTTCCCGGGTTCACGCCATTCTCCTGCCTCAGCCTCCCCAGTAGCTGGGACTACAGGCGCCCGCCACCGCGCCCGGCTAATTTTTTGTATTTTTAGTAGAGACGGGGTTTCACCTTGTTAGCCAGGATGGTCTCGATCTCCTGACCTCATGATCCACCCGCCTCGGCCTCCCAAAGTGCTGGGATTACAGGCGTGAGCCACCGCGCCCGGCCTTGTTTTATTATTTTATGTGGGAAATATTCCCATTAAAAACATAAAATAAATATGAAAAAGGAAAACAAGACAAATTAGGCAGTGTAAGAGAATGGATGGGGTTCGCGTGGGAGCTGCCCTTTCAGTCGGTGGATGGGGTAGGGTTTCTCTGAGAGGCGAGGTTTGAAGAGGAATGAGGGAGGAAAGAGGGATAGGGACTCATGGGGCAGAGGGAACAACATGTGCAAGGTCTGGGATGGAGGGAGGGAGGAATAAACCCGGCATCACTCAGTCAGTGTGTTCAAAGGAACAAAGAGAAGGCCAGTGTGGGCAGAATGAATGGATTCTAGAGACGCCTACAGGAACCAAGGCAAGCTGCCCAGTGGTTGATCCCAGGGGCTCTGCCCAATCCTGGCAGTCTTCACAGAACTGGAAGGAGGTGGTGAGGCCATCTTCTGGGCCCTCAATACCTAAGAGCCCCTCAAGCCACCTCTGCAGCCTTCAAGTGTGGATAGAATTGTTCCTTCCCTCCCCTGGGGCCATTGATCGAACCTTCAACAAGGCACTTCCTGAAGTCATCCTTTTTCTAAGAAGACTGAGTGTTTTTCATCTTAAGAAAGCAAAGCTCTTTTATTCCTTCTTCCCTTTGCAGATACAAGCTTGCTGTACTCTCTACCCATCCCATCCTCCATACACAGCATGCACAACAGGGATTTCAGGTTGTACTTTTCCAGGGAACCATTCCCATTGATCCGGCCACTGTTTCTGTCTGCCTTATCTGGGGAGTGATCAATTTGTAAAACTGTTGTCTGGAGTCAGGGGAGCAGTTGATAGAAAGTAAAAAAGAGGGCTAATTGTGCAATAGCAAAGGATTCATTGATTCATTTAATAAACGCTCATGTAACAGGTACTAGGTCCAAGCACTTGGGGATGTCACGATTATGATTGTTACAGCAAACCTTTATGGAGAAATCACCATAGTCCTGGCACTGTCCTGGCACTAAAGCTGAATCGCATTTCTTTTCCTTAACAACTCCAGAGGCTTCCATCTTGCAGATGAAAGAATTCAAGCTTAGAGAGCTTGAGCTGCATGACTTGCTCCAGATCATATATCATAAACAAAAAGAACAAGGTTCAAACTCAGCCCATGGTTAACCCTTACACAAGGTTTCTGGTGATTAAGCAGCAATCCCAGACATCAAGCAACTCAGTATCTATTGGTGGAGAGCAAGGAAGATATAAAAACAAATCAAAATTCCAGGGGCTGCACACCCACTAGGATGGCTATAATAAACACACACACACAAAATCATAAGCAGTGTTGGCCAGGATGTGGTAAACAAGAACGCTGTATACTGCTGGTGGTAATGAAAACTGGTGCAGCTGCTTTGGTAAACAGGTTGGTGTATGACCCAGCAGTTCCATTCCTAGGTGTATACCTAAGAGAATAGGAAACATGTCCACATGAAAACTTGTACGCAGATGTTCATAGCAGCACTATTCACAATAGACAAAAGTGGAAGCAGCCTAAATGTCCATCAACAGATAGATAAACAAAACATCACCTATCTATGCAATGGTAGGTTATTCATTCATAAAAACAATGAAGCATTGATACAATGTAGACAAACCTCAAAAAAGTGAAAGAAGCCAGACACAAAAAATCACATATTGTACAGTTCCATTGATAAAATATCCAGAATAGGTAAATCCATAGAGATAGAAAGTAGATGAGTGATTGCTAGGATCTGGGAGGTGGGGGAAATATGGAGTGACTGTTTAATGGATACAGGGTCTCCTTTGGGTGATGGGAATGTTCCATATGGAACATTCCAATTATGGAATTCCATAATTCCAGAACTGGAATTAGATAGAGGTGATGGTTGCACACCACTGAGAATTTACTAAATGCCACTGAATTGTATATTTAAAATGATTACATTTATACTATGTGAATTTCACCTCAATTAAGAAATAATTGCAAACATATGGAAAAAAGCTCATCATCACTGGTTATTAGAGAAATGCAAATCAAAACCACAATGAGATATCATCTTACACCAGTTAAAATGGCGATCATTAAAAAGTCAGGAAACAGCAGATGCTGGAGAGGATGTGAAGAAATAGGAAAGCTTTTACACTGTTGGCAGGAGTGTAAATTAGTTCAACCATTGTGGAAGACTGTGTGGAGATCCATCAAGGATCTAGAGCCAGAAATACCATTTGACCCAGCAATCCCATTACTGGGTATATATCCAAGGATTATAAATCATTCTACTATAAAGACACATGCACATGTATGTTTATTGTGGCAATATTCACAATAGCAAGGACTTGGAACCAACCCCAATGTCCAACAATGATAGACAGGATAAAGAAAATGTAGCATATATACACCATGGAATACTATGCAGCCATAAAAAAGGATGAGTTCATGTCTTTGCAGGGACATGGATGAAGCTGGAAACCATCATCCTCAGCAAACTAACACAGGAACAGAAAACCAAACACCGCATGTTCTCACTCATAAGTGAGAGCTGAACAATGAGAACACATGGACACAGGGAGGGGAATATCACATACCAGGATCTGTTGGGGGTTGGGGGGCTAAGGGAGGGATAGCATGAGGAGAAATACCTCATGTAGATGACAGGTTGATGGGTGCAGCAAACCACCATGGCATGTGTATACCTATGTAACAAACCTGCACGTTCTGCACAGGTACCCCAGAACTTAAAGTATAATAAAAAAAAAAAAAAAGAAATAATTGTAGGGCTCAAGTATTAATCAGCAATATAAATGAAACCCAAGACAGACTGAAGCACAATCTATTCTTGGGAGGGGCATGGTCAAGGAAGTCTTCATGGAGGAGGAGGCATTTGAGTTAAGCCTTGATAAGTAGGATTTAGTCCAGCAAATATTGCAGGGAAGGGTGCCCCATACAGATGGAACAGAATGAGGGAAGCCTTCACTAAAGCCCCAATACTCTTTGTTGTGTTCTGATCCTGAATTTATCAATATTATTATATAAAAGTTGATATGGTTTGGATGTGTTCCCGCTCAAATCTCATCTTGAATTCCCACATATAGTGGGAGGGGCCTGGTGGGAGGTAATTGAATCATGGAGGCAAGTCTTTCCCATGTTGTTCCCGTGATAGTGAATAAGTCTCACGAGATCTGATGGTCTTAAAAAGAGGAGTTTCCCTGCACAAGTTCTCTCTGTTTGCCTGCTGCCATCCATGTAAGACGTGACTTGCTCTCCTTGCCTTCTGCCATGATTGCAAGGCTTCCCCAGCCACGTGGAATTGTAAGTCTAATTAAAACTCCTTCTTTTGTAAATTGCCTAGTCTCAGGTATGTCTTTATCAGCAGCATGAGAACAGACTAATACAAGGGCCAAGTAACTTATTATTAATAATAAAGTTGGCTGGGTGCAGTAGCTCATGTCTGTAATCCCAGTACTTTGGGAGGCCAAGGCTGGAGGATTGCTTGAGGCCAGGAGTTCAAGACCAGCCTGGTAAACATGGTGAGATGCCCCACTTTGCTACAAAAAAATTAAAAAATTAGCCAGCTGTGGTGGTGAGTACCTGTGGTCCCAACTATGTAAGAGGCAAATGTGGGAGGATTGCATGAGCCCAGAGGTTTGAGGCTGCAGTGAACTATGATAGATCCTTGGCAACTGAGAAAGACCCTATCTTAAAAATAAGTAAATAAAATAAAGCAGCCAAAGATGGTTAATAATTTGGATGTTTGAAATAAATTAGTGAGGATTCTCCTTAGAAACAACATCACCTTCACCCATTTACATTCCTGGTTTGTTGTTGTTGTTAAGTGTTAAAGACAATACTGGTTTCTCCCTCAGAACAGGTGTGTGCTCTTGGCCACTTAGGAGTGGATGATGCCCTCCCCACTTCTACATCAAATAAATTTTAAAAAAAGAGAAATATAATTTTTGGCAAGAATTTGGTATTTCAGAAATAGCACTGCAGTTCCCGTTGAGAAATCAGAACATTGCTGAGATTTACATTTGAGAATTATTGCAGCAGTCCTTTTTGTCCGGGCACGGTGGCTCATGCCTGTAATCCCAGCACTTTGGGAGGCCGAGGCAGGCAGATCACTTGAGGTCGGGAGTTCGAGATCAGTCTGGCCAACATGGTGAAACCCCGTCTCTACTAGAAATACAAAAAGTAGCTGTGTGTGGGGTGGGCGCCTGCAATCCCAGTTGCTCAGGAGGCTGAGGTGGGAGACTCCCTTGACCCAGAAGGCGGAAGTTTCAGTGAGCTGAGATTGCACCACTACACACCAGCCTGGGCAACAGAGCAAGACTCTGTCTCAAAAAAAAAAAAAGAGAATTATTATTATCTTGAATGACATATGGTGAGCAGCGCCATAATTTTCAGGGCTTGGGGGCCTCAGAGCCTTATCCTAACCCAGCCCTGGAGGAAAAGGAGAGTTGCCATCACACTCAGGGTCTCTGCCCCAGAATATGTTGTACGTATGAATAACATCGTTCACTTGGGCATCATAAATGTCGGCTCTAACAATCTAGGGACAAAAATGTCCCTGGGGTGTTCCTGGAGCCAGCATCTTCTCAGTCCTTCTTCCCTAGAAGTATCAGATGCTACATCTAAAAGCTGACGAGGGCCAAGCATGGTGGCTCATGCCTATAATCCAAGAGCTTTAGGAGGTCAAAGTGGGAAGATCAATTGAGCCCAGGAGTTCGGAGCTGCAGTGAATGTTGGTGGTGCCACTGCACTCCAGCCTGGGCAACAGAGCAACACATGGTCTCTAATTTAAAACAAAACAAAAAAAGCTGACCAGGAGCCAGCTGATAAGGAGCTTAGAATGTAGGAACAGAAAGCAGGACCATCTAGTCCAGCAGCTCCTCAACTTGCCCCACTTAGGAAGATCATGAAATTAATGGTGATCTTTACAGACATCCATGAGGTGCTAGGACATCCAACTTGCATCAACCTGGGGTAATTTTGTCCTCTCTGCTGCCACCTCCAGGGACATTTGGCAACATCTGGAGATGTTTTAGTTGTCATAACTGGGGAATAGGGTAGGGTCTGCTACTGGCATCTAGTGGGTAGAGAGAGACCAGGGATGCTGCCAAACATCCTACAAGGTACAAGACAGCCCCCCTCAACAAGGAATGGTCTGGCCCAAAATATCACTAGTGCCAAAGGTGAGAAATCCTGAACTAAGCCTATAAATCTTGGGCTGATTCAGATTTTTTAAATACATAACTGTACCCTGAACAAAATTTTAACAGGAACCGAAGACTTGGAACTTTTGGTATAAGAACAGTTCGTCAGGTGCAGTGGCTTGAGCCTCTAATCCCAACTACTCGGGAGGCTGAGGTGGGAAGATGGGTTGAGGCCAGGAGTTTGAGGCCAGCCTGGGCAACAAAGCAAAACCTTCCCACCTTCCATTTCTAAACTTTCTTTATTTTTATTTTTTAATTAGCTTAGCATGGTGGCATGCATCTGTGGTCCCAGATACTCAGGAGGCTGAGACAGGAGGAATGCTTGAAGCCAAGAGTTTGAGGCTATCTGATGCGAGAAGCTCCTCTTCAAAGGTTTAGCTTGTTTAGTTTCCTTGTTCTTTGTTCTCTACTTTTAAGGCCAAACTTCCTTGCTCTCTGTACCTCCCTGTCTTGGTTTCAGTAAACAACTCTTCCACTGGTCCTTATCTACAGAGCCTACATCTACTACCCACTCTGTAAATTACCCCTCCCATCACAGCAGCTCTTCCCACCAAAACTGTCCTTCCTGCCAGTGTAACCGCATTCCCGCACTTTCCAAGTTAGCCAACCAGGTTCAGCTTAGATTGTGTGGTCCAACTCCAACCTGTGGAGGCAGGACACAGTAGCAGGGACAAGCTACGTTAGGGATAAAAACCCCTTCCCTCCTTTGTTCAGTGCACTCTCATGATGACTAGACCTGTGAGAAACACCTTCCTACAGAAGTAAATTTTGCCTTACTGGGAAATCCTTTGTTTTAGTGCTCATTTTCTTTGTGACACTGCACATTTGTTTCTAACAAGGCTTTAGTAAGCTATGATTGAACCCCTGCACTCTAGCCTGGGAGGCACAGCAAGACCCTGTCTCTTAAGAAGAAAGAAAAGTCTATTCACTGCCTCCACTGAGTCTGTCTTCAGTCCCCTCTGGATCTGAAGAGGCCAAAGCACCAGCCACAATCCAGAGCCCAGAAAGATCCAGCTAAGATTTCCTTCCTTCTTCTTTCTCCTTAAGCCATTCTTTTTCACTGCAAAGTGGACATCCAAGCACCAAATACAAAAATCCTCCTAGGAAGTGGGTTCAGCCCTCCCAAGGAAAATGGATTGCTTGTTCTGGTAGGATCTCCAACTCTGTGAAGTCTTCCTTATCCAAATTTAGTGAGATAAGATTGGAATGTCAGAGCTGAAATAATTTAGACCAATATTCTGGTTTTCTAAAAGAAAACGGAACCATGCCATTACCTCACTTCCCCGTTTATTTCTTATTTATTTATTTATTGTGACAGGAATCTCGCTCTGTGGCTCAAGTTGGAGTGCCCTGGCACAATCTTGGCTCACTGTCGCCTCTGCCTCCTGGGTTCAAGTGATTCTTGTGCCTCAGCCTCCCGAGTAGCTGAGATTACAGGCATGAGCCCCCATGCCCAGCTAATTTTTGTATTTTTAGTAGAGATAGGGTTTTACCATGCTGGCCAGGCTGGTCTCGAACTCCTGACCTCAAGTGATCTGCCCACCTTGGCCTCCCAAAGTGCTGGGATGACATGTGTGAGCCACCATACCCGGCCTCACTTCCCTGTTTAAAACCCTCCATCTCTCAAAATAAAATTCAAAGTGCTTAGCCTGGTCAACAACAGGGTTTGTCAACCTCAGCACTATTGCCACTTTGGGCTGGAGCATTCTGTGTTGTGGGAGCTGTCCTGTGCGCTACAGGAAGTTTAGCAGCATCTCTGGCCTCTACACACTGGATGCCAGCGGCATCACCCCTCTCCCCAGTGGTAAAGTCTCAGAATGTCTCCAGACATCGTCAAATGTCCACTGAGGGCAAAAATCACCCAGTTGAGAACTAATGGTCTCTAAAATAATTTATCTACGGGATCGAAATGATTTGATCCAAATGATTTGATTCCTGCCTACCTCTGAGACTTCACTCACCAACCGCCTCTGCCTTCTTTCTATTCTTTAAAAATACAAGATCATTGGCCAGGCACGGTGGCTCACACCTGTAATCCCAGCATTTTGGGAGGCTGAGGCGGGCGGATCACGAGGTCAGGAGATCGAGACCATCCTGGCTAACACAGTGAAACCGAGTCTCTACTAAAAATACAAAAATATTAGCCGGGCTTGGTGGCGGGCGCCTGTAGTCCCAGCTACTTGGGAGGCTGAGGCAGGGGAATGCCGTGAACCCGGGAGGTGGAGCGGAGCTTGCAGTGAGCTGAGATCCCGCCACTGCACTCCAGCCTCGGCGACAGAGCGAGACTCTGTCTCAAAAAAAAAAAAAATACAAGATCGTACCTGCCCCAAGGCTTGAACTTGCTATTCCCTGGGAATCTCAACTCAACAGTCACCTCCTCATCTAAGCTTCCCATTAACACTCAGTTGAAAACACCCCTCTGCCTCCATCATTTCCCATCACACCACCTTGTCATTTCCTTCACGGTACTTGGTCCTTACCTTTTTCTCCATAAAGGCAAAGAAAGTGCCCATGTGTCCACTACTATATTCACAGCACCAGAAACAAATCCAAGATCAAGCAGTGCAGCCCCCAACACAGAGGCTGAGCTGCTGCCACACCACGGGCCGAGAGGGGTTGTCAGCACGATGTTCCACCCCCTGTCCTATCCAACCCCCACAGAATCGAAGCCAAGACAGGAGAAGGAACTGGGTGACAGGCCCACTTCTACCTCGTCCCTTGTGGAAGCGATGTCACAAATAAACAGGCCTCATTTCCTTTCTTGTAAGAGCCCGATGCGCTTAATTTGGTCGAACCACGTGGGGTGGGCTAGGGAGAACCAAAATAGACAATCTGTAAATTACTCAGATGAATCCAGCAGCCGGCTTGGGCAAATGTGGCTCAGCTCTCTCCTCTCTACCCAGACAAAAATTCTCTCTCCCGGCAGCCTTTCAACACAGTTAATTTCTAATCAATAAAAAGGAAATCAAAGAAAATCATCTGGGACAAAAGACATTTTCTGGAGATAGCAAGAGCCCAGCTCTCCTCCTGACAGGTTTGCTTTGAACTCCTTCTCTATGGTCCTTTCGCTCTCTCTCACCTAGCAAAGGGTTTCAAATGTGCGCACACAAATTTTAGTGAAGCCCAAACACAGCTGCTCTGCGCCCCCTTATGCCTTTGCTCTCACCGGTTGGATAAAGTCTATTGTCTCTTAATCTGCTGCACAAACAACATTAAAATAGAAATGGATTTTTTAAAAAGCAAACTCCAACCGCAATGCCAGTGCTTTACACATTTCATCAAATGCTTTCACTTCCTTTTCTTTCTTCTTCTTTCTTCTCTTCACTTTTTTTCCCAGTCTTTGTCAATACCTCAACCCTGTATTTGCATAGCTGCATTGACAATACAGTCACATTCTGAAATACCCTTTAAGAAAAAAAAAGGGTATTTAAAAAAAAAAAATACCCTTTAAAAAAAAATACCCTTTTAAAAAAAAATACCCTTAGATCAGAGGGGAGAGGATAAAGAGAAGTGGGTTAAAGGGTACAAACATACAGTTAGTGAGAAGGAAAAAATTCAATGTTTGGGGCTGGGCACGGTGACTCACGCTTGTAATCCAAGCACTTCGGGAGGCCAAGGTGGCAGGATCACTTGAAGCCGGGAGTTCAGGACTCCTGCCTCAAGCAAGACTCCGTCTCAATTAAAAAATAATAATAATAAATGTTTGATAGTAGAGTAGTGTTACTATATTTAACAAAAATGTATTGTACCAGAATGATAGAAGCCCTAAATACTATGACTTTATCACTATATATTACATATGTAACAAAATTTCATGTGTACCTCATAAATTTGTACTAATAAAAATAAAATAATAAAATATAATAAAACTAAAAGAATTACACACACATTTTCCATGTGACTATCTAGACATTATAAGTGTCATTATAAATGTTCACATACAACATTCCATTAGGCTGAAATACTGTAACTTATATTAACCATTTTCCTATTGCTAGATACTTAGGGTTTTTTGTTGTTGTTGTTGTTGTTTTTGTTTTGTTTTGTTTTGTTTTGAGACAGAGTCTTGCTCTGTCTCCCAGGCTGGAGTGCAGTGGCACGATCTCAGCTCACTGCAAGTTCCGCCTCCCGGGTTCACGCCATTCTCCTACCTCAGCCTCCCGAGTAGCTGGGACTACAGGCGCCCACCACCACGCCCGGCTAATTTTTTTTTTTTTGTATTTTTTAGTAAAGACAGGGTTTCACCATGTTAGCCAGGATGGTCTCGATCTCCTGACCTTGTGATCCGCCCACCTCGGTCTCCCAAAGTGCTGGGATTACAGGCGTGAGCCACCGCGCCCAGCCGAAATGTTGACTTTCTATGTGAGTGCAATGCCCTTCCTCCATAAGCCCCCAGTGAGGCTGACAAGCTGCATTTCACACTGGATTATATTGGTCTGTTATTGTCAGGCTTTTCATTAGTCTCATCTGATGGGTATCTTGTGGGTTTAATCTGGGTTTCCCTGACTGCTAAAGAGGTGAGCACCTTGTTGTGTTATCAGCTACTTATGCTTTCTCATCTATGAAAACCCTGCTCATTTCTTTTTGATCATTGTGTATTTGTCTTTCTCTTATTAATTTCTAGAAGGGCCTTTAAGTATTATGGATACTATTATTCAGCAATTACATGTTTTTATGGGTTGAATTATTTCCCTCCCCAAAATTCATATTTAATTTCCAACCCCCAGGATCTCTGAATGTGACCTTATTTAGAAATAATGTCCTGGCAGGGTGCAGTGGCTCGCGCCTGTAATCCCATCACTTTAAGAGGCTGAGGCAGGCAGATCACTTGAGGTCAGAAGTTCGAGACCAGCCTGACCAACATGGTGAAACTCCATCTCTACTAAAAATACAAAAAATTAGGCAGGTGTGGTGGTGGGTGTCTGTAATCCCAGCTCCCTTGAACCCGAAAGGCAGAGATTGCAGTGAGCCAAGATCGTACCACTGCACTCCAGCCTGGGTGACAGCGCGAGACTCTGTCTCAAAAAAAAAAAAAAAAAAAAAAAAAAGAAGGTCCTTGTAGAAGTGATTAAATAAGATAAGGTTATACTGGAGTAGGGTAGGCCTTAATCCAATGACTGATGTCCTGATGAAAAGAGGACATTTAGACATGCACACAGGGAGAATACCACGTGAAGATGAAGGCAGAGATCTATAAGCCAATAGACACCAAATATTGCCAGCCAACCACCAGACACTGTGACAGAGGCCTGGTACAGATAATAGCTTTGCCAACACCTTCCTGACATGATTTGGCTCTTTGTCCCCACCCAAATCTCATGTGGAATTTTAATCCCCACATGTCAGGGGAGGGACCTGGTGGGAGGTGATTGGATTGTGGGGTGGATTTCCCCATGCTGTTCTCATAACAGTGAGTGAGTTCTCATGAGATCTGACAGTTTAAAAATGTGTGGCACTTCCCCCCTCACTCTCCTGCTGCCATGTAAGCCGTGCTTTGCTTCCCCTTCACCTTCCACCATGATTGTAAGTTTCCTGGGCCTCCACAGCCATGCAGAACGGTGAGTCAACGGAACCTCTTTTCTTAGTAGTGCCCAGTCTCAGGTGGTTCTTTATAGCAGTGTGAAGGACTAATACACCTCCAATAATTGCAGAGAGTAAATTTATGTTCTTCAAGCCACCAGTTTGCGGCATTTTCTTACAACAGCCCTAGAAAACTAATATATGTGTATAGCAAACGTATCCTCCCAGTCTGTGGCTTGCCTTTTAATCCTTTTTACTATGTTTCCTGATAAGCAGAAGTTCATCATTTTAATGTGGTAGGATGCATCCCTCTTTGCCTTCATTGGTTCATACTTTATTTTCTGACTTTTTAAAGAGGTGCTTTGCTATACTAAGCTCATAAAGATCTTTATTTCCTTATAAAACTTAAAGTTTGGCCATTCATCAGTTCCTGACCATCAGGATTTGATTTTGGTCTGTGTTATGAGGTAAGGCTCCATTTTCTTTCTTTCTTTCTTTTTTTTCCTGTTTTGTTACAGACGGGGTCTCACTGTGTCACCCAAGCTGGAGTGCAGTGGTGTGATCACAGCTCGCAGCCTTGAACTCCTGGCCTCGAGTGATCCTGTTGCCCTGGCCTCCCCAAGGATTACAGGTATGAGCCACTGTGCCTGGCCCCATTTTCATTTTTGAGGGAGTGGCCACCTTGTTCCCTATCTTTCTGCTCCACGAAGCTGTGAGCTCATTGAGGGTAGTGACCTTACATAACTTTCCCCCAATGTTGGAGGTGAGGCCTGGTGGGAGGTGATTGGACCATGGAGGTGGATTTCCCCCTTTGGTGCTGTTCTCATGATAGAGTTCTCAGGAGATCTGGTTGTTTAAAAGTGTGTGGCCCCTCCCCATTCTCTGTCTCTTCCTCCTGCTCTGGCCATATGAGGTATCTCTTTCCCCCCCTTGCCTTCCACCGTGATTGTAAGTTTCCTGAGGCCTCCCCAGCCATGCTTCCTATGCAGCCTACAGAACTGTAAGTCAATTAAACCTCTTCTTTATAAATTACCCAGTCTCAGGTATTTCTTATAGCAGTGTGAGAACAGACTAATACACCTGTAAATATGACTGTCTTAGTCCATTTTGCATTGCTATAGAAGAATAACTGAGGCTGGGTAATTTATAAAGAAAAGAGGATTAAGTGGCTCGTGGTCCTGCAGGCTGTACAAGAAGCATGGCACCAGCATCTCCTCTGCTTCTGGTGAGGGTCTCAGGCTGCTTCTACTTTTGTCAGAAGGGGAAAGGGAGCTGTCGTGTGCAAAGATCACAGGGCACGAGAGGAAGCAAGAGAGATGGGGAAGGCACGAGGCTCTTTTAAACAACCAGCTCTTGTGCAGAACTAACAGAGCAAGAACTCACTTACTACCATGAGGATGGCACCTAGTCAGTCATGAGGGATCCACTCCCATGACCCAATACCTCCCATTAGGTCCCACCTCCAACATTGGGGATCACATTTCAACATCAGGTTTGGCAGAGGAAACACATCCAAACTATAGCAATGGGGGTCCACAGTCCTTATTTGGAAATAGGAGTTTTGCAGATGTAATTGAGTCAAGATGAGGTCGTACAGGAGTAGGGTGGGCCCTATATCCCATAGGACTGGATTTATGAAATGGGGAGAAGAAACATGGACTAAGACACACAGGGGAGAATGCCAGGTGAGGACAGAGGTGGAGGCTGGAGGGATGCATCTCTCAGCCAAGGAGTACCAGGATTGCTGGCAGCCATCAGAAGCCACAGGAGAGGCCTGGGGTGGTTTCTCCTGTAGAGGTCTGCAAGGAATCAACTCGGCTAACACCCTGAATTTGGACTATAAGCCTCCAGAGTTGTGAGGGAATAAATTCCTGTTGTTTTAAGGCACCCAGTGTGTATTACAGTGGCCCCAGAAAACTAACACTCTGGTGGACTAAGACAAAAGACAAAGAGTTACAGACCTCCATTGCAATCCCAGCTCTCCCACATACACTGAGTGTGTGACCTCAGCCATGCCGCTGAACCTCTCTGAGCCTCATTCCTTTCCTCCTAAGAAAAGGAGGACACATACCATATATATACCCCATGAAGTTCTAGTGGAGAAGGCTGATCTTTCTTGAAATGTTTCCGTTTGTTCACATGACACTGTCCGCTCCTGCTCTTCCTCTTACCTTCTAGCTTCTATTTCTTGGTCTCCACAGTTCTTGTTTCTTCTCTCCTGCCCTTAAATGTAGTTTTCCCCAGAATTCAACTCCTAGTCACCTTTACTTTACTTTATATGGTGTTTTTGGCAATTTTCTTGACGCCTGTCATTTCTACTATCACACTGACTATGTAACCCAAATATACTTTCTTTATGAGTTCTAGTCCTGCCTACGCCTTCTTTTTTTCTCTTTCTCCTTTCCTTTTTTTCCTTCCCTTCCATAAATATTTATTGAACATGTATTATGTACCACTAGGGAACAAGACAGAAAAAAATCCCCCTCCTTTTGGAGTTCACATTAAAGTGGAAGAAACATAATAAGGAAATTAATATGTAATGTCTGATAGCAGTTAAGTGCTAGGAAGAAAAACAAAGCTGGCATCGGGGATAGAAAGTGATAGGGCTGCTCTTTAAAAGGAAAGTCAAGGGGCTGGGTGCAGTGGCTCACGCCCATAATCCCAGCACTTTGGGAGGCCGAGGCCGGTGGATCACTTGAGGTCAGGAGTTCAAGACCAGCCTGGTCAACATGGTGAAACGCTGCCTCTACTAAAGATACAAAAAGTATCTTTGTATCTTTGTATCTTTATACCAAAGATACAAAAAGTAGCTGGGTGTGGTGGTACATGCCTGTAGTCCCAGATACTCAGGAGGCTGAGGCACGAGAATCACTTTAACCTGGGAGGCAGGGGTTGCAGGGAGCTGAGATCACGCCACTGTACTCCAGCCTGGGTGACAGAGTGAGACCTTGTCTCAAAAGAAAAAAAAAAAAAAGTCAAGGAAGGCCTCTCTGAGATGGTAACCTGAGTGAAGAAAAGAGGGAGCCATGAAGGTATCTGGGGGGACAGCATTCCAAGGAGAGACATGGTAGTGCAAAGGCCCTGAGGTAGGGCCACTCCAGGTGTGCCTGAGATACCCAGCAAAGTTGATGTGGCCGAAGCAGAGTCCAGGAGGCCACTGACCAGGGAAATAAAGTTGGAGGGAGATACAGGGGCTGAGTCTCATTTAGATTTTATGTTGAATGAGACAGGAAGCCATTAGAAGGTTAGATGCAGGAGTAAGACATGAACTGACATTTATTTTACTGTATTCCCCTGGCTGCTGGGTTGAGAAATGCAATGCAAAGGAATGAAGCAGGGAGACCCATGAGGGGCGTCCTAACACTGCAGGTGAGAAGTGAAGGTGGCCTGGACCTGGTTGTAGGAGTAGAAGGGTTTGAAGGGGTTGATGGGGCTGGCCTGATTTGCTGATGAGTGTAGGCTATGGCTCCTGGGTTTGGGGATAAATGCGGGTGTCACTGATGGATACGGGGAACACCGGCGGAGGAGCAATTTGGGGCAAAATCAACAGTCCAGGGTAGGAGTGAGACGTGAGCCAGCCACTCCAGCAGGCGGCAAACTAAGTTCAGTGTTTCCAAAGCTGCCCTCAACAGAGCCACTGAGGGTGCTTGTAAATACAGATTCCTGGGGCCTCCCAGAGCCTACTTGATCAGATTCTTCAGGGGAGGGGCCTGGGAATCAGAATGTTTCACAAGTGCCCCGGAAATACTGATAACACAGGTGTTTCAAGCCACGGCATCAGATGAGATCACTCAGGGATCTTTAGTTAAGTCCACTGGAAGCCTCCTCAGGGGTGCTCATCCTCAACACCCTGCACCCCAAACTTAGCTCATCAGCACCACCCTGCCCCATCCTCACCTGCTCCTCCTGTCTCACTGTCCAGCACCCCTAACCAGCAAGCACCTCAACGCCGAAAGCTGAGTGAGGCTCTAGAGACCTCCCTCACCCTCTGCCCTCGTGTCGTTTCCAACTCCAAAAAATCCTCCAAGCCCCCCATGCCTGTCCAAAATCACTCCTGGATCCCTCCCCCACCACATCTAAGGTCACCTTGCCCTGTTCTCAAACATTCTCAAATCAGTGGTTCTCAAGGGGGTGATTGTGCCCTGCAGGGGGCATGTGGCAATGTCTGGAGATATTTTGGGTGGTGACAAGTCGGGGAGAGGGAGTTACTAGCATCTAATGGGTGGGGCCAGGGGTGCTGCCCACAGGACGGCATCTACAACACAGAATGGTCCAGCCCAAGGTGTGACGAGTGCCAAAGCTGAGAATCCCTGCTCTAGGTCCACCTCGTACTCTGCTCCAGAAACAGCAACCTCAAATTCAAATCTGACCAGGGCCTCCCCTATTTTTTGTCTTGTAACGGCTCCCATCCCCCTCAGGATAAGCGCTAAGATCCATGGCCTGGCCTGAGGCTTTTCATTCCCCAGCTTCCGCTTCCGTCAATCTTATGTTGCACCATTGCCCACACGGTAAAACTATGTGCCAGGTAAACAGAACATTCCAGACCATCCACCAACCCCCATCCCATGCGCAGCCCACCCACAGCAGGGCAGGTATCCCTGCCACGTGCTTTCCTGTGAGCCTGAGATTTACCTCTTTCAGTGAACACGTGGCTGTTTATTCTACCAGCAGAAACTCCACCCTGTGCCAGGCAAAGGTGCTGCATTGGGCACAGAGCCATGACAGAGTCCCTGCAGCGGAGGGAACCACTCAGGATTCTGGTTTCTAACTGTGGCCTTCAGCCTAGACTGCGAGCCCTTCACTTACCACTTTATCCCCAAGATCCAAGCCAGAGCCGACATATGGGCAACCCCCTAACATGCTGACTAAATAAACAAATAACCACAGCGGAAACATTGACCAATCACTTCTGTACCACACTTGGGGCTGAGCACCTTGCTTCTTATCACATTATGTCATTCAGTTCTCAAAGGGCCCTTCGATGATGGTGCAGGCTCAAGCGATTCTCCTACCTCAGCCTGCTGAGTAGCTGGGACTACAGGCATGCACCACCACGCCCAGCTATTTTTTTTTTTTGTATTGTTAGTAGAGACGGGGTTTCACCATGTTGGCTAGGCTGGTCTTGAACTCCTGACCTCAAGTGATCCAGCCTCCTCGGCCTCCCAAACTGCTGGGATTACAGGCGTGAGCCACTGCGCCTGGCCAAGTGCTTTCCTTTATTTTCCCCTTTAATCTTCACAGCAACCCTATGGGAGAGTTACTGTTATTATCCTCATAATATATGACAGTAAAGGGATCTTTCATGCCTGAAAGGTCCAGGCATGTGCTGACATCACATTGTAAGTAGGTGGCAGAGCCAAGGTGCGAATAGAAAATACATATTGGATCCTCGTCCCCGTTGCTGGCAAAGACCTTCCAAAACCCCTGAACACTTACAGAGGTCGAGGTGGAGGGATAGCTTGAGCTCACAAGCTTGAGATCAGCCTGGGCAACCCCATCTCTACAAAAAATAGAAAAAAATTAGCAAGGCATGGTGGTGCATGCCTGTAGTCCCAGCTATTCTGGAGGCTGAGGTGGGAGGATTGCTTGAACCTGGAGGTCAAGGCTGCAGTGAGCCATCATTGCGCCACTGCACTCCAGCCTAGGTGACAGAGCAAGACCCTGTCTCAAATGAAAATAAAAATAAAATGCCCGGAATCTCCAGAATGATCAGAGTGTCTTTTGTATGTTAATGAGATGACTGGATGGGACTGGTCTTCAGAAAGATCAAAGCATGATTAAAAGGTTGGAACTTTCAGCTGCACTCCCAGACCTCCAGGGAGGGGAGGGGCTGGAGGTTGAGTTCTGACACCAATGGCCAATGGTTTAATCCATCCTGCCCATATAATGGTATCTCCATATAAACCCTAAATGAAGGGATTCAGAAAGCTTCTAGGTTAGCGAATACATCAAGGTGCTGGGAGGGTGCTGTGCCCGTTGAGGGCGTGAAAGCACCACACACAACCCCCTGCCTCATGCCTTGCCCTATGCATCCTTTCTACTTGGCTGTCCCTAAGTTGTGTCATTTATAATAAACTGGTCATAGTAAGTAAAGTGCTTTCCTGAGTTCTGTGAGCCTTTCTAGCAAATTATTGAACTTGAGGAGGGGGTCGTGGGAACTCCCAATTTATTAGCCAGGTCAGTCAGAGGTACAGGTGGCACCCTGGGGCTTTTGACTGGTATCTGAAGCAGGGGCAATCTTATGGGACTGAGATCTTAACCTGTGGGGTCTGCACTAACTCCAGGCATTTAGTGTCCGTATGAATTGAATTGAAGGACACCAAGTTGGTGTCCAGAGAAATGGAGAAGTGGTTGGTATGAGGAAAAAAACCCCACAAACTTGGTGTCAGAAGTGTGAGTAAAAACAGTTTACAAGGTATGAACATAAAGAAACTAACTCCAGATCCTGAACTCTTGAAAACTATGCTTTTTGGCTTTTACTCCTACTTTTCCCCCTGAAAATTGAGGCTCAGAGAAGTCAAGTAACTTCCCCAATGTCACACAGTGAGTATCCCCTGGAACACTAATGCCTGGACTAAGCAAGTGCTCAGTAAGTATCTGTTGAATGAATGAACGTGTCAGTGGTCAAGTCAGGGCTGGAACTTGGGTCTGTCAGATTTTAAAGCCTACTCCCTTACCCACTATACTGGCACACTGTAAGAATCTAATAGATCTATTGGTCTTTTTTTTTTTTTTTTTTTTAAGCAGGGGCATCCCTTGTAGCTACTTTCCTTTCTTATGTCTGCTGCCCTTAGAAGCCCTCCCTATTATTGAAAATGGCACCTTCTCTCAGTCTTTGGTTTTGGGGGGCCACAGAAGAGATATCTGTGGCTTCTATTTGTTTAGCACTCCTCCCTTCCCCACTTTTTCCAGTGTCAGAAGCTCTTTTGCTGTGATTTGGGTGGGGCTGACACTGGGCATTTGTACAGGAGTCAGCTGGTGGTCATTGATTCTGATAACCTACTGTGTAAGAGTCTATCTGACGACAAGGTTTGAGTCCCTGAATTTAGCTGTGCCTGAAGCTCAGGGAACTCCTAGGGTTCTCAGTTCCCTAAGTACCTCTTCCCCTGTCCCCCATGAAGGAAGCCTGAGTTGGGGCTGTGTCCCTGGTGGCCCAAAGGGTCCTGACACATCACACAAATCTCGGGAGGCAAGTCCTTCCATGCCGCAGATAAACAGGCCTCCATGACCACCTTTGTGCCACCCAGAAACCAATTTCCTCTCTCACACAGGTTCTATGTGCAGGTGCTGTGGTCCCCTGGACTGTCCGGCAGTAGCTGGGGCCTCAGTGGGACCTGGTGCTGAAGCAGACCTCTACTGTTGGCCTCAAGAACACTGAGGGACCATTGAGAGAGCCCTGGGTGGTGGGGAGTCGGAGCTGCCCCCCAGCTGGTCCCCCCTCTGGAATGTGCAGCCTTTATTCCAGTGATGTTGATGAGCTGATCCGACCTTCTGCCTCCACACATCACCTCTCGGTTGCCCAGTTTAATTCCCTAAGGAAGGTCACAGGGTCACCAGCAGGGACAGAAGCTCTTTTGAAACTAAACCCTCAATCTCACCTCTCCTCTTCTCTTCTTTCTCTCAACACTGGGTTTACACACATCTTGAGGCCAACACCAGCTGTAGTAAAAGTCAAGATCGAACACCTTCTAGCCACACCATCTAGACATATCTGACTGCACCTGCCCTGGACACCCTGCCCAAGGGGGAAACCCACTGGATTCTCTATCACCTAGAAATAAAACTCGAATGGAGAGAAATGAAGAGGGAGTGACCTCAGTCCATGGAGCCAAGTCAATTAATCTGATCCTTCTAAGGCTTTGCTGTCAGTAGAGGAACCCCTTGCCTCTTATGGCTGCTGCACACTTGAATAGGGCTAGTGCAAATTGAGATGTGCTGTGAATGTACAAGAGGCAATGGATTCAACCATTTAGTGTGAAAAATGAATGTAAAATTTCACATCAATAATATTTTACTTTGATGACTTGTGGAAATGATAACACTTTGGATGTATCGGGTTCCATAAAATAATATTACAGTAAATTTCACCTATTTCTTTTTAGTTTCTAAAATGTGTTTCCTAGGAATTTAAAGTTAGGGTCATGTATATGGGCCCATGTATATGGCCCATTAATATGCAGCCCATGTTGTATTTGTTGGGCTGCACTGCTCTAGAGAGAAGTCCATGGGGACCTAGTCTAGAGATTCCCAGAGCTAACCTGAGGCCTTGGTGATTCACCTCTTTTGATACTATAAACTGCTCCACTATCCTTTCAATACCACCCTCTCTTTCTCCTAGAGAGTCTGACATGAGTCCTGGCTCTGCCATTTACTAACTGGATGACTGTGGGCAAGTTTCCTAACTCCCTGGCCTCAGTTTTCTTATCTGTACAATAGGGATAGTAAAGACACCAATCATATGGTTGTTGTGGGAATTAAATGGGTTAATATATGTGAAGGGCTTACAGCCCAGATTTAATAAATGAGCCTATCATCATCTTATTCGTCATTTCCTTAAGCTGCCAAAGTCAGTTTTGCTGCTGCTTGAAATGTAAAGACGTTTTTCTTATAGCCCCATTAGTTTTCTCATTCATAGATATCAATATCATCCTTTTTTGTTTGTTTGTTTGTTTTCTTGAGACAGGGTCTTGCTCTGTCACTCAGGTTGGAAGTACAGTGGTGCAATCATAACTCACTGCAGCCTTGAACTCCTGGGCTCAGGGGATCTACCTGCCTCAGCCTCTCAAGTAACTAGGACTATAGGTGTGCACCAACATGCCTGGTTAATTTTTTATTTTATAGAGAAGGGGTCTTGATTTGTTGCCCAGGCTGGTTTGGATTCCTGGCCTCAAGCATCCTCCTGCCTTGGCCTCCCAAAGAGCTGGGTTTACAGGTGTGAGCCACTGTGCCCAGCCTAATATGATAGATATTGAGGGCCATGACTGTTTTTCAAAGGCAACTTCAGGTAATAAGAATATTGAGCTCAGAAGTCACCCTGTTTAAGTTCATGTCCAAGCTCCACCATTCCGTGAATAACTTTAGGTGAGTCACTCATTAACCAGGACCTCAGTTTCCTCCTGTGTAGAATGAAGGAGGGTCACCATACCTCACAGGCTTGAGTGAGTCTGCAGTGGGACCACATATAGAAAACACTTTGCACAGTGTCAGGAAACAGGACACATCTGACAAATGCTCATACTTATTACACTACGATGAGAGTCTCAAGGGCAGGGACCAGGCTCTCACTCATGTTTATAGCCCAGAACCTGCCATACATATGTGGTCAATCAATGTTGACAGCCCTTGGAAACATTCAGCTTCTCCCTCTCTGAACAAAGCCCTTCATGTTCTCTCTGGAGCTTACCACCAGAAACCTGGGCCACCCACCCACCGACCACTCAGAGCTCATAGCCTCATCTTCTCAATCCCAGATGAAGTTGATGAATTGCTTGGATGACAATTGTTACTTTATTCTCCTCAATCAAACTGAGTTGAAATTTCTTGGCTAGGAAGACTTCAATGTAATTATCATGGTAATGACTGACATTGACATTTATTTAGTGTTACCAGTAGGAAGTTCACATTAATTGAGGCCTTGCCTCATGCCACAGGCATTATCAGATGACAGCCTAACTATGACCCTTGATGTTGGGGTTGTTATTCTTGCCATTTTCCAACAAGCTGAGCCTCAGTGAGACAGGGCAACAGTTAACACAGCCTCCTCATGTTCAATGGAACACAGTCTCCTCCATTCACTAACTTCATGGCCTTGGGTAAGTTACTCAAACTTTCTGTGCCTGAGTTTCTTTAACTGTAAAATGGGAATAATAATAGCCCCTGGGTGGAAATGAAAGCCCTTAGAACAGTAATTGATCCATGGTAAGTACTCAGGGAGAGCTAGCAATGATTATTATCAATGACATTGAGTAATTACCCAAGGTCACACTGCTGGAAGTGGTTGGGCTGGCTCTGACCTGAAAATTAAAGGACACTAGGTCTGTGCTTTTGACCATGATATGGCACCACTGTAAACATGTGCCAGGCTCTCTGATCTTCATGCTTCATAACGACTAAGTCTGACTGCCAACAATAACCCTTTAAATTAAGTACTACTGAGATCAGTGTTGTGGTGGTAAATCTTTAGTTCTCGGGGTGGGGTGGGCAGAGGTTCTAACTTATGACACTGGTCAATTTCATATACAATAGCTGGTCTCCAGCTATCAATGTGATGATGTTAACCAGCTTGCAAAATTCCTGAAAACTTAACAATTGGCTCTGGGAGCCAGCACACCACACAATCCCCATTTACAGACAAGGAAATTGAGGCTTAGAGATGACAAGTAACTCACCTGAGCCTACACCTCTAGTGGATGGCAAAGCCAAGACTTGAAGCCAAGTCTGTATGACTCCAGGGTCTATGCTCTTAGCTATCATGAGATCGCCTCCCTTGTGGGGTAAAGAAGTTAGTACAGTGAGTTTTGGTACAGTACAGCAAGACCTCCTGCCTGAAAGCCATGTGACATTGGACAAGTCACTCAACCTCTCTGTGCTGCAGTTCTCTAGTCTACATAACAGGAAAGTTGGTCCAAATCACCTCTGGTTCCTCTTCTAGTTCATTTTATAACTAGGAATCAAAAGTCCATGTTGAGGCAGGTCACGGTGGTTCATGCCTGTAATCCTTGCACTTTGGGAGACCAAGGCAGGTGGATTGCTTGAGCTAGAAGCTCAAGACCAGCCTGAGCAACACGGCTGAGCAAATTAGCCATGCATGGTGGCTCACGACTGTGGTCCCAGCTACTCAGGAGGCTGAGGCAGGAGGATTGCTTGAGCCAAGGAGGTAGAAGCTGCAGTGAACTCTTACTGCACCACTGCACTCCATTCTGGGCAACAGAGTGAGACCCTGTCTCAAAAAAAATAATAATAATAACAAACAAACAAACAAACAAAACAAAACAAAAAAAACCTGTCCTCTTTCTTTAGAGGCCCTGTCTCTAAAAAAACAAATCAAAACAAACAAAAAAGTGCATGTTGATATCTAAAATGAATCAATTTCTATTTAAGGAGGAAGAAAACATGAAGGACCGCATGAAAAGAAACTTCTAGTTAATGGCTGCTTTGTAAGACGCTGGCCTGGGCCCAGCTCTGGCCACACAACATTGCCAAAACACTGCTGTTCATCAGAACCTGAGCGGGAAACAATTTTTAACATACACACAAAGGCCAGGACTCTACGGAGAGGGTCAAGGCTGACAGCAGCTCAGGGCAAGTTAAAGAGGGATTTCTCATTAAGAAACCTGGCATTTGCCTTGTCAAGAGCCTCGTCTGGTAAGGTGCCAGGTGGTGAGTGATCTCAAAATACAAAATGCAGTAAGGTGTCTCTGTTTACCAGGCAGTTTTTGGCAGCTGACAAGGCAGGCTGGGGGCGTTTGTAACTCCAGGCAGTTTCCAAGTACCGGGTCCAATGAGCACATAACTCTGAGCACCTCAAATTATCAAGTATTTTGGCTTAAAAAAAAGTCCCAGAGAAATTATTCTGGATGACATTACAATGGTGGACCCATGTCATTATACATTTGTCCAAACCCACAGAATGCACAACGCCCAGAGCATCCTAATGTAAATTATGGATTTGGGGTAATAATGATGTGTCAGTGTAGGTTTACCAGTTGTAACAAATGTACCATTCTGGTAGGAGATGCTGATAACAAAGGAGATTACATACGTGTGGAGGCAGGGTGTATATGGGAAACCTTTGTCCCTTCCTCTCAATTTTCCTATAAACCTGAGACCACCCTAAAAAATAAAGTCATTTAAAAAAAAAAAATTCTTCAGCTGGGTGCTGGTGGCTCACATCTGTAATCCCAACACTTTGGGAGGCCAAGGCGGGTGGATCACATGAGGTCAGGAGTTCGAGACCAGCCCGGCCAACATGGTGAAACCTTGTCTCTACTAAAAATACAAAAATTAACCGGGTGTGGTGGTGCATGCCTGTAATCCCAGCTACTCAGGAGGCTGAGGCAGGAGAAATGCTTGAAATCGGGAGGCGGAGGTTGCAGTGAGCCGAGATCATGCCATTGCACTCCAGCGTGGGCAACAGAGCAAGATTCTGTCTTTAAAAAAAAAAAAAAAATTCTTCTATCGACTGTCTGCCTGGGGCATGGTTATGACCAAAGTAGTATAAATTGAAGCACAAATCAGATTCTAAGCCAATTCCTTCTGGTTTCAACCTCAATTGTGTCTCAATCTCCCTCCTTCTTGGTACATTCCTTCCTTGGGTCCCTCCCTGTGACCTTCTGGCACCTGGGTTCCCAATCACCATTTATTCAGCATATATAGCATGACTCCATCTTTTTTTTGAGTCTTTTTGGTTTTGGTGGGTTTTTTCTTTTGAGACAGGGTCCGGCTCTGTCACCCAGGCTGGAGTGCAGTGTTGCCATCATAGCTCACAGCAGCCTCCACCTCCCATGCTCAAGTGATCCTCCCACCTTAGCCTCCCGAGTTGCTGCGAATGTGGATGTGCATCACCACATCAGGCTAAGTTTTAAATTTTTTGTAGAGATGGGGATCTCACTCTTTTTCTCTGGGCTGGTCTTGAACTCCTGACTCACATAATCCCCCCGCCTTGGCCTCCCAAAGTGCTAGGATTACAGGAGTGAGATGGAGTCTTGCTCCTTCACCCTGGCTGGAGTGCAGTGGTGTGATCTCAGCTCACTGTAACCTCCACTTCTCGGGTTCAAGCGATTCTCCTGCTTCAGCCTCCTGAGTAGCTAGGTAGGATTAGAGGCGCCCACCACCATGCCCAGCTAATTTTTGTATTTTTAGTAAAGATGAGGTTTCACCATGTTGGCCAGGCTGGTCTTGAACTCCTGACCTCAGGTGATCTGCCTGCCTCAGCCTCTCAAAGTGGTGGGATTACAGGTGTGAGCCACCATGCCTGCCCCCACTCCCCAATCTCTTAAAAAAAAAAAAAAAAGGTTTGTTTTGTTTTGTTTTGATTTTTAAAAAAAGGTTAAATAAATAAATGAAAGAAGCAGTGCCATGGAGGAGACTGGCTGAGAGTACAGCCTCTGCAGCTGGATGACATGGGTTCAAGTCCCAGTTCTGTGGCTTGGATGGGTTGCTTAATGCATGCCTCAGTTTCTTCATCTATAAAATGGGGTGATAATAATAGTTCACACAATAAAAGCACTTAGCAGAATGCCCAGTGCACAGTGAGTGCTATGTGAGAGCTTGCCACCATCACTATCCTCACAGTGCTCCCCCAGATCCCCATGCAGTAAGAATTATTATCCCTAATGTACAGCCTAGGAGTTAGACCCAAGTTCACACAGCTGGGAAATGGTGAAGCTGGAACTTTTAACCAGATCAGTCTAACTCAAAAGCGCATGCTCTTTACACAATATTTGTTCAATTCAGAAGACATCTATTGAGTTCCTTCCAAGTGCCAAAGATACCAAGACTAGAACCCTTTTATTTGGCTGGGCGTGATGGCTCACATCTGCAATCTCAGGACTTCGGGAGGCCAAGGCAGGAGGATTGCTTGAGGTCAGGAGTTCGAGACCAGCCTGGGCAACACAGCAAGACTCCGTCACTACAAAAAATAATTTAAAAATTAGCTGGGCGTGGTAATTCACACCTGTGGTCCAAGCTCCTTGGAAGGCTGAGGCGGGAGGATCACTTGAGCCCAGGAGTTTGAGGCTGCAGTGATCATGATCGCACCCCTGCACTCCAGCCTCAGTGACAGCGTGAGACCCTGTCTCTAATACATAAATAAATAAAGATACCAACACGAAATAACAACAAATGCTGATGTCTATGGGGTATTTACTCTGCCCCAGGGGCTGGCCAAACCTTTTCCTGTACATCAGCAGGATGCTGAGTGAGGGTGTTTCCTGTTGACCCCAGAACACGCTGCCCTGGCCCAAAGTGAAGACCAAGGAGAAGTACCCAGGGGCCAGCAACATCTGGGACACAACATCTCTCTCTGTGATTTGTGAGAGGCGGAGAGGTGGTTCTGCAGCATTCACAATCCTCCCTACTCCCAGTATCTACATGTAAAAGGGGTGAGGGGAGAGGGAGCATTGGCTGAATGGAGACAGCTATAGATTTTCTTTGTCATCCGTTCCCCCAAAAGCTCAGAGAGAGACATGGCTGCCAAGACAGTCACTTGCAAAGATTGGGCACCTCTATAAGAAGGGGGGACTGGCATCTTTTTCTTTACAGGTTTCCGCTTAGCCAATGTTCTTATTCATCTGCATTGCACCTTCCTGATCAGAGGAAAGGGGAAATGAAGAGAGATGGCAAGCAGGGAGAAGGTGAGGCATGGAAGATGCCGCATTCTGAGCCCTGAGGGTGGCAAGAGAAAGTGTAGCAACGCTAAAGGTGCCCACCACAGCACCTAGCCCCGACCAGAACAGACTTCGTTGACTGCCTACTGTCAGCCCCACATCTCTGCTTAGGTCTCTCGGCCAGTGGAGTCTTTCCTACTTGTGCCCACAAGGCAAGTTGGAGGTGCCCAGGGAATTAAGGACTTTTGGGAGCATCCTGCAACCCATGCCACATGGGAACTCGGTGAATAAATACCCCAGCTCCCTCACCCCTGGGGTAGGCTACACTGAGTTCCCCAGTATGATTAAGCTCTAGTTGCCCACAGTGGTGAGACACTTTATTGGTCTCATTTCCTCCCTTCTCTTCTGGTGTTTCTCAGCATCACTTCCTAAAGAAAATGCAAGCACTCAAATCTTTGTCTTTAGAGGAACCCAACCTAGGATAACAGATGACTTTCCCAGGTGTCAGCAGACACTGGAGAAGACAGCTTAGTTAGTGGCCACACGCACAGACTCTGCTTCCTAAGCCACAATGCTCTGAATTCTAGACATCAAAGGTCTAAAAGGCTTTCATTTGGGCAGTGCAAATCTCAGGTTGAAGCAATGTTCGGAAACATAAATATCCAGCATTCCAGTGTGCAAATATCACTTTTGACTAAACATATTTTCTTCTTCTAGGCCCAAATCAAACATTCCTCTTCAGTGGGCAATCTGGCTTTGTAATGTAAGATACTGCATCCTGACATGACTTAGAACTCTTCTACATGAATGCCTAAGAGCACTTTAACTTGAATCTACTCCTTCCCAGAACAGCTCCATAAAATATCATCTTAGTGGCAGCCCTGTATTGGGTGCACCCTGCACACCGGCCACTGAAGCAGCTGGGCACAGCACTTGCCACGCCAGCTTATGAAACCATCACAACATCCAACCCCTAAGTGGCAGAGCCAAGTTTTAGATGCAAGTCTGGGCAGGTCAAATGTCTGAACCCTTTCCACCTTCCACCTTTCACCTTTCACCTTCCACCAGCCACCCAGTGTTTCTCGGAACGAGGTCCAGAGTTTACCTACATTAGAATCTCCCAGCCCATTGGCTCAAGTGCAGATTCATGGGCCTCTCACCCAGGATGTGGGAAATCAGAATTAGGGAGGCTGAGGTCTGGAGGCTCCACAGTCACAGCTCCCACCTGATTCGGATGCTTGTTAAAGTAAGAGAACCATCACAGTAGTAGAAACCCACTTGACCACCCCCAACCGACCCCGCACTGTTTGATATTCCTTGTTTATAGTTTCCTCAAAGGCTGCTTCTGGGCATCAAAGCCTCTGCTTTCAAATTGCATCCTTTGTCACCGCCACCTTACACAGGGTCCAGATCATCACCACCTCTCACCTAAGAGACCACAGCAATTTTTCCTAACTGGCACCGGTACTTCTTGTCTTTTGCTCCTCAACGTTTTCTTATGAATGTTCTCTCTCTCCCTTTTTCCTGTAGAAACAGGATCTCTTCATGTTGCCCAGGCTGGTCTCGAACTCCTGGCCTCAAGCAGTCCTCCCACTTGGCTTCCCAAAGTGTTGGGATTTTAGGCATGAGCCACCACACCCAGTCTACATTTCTTTTTTTTTCTATGAGACAGGGTCTCGCTCTGCTGTCCAGACTGGAGTGCAGTGGTGCGATCTTGGCTCACTGCAGCCTCTGTCTCCCGGATTCAAGCGATTCTCATGCCTCAGCTTCCCGAGTAGCCAGGACTACAGGCATGCGCCACCACACCCAGCTAATTTTTGTACTAAAAAGTAGAGATGGGATTTCACCATGTTGGCCAGGCTGATTTCGAACTCCTGGCCTCAAGTGATCCTCCCTCCTAAGTCTCCCAAGGTGCTGGAATTACAGATGTGAGGCACCGTGCCTGGCCATGGCTTACACTCTCAACACTTTCAAATACAGAGAGGCTTAAAGAATTGTACAGTGCGGCCGCGCGGTGGCTCGCGCCTGTAATCCCAACACTTTGGGAGCCAAGATGGGCAGATCACGAGGTCAGAAGATTGAGACCATCCTGGCTAACATGGTGAAACCCCATCTCTACTAAAAATACAAAAAATTAACTGGGTGTGGTGGCGGGCGCCTGTAGTCCCAGCAACTTGAGAGGCTGGGGCAGGAGAATCACTTGAACCCGAGAGGCAGAGGTTGCAGTGAGCCGAGATCATGCCACTACACTCCAGTCTGGCGACAAAGTGAGACACAGTCTCAAAAACAAAAAAACAAAACAAAACAAAACAAAAGAACTGTACAGTGCACACTCTTAGATACATCCCCTAGATTCTGAAATGAACAGTTACTGATATTAACACTGCTGTAATTATATTTAAAATATGCTCTATTTGCTTCTTCCCTATCCATCTATCACTCTATCTTTTTTGAATGCATTTCAAAATAAGTGGCTGACATTGGTACACTTCCTCACTGTCTTAGTCCATTCAGGCTGCTGTAACAAAAATACTATCAACTGGGCGGCTTGAAAACAACAGAATTTATTTCTCACCCTTCTGGAGGCTGGGAAGTCCAAGATCAAGCCACCAGCTGATTTCATGTCTGCTGAGGACCATTCCTCATAGATGGGACCTTTTGGTTTTGCCCCACATGGAGGAAGGGGCAAGGCAACTCTCTGGAGCCTCTTTACAAGGGCGCTAATCTCATTGATAACAGCTCTGCCCTCATGGCCTAACCACCGCCCCAAAGGCCGTCTGAATACCATCCCCTCGGGGTTAGGATTTCAACATACGAATTTAGGAAAACTTCAGACCATGGCACCCATACACATTTCGGCATATCATTAACCAGAGTTCAGTGTTTGTTTATGGTGGGTTTTTTTTTTTAGATTAAACTTATATGCAGTGAAATGCACAAACTTTAGGAATACTGGATGAGCCTTGCCAAATGGATACAACTGTGTATCCTTCCTAATGCTCAGAAAGGTTCCCGCATGGCCACGGGGCATCTAATCTCTCCACTGCCCTTGTTCTTCCTTCCCCAAACCACATGAACTCAAGAGAAAATGAACCACCTACATCGTGGATATTTTTATGGCTTAAAAAAACACACACACAGTTGGTCAAAAAGCCATCTGCACACCCATGTTCATAGCAGTATTATTTATAATAGCCAAACGGTGGAGGCACCGTTGTCCATTGGGTGGAGGCAATCCAAGTGTCCATTAAAGGATGAATGAATCAACAAAATATGACACACACACACACACACACACACACACACACACACACACAGGAATATTATTCAGTTCAGCCTTAGAAAGGAAGGAAATTCTGACTCATGCTACAACACAGATGAACTTTGAAGACATTATCCTGAGTGAAACAAGCCAGCCACAGGAAAAATAATCTATGACTCTACTTATATGAGGTACCTAGAACTGTCAGATTCATAGAAAGTAGAATGATGGTTGTCAGGGGCTGCGGGGAGAGGGAGATGGGGAGTTATTGATTAATGGGTGTAGGGTTTCAGTTTTGCAAGAGTTCTGGAGAGGGATGGTGGTGATGGTTGCACAACAATGTGAATGTACTTAATGCCACTGAACTGTACAGGCAAAAATGGTTAAGACGGTAAATTTCATGGTGTGTGTATTTTCCCACAATTAAAACTAATAATTTTTTTTTAAATTTCGAGACGGAGTTTCACTCTTGCTGCCCAGGCCAGAGTGCAATGGCACGATATCAGCTCACTGCTATCTCCACCTCCCATGTTCAAGCATTTCTCCTGCCTCAGCCTTCCAAGTAGCTGGGATTATAGGTGCCCGCCACCACACCTCACTAATTTTTTGTATTTTTAGTAGAGACGGGGTTTCACCATGTTAGCTAATAATTTTTTAAAAGAGTTGAGCCTACACAGATTTCAATGGCTTTCAATCCATTCCAATGAGCAGAATTTCTCTAAATAGCCAGTGTAATTTCATGTCTATGTCAATCCCCTTGTCCTACTCACTGTATGGTCTTATTTTCATTATCTTCCAGCCAACCTTATCACTGAGACCCCAAAAATGCCATAGCTCCATTAGCTGCCAGTTTCCTGAATGCCAAGATCAAAGATGCAGTCAGGTAGGATGTTGCAAGACAGATGGGATGTTCTGCCCTGAACCAGGAGGTGCCTATATGCTGGCCCCATAAGCCACCCATTCATCTTCCACATGGGTTTTCCAAGAAGAAAGTATAACTAGACACTAAGCATTAGCTCAACTCCACACACCATTAGAATAGGCTAAAAGTAAGAAATTGAATAGCTTTGTCTTATATACCATTACACAACTGCCTCCTCTCCTTTCCATTCCACTGACCAACCAACCAATTTGGTGAAGGCAGATGTTAGCTTCTAACAAAAATCAGCAATCAGGGCAGCTATTCTGGCTCACGTCTTTAATCCCAGCACTTGAGGCCCCCAAGGCAGGAGGATCGCTTGAACCCAGTGGTTTAAGACCAACCTGGGCAAAATAATGAGACTCCATCTCTACAAAAAATAAAAAATTATCTGAGCATGTTGGTGTACACTTGTGGTACCACATGGTCCCAGCCACTTGAAAGGCTGAGGTAGGAGGATTGCTTGAGCCCAGGAGTTCAAGGCTGCATTGAGCCATGATTACACGACTGCAATCCAGCCTGGGTGACAGAGCAAGACCCTGTCTCAGAAAAAAAAAAAAAAAAAAGACAGGTTGAGGTCCTAACCCCCAGTATCTCAGAATGGGACCTTATTTGGAAATTGGGTCATTGTATATGTCGTTATTTAAATTAAGATGAGGTCACACTGGAGTAGGGTAAGTCCTAATTCAATATGACTGGTGTCCGGTGTCCTTATAAGAAGAGAAAAGACGTGGCTCACGCCTGTAATCCCAGCACTATGGGAGGCCGAGGCAGGTGGATCATGAGGTCAGGAGATTGAGAACATCCTGGCTAACACGGTGAAACCCCATCTCTACTAAAATTACGAAAAATTAGCCGGGCGTGGTGGTGGGCGCCTGTAGTCCCAGCAACTCGGGAGGCTGAGCCAGGAGAATGGCGTGAACCCGGGAGGCGGAGCTTGCAGTGAACCGAGATCGCACCACTGCACTCCAGCCTGGGCGACAGAGCAGCACTCATCTCAAAAAAAAAGAAGAGAAGAGACACAGACACACACAGGGCAAAAATGTCCATGTGACGTTAGAACAGGGATTAGAGCAATGCAGCTCCAGCTGAGGAATTCCAAGGACTGCCTGCAACCACCAGAAGCGAGGAAGGAGCAAGGAAGGCTTCCCCTCCAGGTTTCAGAGGGAACACGACTCTGCTAATGCCTTGATCTGGGACTCCTTGCCTCCAGGCCTGTGAGACAATAAATTTTTGTTGCTTTAAGCCACTCAATTTGTAGTACTCTGTTATGGCAGCCCTGGCAACAAATCTACATCCAAATCGCCATCTCTGGCTCTGCTTCTAGGGAACCCGGCCAAAGACAACCAGCTTGTTTCTTTCTTTCTTTTTTTTTTTTTTTTTTTTTTTTTGCAGAACTGAATTTTTTTTAACTTTTATTTTAAGTTCAGGAGTATAAGTGCAGGTTTGTTACATAGGTAAACTCGTGTCATGGCAGATTGTTGTATAGATTATTTCATCACCCAGGTATTAAGCCTAGTACCCATTAGTTGTTTTTCCTGATCCTCTCCCTCCTCCCACCCTCCATTCTGTGAAAGGCCCCACTGTGTGTTGTTCCCCTCTCTGTGTCCATGTGTTCTCAGCATTTAGCTCCCACTTACAAGTGAGAACACGGAGTATTTGGTTTTCCATTCCTGTGTTAGTTTGCTGAGGATAATGGCCTCCAGCTCCATCCATGTTCTTGCAAAGGACATGATCTTGTTCTTTTTCATGACTGCATAGTATTCCATGGTATATATGTACCACATTTTCTTTATCCAGTCTATCACTGATGGACATTTAGGTCGATTCCATGCCTTTGCTATTGTGAATAGTGCTGCAATGAACATAACGCATGCATGTGTCTTTATAATAGAACAATTTATATTCCTTTGGGTATATGCCCAGTAATGAGATTGCTGGGTGGAAAGGTATTTCTGTCTTTAGGTCTTTGAGGAATTGCGACACTGTCTTCCACTATGGCTGAACTAATTTACACTCCCACCAACAGTGTATAAGCGTTCCTTTTTCTCTATAACCTCACCAGCATCTGTTATTTTGGACTTTTTAATAGTAGCCATTCTGACTGGTATGAGATGGTATCTCATTGTAGTGTTGATTTGCATTTCTCTAATGATCAGTGATGAGCTCTTTTTCATATGATTGTTGGCAGCATGTAAGACAACCGGCTTTTCCACTCAAAGAGCATAATTTCCAGAGTAAGCATTAGCTGGGCAATAGGAGCATATTCTTCCCTCAGTCAGAGTCTCCAGTGCCTCTCTTTGTGTGAGCTTCTTGCCTCACTAGTATGAGTCTGGTATTCAAAGTGAAATACTCATATAGCATGACCTTCCTAGTGGATTCCATCATTTAAAACTTCTGCCTGAAATACATTTGCTCCCCAAATGTGAGCAAATACATCCTGATCCACTCCAACGGTGCAAGACCTGCTATATTGGAATTACTGAGAGATGGTACCTCAGTCTTCAATATGGTGCCCATTTTCAAGGCCAATTTTGATCATTCTTAATGAAACGAGTCTTGGCAGGGCTCAGTAGCTCATGCCAATAATCCCAGCAAACTTTAGGAGGCCGAGGTGAGAGGATCGCTTGAGACTAGGAGTTGGAGACCAGCCTAGGCAACATAGCGAAATCCCCATCTCTGCAAAATGTATTTTTTTAAAAACTAACCAGGTGCAGCGGCATACAACTGTAGTCCCAGCTACTCGGGAGGCTGAGGTGGGAGGATCTCTTGAGCCCAGGAGTTTGGGGCTGCAGTGAGCTGTGATTGCACCACTGCATTCCAGCCTGGGCGACTGAGCAAGACCCTGTTTCTAAAAATAAAAAATAATAATAATAATTTTAAAAAAGCAAATGAGTCCTGATTGCCCATTTATTACCGCATGCAGCACACTGCATCATGGCTTGCTGTTTACCAAACTGTCTTTCCCACTAGACTGGAAGTTTCCTGCTGCTAGGAATGGTATGGTATTCATTTTTATTAATCCAACTAGAAATGCCGGGCACATAATAGGACCTCAAGAGAAACAGAATGAAGAAATGAGCAGATCAGAGAAGAAAAAACAAAGAATAATAAAGAGGGGAGAAGAGAAGGAAAACAAATATCTTAAGGGTCCAGATGACGCTTCCAAAAACTATTTTGAACAGTACTAAGAAAACACTCATCATCATCAGGAATGAGAGACAGAAGGCATTTACAGCCAGGACTTGAGTCAAACCCACAATTAAAGGCATTAACAGCCACTACTTGGCTGATAATAGCACCAGCAAGGCTGGAAGCCCGAGTGTGACGGACCAGAGTATAAATCAGATGAGCAATTAGAGCAGTTGACCTGCCTGCAATATTTCAACTTTATACACACTTTTGTTATTTTATTTTTTTAGAGACAAGGCCTCACTCTATTGACCAGGCTGGAGTGCATCGGCGCAATCATAGCTCACTGCAGCCTCAAACTCCCGGGCTCGAGCAATCCTCCTGCCTCAGCCTCCCGAGTAGCTGGGACTACAGGCACATGCCACCATGCCTGGCTAATTTTTTTTTTTTTAATGTTTTGTAGAAATAGGGTGTCACTATGTTGCCCAGGCTGGTCTCGAACTGTTGGGCTCAAGCCATCCTCCCACCTCAACCTCCCAAAGTGCTGGGATTACAGGTGTGAGCCATTGCACTCAGCCCTATACACATGAATACTTTTAATTCATAGAGGCACTGAAAGGTCCCCATGAAACTAAGGCACGGCCTGCAGCTCTATCAAGGGTGAGGAGCCAGCCCTTGTCTGGGAGAAACCTGCTCCCGCAGTGACCTGAAACAGGCCCGGCTGTCCCTCTTCAAATGGAAAGGAGATGGCAGCCCCGAGATTAACTCAGCTGAGGAGACGCCAGCTCCTCTACCGCAAGAAGGCTCAGCATCAGGAGTGAACGGGAACACTCCCCGCCTCTTGTCTGCCCAATTAGATATTCACCAGGTGTGATTACCGCTTAGTGCACTGGAAGGCGACACATTACAGGCTCACTCTGAATGGGTTCACAATAGAAGACGTCGTCTCCTGACAACTGGGCCTGCCACTGTGGAGTGCTCGCCACCCGCCAGGCCCTCGCTGCGAGGTGGTGTTACTACCTCCACTTCACCTGAAGTGAGGTGAGGGAGCACAGGGGCCCAGCAACAGCTAGGCACTGGGAGGAAGGTTGCAGCTTGGACCCAAGGCCATTTTCTCTGCACGTCACCAAATGGCTCCCCATGGAAAGGCAACTTTTTTTTTTTTTTAAAGAGACAGGGTCTCACTCTGTCAACCAGGCTGGAGTGAGCTGGAGTGAGTGCAGTGGCTCGATCATAGCTCACTGCAGCCTCAAACTCTGGGCTCAAGAGATCCTCCTGCCTCAGCCTCCCAAGTAGCTAGAATTACAGATGTGCACTACCATGCCTAGCTAATTTTTAAATTGTTTTTTGTAGAGACGGGGTCTCACTGTGTTGCCCAGGCTGGTCTTGAACGCCTAGACTCAAGTGATTCTCCTGCCTCAGCCTCCCAAAGTGCTGGGATTACAGGCGTAAGCCACTGCGCCTGGCCTGGAAGGCAGCTCTTATTGACCTCATGGTGGCCAAAGCCCCCTCCCCTGTTTCTCCATCTCCCGTCCCTGTTCCTACAACAGCCATCCCACAGGACAGGGAGAGAAGGAAGGGAAGAGGGGAGGAGGGGAGGGAGGAAGGAGGGGAAGGAGGGAGAAAGGGAGGGAAGAGGGTAGCAGGGAAGGAAGGGAGGGAGGGAGTGAAGAGAGAAGCGGGAAGGGAGGGAAGGAGGAAGGAGTGGCTGGGTCTTTTCCTTTCCTTGGGCTCCCCACATCCTTCTACCTACAATGGGTAGACAGTTACCCTCTAATATGCAGGAATGCACAACAGCCGACTGGAGACACAGCCTGGTCCGTGGGTGGCTTCCCGAGCAGCCAACCACATTTCCCTGGGCTGGACAGGGGGAAGGAAGCCAATCTAACAGTTGGCCTGAAAAACATCCATGCATCATCCTGTTTTCCAGCCTTCACTTTTTCCCCAAAAAAATCAATTTCTGAAAGTCAAAATGATTGATAGCTTTATACCCTGTGCAATCATTCTCCTTATTAAATAACTCAGCATCGATGATTTAAAAAAGGCTTCCAGAGTGGTGGTGGTTACAGGAATCTATACATGTGATAAATTTTCACAGAAAGACACACACATGAGTGATGCATGTAAAAAGTAGTGAAATCTTGAGGTCAGGAGATCGAGACCATCCTGGATAACACGGAAAACCTCATCTCTACTAAAAAAAAAAAAAATACAAAAAAATTAGCAGGGCGTGGTGGCGGGCGCCTATAGTCCCAGCTACTCAGGAGGCTGAGGCAGGAGAATGGCGTGAACCTGGGAGGTGGAGTTTGCAGTGAGCCAAGATCACGCCACGGCGCTCCAGCCTGGGTGACAGAGCGTCTCAAAAAAAAAAAAAAACTACTGAAATCTGAGTAAGCTCTAGGTTAGTTACCAACATCTATTTCCTGGTTGCGTAAGATGCTATCATGCTGGATCAAGAGGACACAGGAACTCTCTGCTATTTTTGCAACCTCTTGTGAGTCAAAAATTATTTCAAAATAAAAAGTTTTAAAAATCCAAAAAAGCCTTTTAAACAGTAAAATAAAATAAAAATAATCACTTTTTAAAAAAGCTCCCAGGAGGAAACACCACAAACCCATCCCTTACCTGAGAACTGGGAATCAGCGCCTTCCACCAGTGCCCGCCCTTGACCAGGTCAACTTCACACAAAGGCACAGAAACTTTCCCAATGACACAGTGGCGGGAGAACTTATCAAAATCCACCACGGTCAGGAGCAGGGTCCTCCTCTGGGCCTCCAGGAAGGGGATCTCGAAGGTGTAGCGCTCCTCAAACACGGGCTTCTGGGTCTTGCGTTTGACCCCGGTCTGCTTTGAGTTCTTCTGGTCTGGCAGGAGACAGATCTTGACGTAGGGGTTGGAGTGCGCCATGTCCTGGCGCGAGCCATCGTGGGAGATGGGAGGTGGCAGGTCCCTGGCCTCGATCACGCGCACGGTGAGGTGGTTGTGCAGCAGGTCGTACTGAGTGCTGAAGTGCAGCATGCCCAGCTGGTACTTGGACAGGATCTCCTCGTCTGTCAGAGAGTCCACATCGTCGCTGTTGGAGTCGAGGGAGTACAGGTGGGGTTCGAACTTCCTGAAATAGTCGTCGGGGTTATAGGTCCGTCTGAGCACCGAAGGTTGGATGGGCTCCTTCTTGGCGCTGAGAACGCCAAACTCGATGGGTTTAATATCGATGAGTGGAGAGCTGGGACGTCTTGACTCAAGACCTGAGAGCCACCAGAAATAACAATGAAGACAGCCACATACGGGGCAGACCTGGGCCACTTTGCAGGTAAGCAGATTCTTGCATTGTTTACTCTGCTTCAGAATGACCTTTGCCATCTTTCTCCACACTCTGAAATACTCACTGATTCTGTGACAGATAGTTTGGTGGCACTATTGACACCTTGCCATCATCACAGCAGCTAAGTGCCAGGCACTGCTCTAATGGACTGTGTACACTACATCATCGCATATGTGCAATCACAATCTTCACATCCCCTTGAATTATTAGATAATTACTATTATCCCCACTTTATAGACGAGGAAACAGAAGCTTTAAGTAACTTTCTGAAGGTCACACACTTGCAAGTGTAGGAGCCAGGGGTCAGGCTGGTCTAGCTGACCCCAGAGTCTGGCTCTAACCATTATCCTACGATGTCTCCACTTTAAGAGAGTGAGCTCTGGGACCAGAGTGCCTGGGTGGAATTCCATCTCAGCCACTTACTCACTACTCGTGTACTCATTACCAGTGAGCCATGTGACTCCGGGCATATTCTTTTGACTCTCTGGGACTCTGTTTTCCCATCAGTAAAATAGAGTCAATAACGGCACCTACCTCAAAGAATGTGGTGAAGATTCACTGAGCCAGGGCATGAAAAGAGCATGGCACAGAATGTGCCCGTAGGCACAGACCAATAAATGGGAACGACTGTACTTCTTCAAGGTTCATATTCAAACCTCACCGCTTACGGGCCGCCTCTCTCCCTTCCATGAACCAGCAGAATGCATTGATCCCAAGTTCATTATTCCAACCTTTGCACATCCCTCTCTTCTAGCAATGAGCTCATGGCATTCTTGCTAATTGCCCAAACAGTTGTCTTTATGAGACATTTGCCAGAGGCATGGGAGGTACTCTGATAGATGTATGCTAAATGGAGATAACCTGTGTTCAGAGCTGGGCATGAGACTTAGAAATTACCTAGGCCCACACTGTCCATAGAAAGATAACGCAAGCCAGAAATGCAAGCCACACATGTAACTTAAAATGTTCTGGCAGCCACGACTTTTAAAATATGCAAATAAAAGGGCAAAATTCATTTAATTTTATTTATTTATTTTGAGACAGAGTCTTGCTCTATCGTCCAGGCTGGAGTGCAGTGGCGGATCTCGGCTCACTGCAACCTCCACCTTCCAGGTGCAAGTGAATCTCATGGCTCAGCCTCTCAAGTAGCTGGGACTACAGTTGTATACCACCACACCTGGCCCATTTTTGCATTTTTAATAGAGATGGAATTTCATCATGTTGGCCAGGATGGTCTTGAACTCCTGGCCTCAAGCTATCTGCCTGCCTCGGCCTCCCAAAGTGCTGGGATTACAGGCGTGAGCCACCGCGCCCAGCCTGCAAAATTAATTTTAATATTTTATTTTATTTAACCCACTATATCCAATGTATACTCATTTCAACATGGAACCAATATAAAAATATTTTAGTGAGATACTTTAAATCCTCTCTCTCTTTTTTTTTTTTTTTTTGAGACAGAGTTTCATTTTTGTTGCCTGAGCTGGAGTGTAGTGGTGCAATCTCGGCTCACTGCAACCTCCACCTCCCGGGTTCAACCGATTCTCCTGCCTCAGCCTCCCAGGTAGCTGGGATTACAGGCATGCGCTACCATGCCCGTCTAATTTTGTATTTTTAGTAGAGATGGGGTTTCACCATGTTAGCCAGGCTGGTCTCGAAGTCCTGACCTCAGGTGATCCTCCCGCCTCGGCCTCCCAAAGTGCTGGGATTACAGGCATGAGCCACCGCGCCCAGACTTTTTTTTTTTTTTTCCTCACTGTCCTGAAAGTCCAGTATGTATTTTGCACTTACAGAACATCAGTAAGATTCAGTCTCACACCATTTACGTGCTCAACAGCTACGTGTGTCTAGTGATTGTTATACCAGACAGCGCAGCTCTAGACCAGCCCTCTCATTTTACAAATGGGAAGACTGAGGCCTAAAGAAATCCAGTGCTCCCTCTGTTTCACTATTTCATGCCCTTGAACTCTTTTTTTTTCTACTTTTTTCTTTTCCCTCTATCCCCAGGAAAGGTTGGACACCAATGATCTCCACCTGAATGGATTTGTTTCATGCATTTGAAGCTTTTCCCTCTGTCTGGTGAATTTCAGACATCGGTTCACACAGAGCAGAGATACTTTTGTGGAGCAGAAGGAGGTTGGGAGCCTCTGGGTGTTTGTCCTCCTTTTTCCTCCTCACCCAAATCATGCTGTTTGGTCAAACACATACGCCACACAACAGAGTGGACAAATTGGGTGGTCAAATTTGATGGCCACACATACATTTTGTTTAGGCTTGAAAGTAAGAATGTTTCACATAAAAAAACCCAGATTGCCAATATCTCTTTACAAAGATCAGACAATACGGAGCCCCCAATCCCATACAGCTACCATTGGCCAGAGCTGAGTAGCAGACACCCTGGCCCCCTTTCAATGGGGCATTTGCTTTTCAATTGACCGAAGTCCCCACCCTGCCCTAGTAACTCTCCAGACAGAGCGGCAGCTGCCATTTGTCACTGCACTCAGGCAATGTTTATCTCTATGCAACCTCTGCACTTGGCCACTGATGCAACCCGCCTAGCTCCCAAAGTCACCAGAATTGACAAACCCTGCTATATAATATAGCCACACTCATCTTTCAGAATCTGAAATGATATACACTGACAATGTTAATCAATTCAGCCAATTCAATCAAACTTAAAATTAATAAAGCAAAAATCAATCAAAATGATTGCTTTTGATTAAACTCAGCAGCAATCAGGTGTGATGCCCTCCTCTGTCACACCGTCATTATCTCTCTCTCGCCCTGTCTCCTGGACTGTCATCCCACTCTGCCGCCCTCCCCCAGCAATAACACTGCCCTTCATGACTCTCCGTGGGAGAGTGTCTGGGAAAGCCAGCCAGGGCCCCCAGAAAGGTAAAGCAGAGATACTTACTCGAAATCCTCCGCGTCAGGCTGTATGTAGACTTGGATGTGTCTGAGGACGAGCGTCTTCCATCCGGGGAATTGGTCCGTGGGGTCAGCGGGACTTCGCTGGCCGTGTGGACAGAGTCACCATCCTTGTCACTGCTCCGGCTGGCCATCCTATAGGAAGGGAAGAGGTCTCAGTAGCTGTCCAGGAATCCCCGGGGACTGGCATCTCTGTCCCTTGGGGGTTAAGACCCACGATGAAACCGCTCTCAGACTCATTTTATGCAACATGGAATAATGCAAATTTGACAGTGTGGTGTCCTTAAACTCTCAACAACGTCTTGCTTTTTGCACAAAATGTGAAATGATATGAAGAAATATTCCCCAATTTAGAACAATCTGTCAAGAACTTGCATAATTTCAAAGCTGGGGTTGGGTGGAGAGCTGTGTAAAGTTAAGCTGTCGCCACGTGGGGGCGCCACTTTGGCTCAGTGAAGCCCGAGACCTGTCAATCTCCAGCCTGGAGTGAACCGTCTGGTTGTTTTATAGGCATCCGAACTTCTGCTTTTGGTTACAAGTGTCCTGGTATTTCAACAGTCACTGTGTCTATAATTTAAGATCTTTTAAAAATATCCTATAACAATGTCACTCAAGGGTTCTTTGCGCGGCAGAAATGGCCCTGAAAATCAACAATTTCTGAACAGAAGTTTGATGTAAAGAAATAGCTATAAATTAGCAGCAGCCGTGACTCAATGTGCTCCCAATAAAGAACTGCTGAGAAATTGGGAAGGAGGATGTAGGGGTGGATGGAGAAGGAAGACGATACAGGGTAGTCATTGAGAGAACCGCTGGGGCTGAACCCTGGCTGGGTGCTGGGGCAAGTCCCTTTCCCCTCCCGTACCTCCATTTCCCCATCTGTAAAGTGGAAATATTGACAGTACCCACATTATACGGTGGTTGTAAACACTGAATGAGTTAACACATATAAAATGCGTAGAGGCCGAGCATGGTGGCTCACACATATAATCCCAGCATTTTGGGAGGCCAAGGCAGGAGGATCCCTTGAGGCCAGGAGTTTGAGACCAGCCTGGGCAACACAGCAGGACCCATCTCTACTGAAAGTTGGCTGGGCATGGTGGCCCACAGCTGTAAACTTTGTGAAGAATGTAAACTTTGGGAAGCTAAGGCAGGAGGATCACTTGAGCTCGAAAGTTTGAGATCAGCCTGGGCAACATGGCAGAACTCTGTTTCTACAAAAAAATTTTTTAAATTAGCTGGGCATGGTGGTCTGTGTTTGTAGTCATAGTTACTTGGGAGGCTAAGGCGGGAGGACTGCTTGAGCCCAGGAGTTTGAGGCTGCAGTGGGCTATGATTGTGCCACTGTACTCCAGCCTGGGTGACACAGCAAGAGACCCTGTCTCAAAAATAAATAAAATGCTTAGAACAGTGCTTGGTTGCGTAGTAAACAGCTGCTCAATACATCTTGAAACATTTTTTATTGATTGATCGATCAATTCATTGTTTTTTTTTTTAAGAAACAGGGTCTCACTATGTTGCCCAGGCTGGACTCGAACTCCTGGGCTCAAAGTGATCCTCCCGCCCTCAGCCTCTTGAGTAGCTGGGACTATAGATGCATGCCTCCATGCCCAGCTTAGTTGATATTATTACAACTGGGGTGGCTTTAAGATCCCCCCCAATACTCATAAAGCTAGGTAAGGATGCTGGAGGGATGGGAAAGGAGGTAGAAAAACAGCTGGTGACGTCGTTTTGAGACTGATGCTGCTAATAACATGCCCCTAAGCCATAATGGCTGTAGATTTATGCCTTCCGAGGCTGCATACCCCCCAACTTGACATTAAAGCCTATGGGAAAACTCGTCTTGAAAAATGCAAGTTTTGAATGCTGTGAGGTCTTCAGACGCATCCTGTGCATGAGATGAGACTGATCTGATGTTCTTCAAAAGTGTTATCAGGAGCTAGGCATGGTGGCTCATGCCTGTAATCCCAGGACTTTGGGAGGCTGAGGTGGGTGGATCACTTGAGGTCAGGGGTTCGAGACCAACCCGGCCGACATGGCGAAACCCCATCTCTATTAAAAGTACAAAAATTAACCTGACGTGGTGGCATGCACTTGCAGTCCCAGCTACTTGGGAGGCTGAGGCATGAGAATCACTTGAAACTGGGCGGGCACGGTGGCTCACGTCTGTAATCCCAGCATTTTGGGAGGCTGAGGCGGGTGGATCACGAGGTCAGGACATCGAGACCATCCTAGCTAACACGGTGAAACCCCATCTCTACTAAAAAAAATACAAAAAATTAGCCGGGCGTGGTGGCGGACGCCTGTAGTCCCAGCTACTCGGGAGGCTGAGGCAAGAGAATGGCATGAACCCGGGAGGCAGAGCTTGCAGTGAGCGAGATTGCACCACTGCACTCCAGCCTGGGCGACAGAGCTAGACTCCGTCTCAAAAAAAAAAAAAGGAGAATCACTTGAACCTTACCCAGTCTTGGGTATCCCTTTATCACAACAGAAAACAAACTAATACAGGTTGGGAGAAGGATGAATAACTAATTTGCACCACTGTTAAAAGGCAGAACCCCAGCTAAGCCAGTAATGCTAAACTCTAAATGGCACACACTCCCAATCGCCAAGTGGGGCATCTCTGAGAGGGCTGTAAGAGCTCTGCACATTGTAGGCATTCAATATGTGCTTGTTCGACAAACAATCAACCAACTTGACTTTAATTCACTCTTCAATGAGGGTCTTTCTGGCATTGCTTCAAAAAGCACCAGTCAGATTGTGCAGTTTTCCTAATCTTCACCAGCCCAGCCCAGCCAAGAAAAGTTGGGGGCCCACAGGACATGAGCATATGTGACAATTAATGTATCCCCAAGATCACACGCAGAGCACACACAAAGGGCCAGCTCATCTGCCACATGCCAGTCCACAGAGGCAAGTCCCATGGTTCTTGGCTCAAATGTCGCAGTAGGAACAGCACTGCAAAGCCCATACACTTGACATTTCTACTTCCTGTCTGTTTGATAACATGCAGCTGCCCACTTGGTAAATAAATCTGGGGAAAACACAAAGCTGTAAATTTACTTTCTGAATGATTTAGCCATCTTCCCTTTACAGATTTCTCTTACCGTTTTGCATTATGCTGAGTGTCAAAACTGTATTAAGCACTGCCCAGTGTTCAGAAGAGACCTCATTCATCCTGGGAAGCACAAAGGTCACGCACAGCTGTTCAGTCTGTAGACTGCACAACCCTAGGTGGTGCCATTCATAATGGCCACCATGTGAATGGCGCCACCTGGAATTTTGTGGTGTATTGGCCCTGCTGGGAAAGTTCCAGTCCACTTCTCTACTAGTGGCAAAACCAAAAGAAGTATCTTCCCAGAGGGTCCCAGCCCCCTTGCCCCTGCTTACACAAAGGGTTAGCAGCAGTCAAGGCAAAACGCAACTGTCCTCCAGCTCAACATGAGAACCTAGGCTGTGCATCTGTAACACTCAACATTTGGATATCTAGGGGGCAAACAGGTACCTGGCTGTGATACTCAACACCTGTGAGGGGTCTCCGCTGGTATCGAAGAAAATCCAGATTCCTTACTCTGGCATTCAAGACCCAACTCAGCCTAAGCTTGCAGGCTCCCCCAGCTCTTCCTAGATGTAGTTGTGGCCTGAATCCTACAGGTGTGTGTGGAGTTGAGATTTTTGGTGAAAGCAACTCATTAATCAAGCGATAATTCACAGCCGGTTGCCGCGGCTCTCACCTGTAATCCCAGTGCTTTGGGAGGCTGAGGTGGGAGGACTGCTTGAGGTCAGGAGTTTAAGACCAGCCTGGGCAACACAATGAGACGCCTATCTCTACAAGGGGTGATGTCTGCCCACCTCTCTAGTCAATTTCCTCCCCTCTAGTCACAATACCCCAATTGTCTATTACAGGGGTCTGCAAACTACAAAGCCAAATTCACTGCCTGATTTTGTAAATGAAGTGTTAATGAAACACAGACGTGCCCGTTCATTTACTGTCTACAGCTGCTTCTGCATAACAATGGTAGAAATAAGTAGCTGCAACAGAGACCATATGGCCCATGAGGCTAATATATTTATTATTTGGTCCTTTAAAAGTTTGCCAACCCCTGGTCTAATAGTTCAGTTCCTGTGTTTCTGGTGGAAATGACCATCTCCCTGGTTTCCTGGGTGGGCAGGTAACTGGCATGATTCTAGCACCATTTCCTCCAAGTGAAAGTGATTGGTACATAACCCGAGCCAGGCTAATAAGAGTCTTTCCTGGTTTTGTTTTGTTTGTTTGTTCGTTTTTTATGCAACCGCAACAGAATGCAAGTCTAGTGCTGCCACATGGAGAAAACAAGCTTAACAATGAGGCCAATACAGAAGAAACAGAGAAAGAAAGAGAGAGAGAGAAAGGCTCTGATGACATGATTTCTGCTCCTGGATCCAGCTATGCCTGAAGCCATCATTCCTGATTCTTTCATAACAAGGTCTTATGCAGGACTGTCATATATGGAATGCAGGGTGTAAATGCACAACTCTAGGGGGCAACCTGACTTACATACCTGCCTTACCTCCTACGTGAGACTGAAAATTCCCTGAGCATGGTCACAGGACCCTATCTAGCCCTGTGTATACCACAGCGCCTGGCACACTGTACTTAAGAAATAACTACAAAAGGAACTGAGATTAACTTTTCAACTGATGATTGGCACTTTCAGGATGCAAGTTCTGCCTGCAGGATAGTCTGTCAGTCAACAACTTTTTCTGAGTGAACAAGGCAGGCAAAACTCCCTGCCCACATGGAGATAGCATTCTTGTGAGCATAGCTTTAAGGACATCAGATGGACTGAACTAACTTCTGCTACATAGACCAGTAGAATCCTTTTTTTTTTTTTTTTTTTTTTGAAGTCTTGCTCTGTTGCGCAAGCTGGACTGCAGTGGCGTGATTATAGCTCACTGCAGCCCTGACTTTCCAGGCTCAAACGATCCTTCCAACTCAGCCTCCCGAAGAACTGGAACTCTAGGCACCAACGTGCCCAGCTAATTTTTTAAATTTTTGTAGAGATAGGGGTCTCATCGTGTTGCCCAGGCTGGTCTTAAACTCCTGACCTCAAGCAGTCCTCCCACCTCAGTCTCCCAAAGCACTGGGATTACAGATGAGAGCCACGGCACCCGGCTGTGAATTATCTCTTGATTAATGAGTTGCTTTCACCAAAAATCTCAACTCTACACACACCTGTAGGATTCAGGCCACAACTTATGAATAATGAATAATGGAAGAGTTCTTTAACATTGTGTTTGTATCAGTTTAATTAATCTCTATTGAAACCTAATACTGACAGAAATAAATGCTTATAAAACTTTTGCTCTGTGCTAAGCATATTATATGCATATCTCATTTATTTATTTATGTATTTATTTTTGAGACAGGGTCTCATTCTTTCCCAGGCTGGAGTGCAGTGGCGCAATCACAGCTCACTGTAGCCTCAACCTCCTAGGCTCAAGCGATCCTCCCACCTCAGCCTCCAGAGTAGCTGGGGCCACAGGCACACATCACCACATCCGGCTAATTTTTTGATGTTTTGTCGAGATGGGGCATGGGGGGGGTCTCACTATGTGGCCCAGGCTGGTCTCGAAATCCTGAGCTCAAGTGATCCGCCTGCCCTCAGCCTCCCAAAATGCTGGGATTACAGGCATGAGCCACTGCGCCCAGCCAGAGTTACTTACATGTATGATCACCAACAAAGTATCAAGCATTCCTAACTACTTTTCCACATTCCAAATTCATTGACTCCCTTCGACAACTCTGAGAGAAATACTATTCTTTTTATCATCCCATTTCACAGATGGGAAATCAAGGCACACAGAGATCAAACCACTTGCCCAAGGTCACAGAACTCGAAATAGTAGTTGAGACCACAGAGCCTGGATACAGAACCATTTTGCTATGGAAATATTTGATACTTGCTTCTAAGAAGAGAAAATGAGAGGCCTGAGGCATGAGCCCCCAGCTTGGAGGGAAAGATGGGACACCAGAGACTTTTGGAATCTCAGGCCAAGGACTGAGCTGAAACAGCGCTGCCTCCTTCCACTCTGCCAGGCTCCAGCTGTGGGTCCTGGCCGCTGTCTGTCTCCCTCTCTGGGCCTGCCCCTCCGAAGCATGACAAGCTCACTTGATGACTTCTTGATCCTTCCCAGCCCCGACCTTCTTGACTGTACCCAGGCTCTCTGACCACGTCCCTCTCTCAGTCACGGAGAGGTGGACCAGGCACGTGGCTGAGAAGCTTCAAAACTGCGTTCCCAAAATATCTGAGCGACTGGCAGATGGAGATGTTGTATGCAGGCGCGGGAGGAGAGCAAATTAGAAATAAAACGAAAGATGCCAGAGAGAACATAAACAGCGTTGGAGGACAGGATGGAGCCTGGAGGTGCTTTTCTGCTTCCCTGTTTCTGAAGTTCTTGTTCGGAGCAGCAAAAAGGCACTTGTTTGTTCATTCCGTCTACCCATCCATGCAATGGATATTTATCGAGCTTTTACTATGTGCAGGCCCTGGGCTAAGTGCTAGGGAATCTTGTCACGCTGACTTGGATGGAAACCCTCAGAATGCGGTCAGCCCCTGAAGAATATAGAGGCTCGGCTCACAGATCTCCTTTTCTGCTCGGAACCACGCTCCACGTGACTAAAAACGCCCACACGCTTAGCATTACACGGTTCGTATCTCAGAAGGCCCGATGTGCCACTAGGTGAACTAAAACCACACCACCAGCTGGTCTCGCCAGCTTGCCGAACAAAATGAGGGGTACAGAACATATCCCCAGTCTGCAGCAAAGTTGTCCCTGGAAACTCAGCCTGCTTCTCTTTCATGCCCCCAAATCCTCCCTCCCGTGGCCCAGACCCCCAACCCGCCTTCTCATTAAAAAGGAAAAGTCTTGAAATTGATTTCAGAGAAGTTCAGAGCAGTTTTACTTACAGCCAGGGAGGGGTCTGAGCAGGGAAAGGTCCCAGAATTTCAACTTCATCCTCACTTGACTGGCAACAGCTGGACTCGTAGCACTTCTGACAGCAGTGCCGGCAGGTCCATCTGCACAGCAGCAGACCAGAGATTCTAGAAAGAAAACCCTGAGGCCATTGGGGGAGGTGGGCGGGGGGATGGGGGAGAGGGGAGGTGGGCAGGGTGGGGAAGAGGAAGAGGAGAAACAACACCCAAAATTACAAGCAGCCGATCTCGGATGAGAAATAGACATTCAGGAGTTCTGGCTCTGCTGCTCAGCACTTAGAACAAAATGTTTTCCATTTCTATTTACCAACTGCAGGCACAAAGATAGCAAACATCAACTCGCTGGAGCCGTTAGTAGCAAGCAAAACATTTGCAGGTATTTTCTTTTGTAGTTTATGTGAACGTCTTTCTTGACATGTGGGTGGTTTATACAACATCATAAGGGCTATACGATATGTTCGAAACACAATGAATATTACTGTGTCTTCTTGAAAGCAGGGGAAAAAATATTTTTAAAAAATCTCGGTGACATGAAACAGACAGAGATAATCAAACGGAATAAGTAGGGGTGGAGAGGGAAACTTGTCTTGTCAACTGGTGTCTTTTCAAAACCGGGATCTCCTTTCGGTAGAAAGGAATGGAAACTGTGCCGTTATTAACACCAGGTTATTGTTGAATATTCAATATCCCCACAGCCCCACATAAGACTCCAAAATGAAAGTCAGGCATTTCTTGATTAGAAACCAGACCAAACAAATCATCAAATGAACCCACCTCGTTTAATGGTTCCAACTGCCCTTTTAAGATCCACGATGAAGCCAAGGGCGTAAGGGAACGAAGGGGTTAAAGAAAGAGAGACAAGACCAGTTTAGCAATATTCCAGCAACTCAAAAAAATTTTACAAAAAAAAAAAAAAGCCCTGCATATTTCCACTTACCATCCTGGGAAGGGAGCTGACTTCCTAACATCCTAACAAGGTGTTGCTATTTTCAGGGCTGCTGGTAGCCTCCTGGTTAACCAACACCAAATAAATGGGAAACTTTAGCATTTCGATTTGATTTGCACCGTATGCTGTTATGAATCAGAGCGGGCGGATAGATAGTCATGCTATCCAATGCAGCCACACTTCAGGAGAAGAGCAAACCTTCCTATACAGAAATAGCCATGTAGCCAACCCAAAAGGACATGATTAGCTAACATGCAGGCAGGCACACAGTGGATGTTACTTGGCTCCCCCGCCCTCCCGGAGGCCCTACCTTCCAATTCTGCTCCAATGGTGATGGTGGGGTGTTTCCTATCACCACCCACAAATAGAGGGAACTAAAAAGGAAGCCCTAATCTGGTCCTCTTGAGGAAGGAGGTCCTCCCTTCCTGTTGTGGCCCCACCCCGCCTCCCCATCTTCGTCTCCTGGGTTCTCAAGGCACAGACTCCCTCCTTCTCTTTAAGGTGGTTTTCCAAATGGGCCAAGTAGGCTAGATAGGTTAGAAGTACTGCATCCCAACCTCGGGCATGTCCCAGAGGTGAACTGAGGTGGGACTCAAACTCAGAACTTTGAATCAAGAGGGAGAAAGTTATTATCTTTTTTCCGATTCTCCTTTAAGGAGGAGAAAGTCTCAATTTGGTACCACTACATGTTAACATCTTTTACCACTTACCAATTTCCACCCTCCCCCATCCCCTTTCTTTTAAACAAAGAAAGTAGATCTTGTCCAGAGGCTTGGAGACAGCCACGTCCACCTAGAATTCAGTAATGTGGCATTATTCCCATTGGGTTTATTCTTCTAGTTGCCTTCTGCGATGTCACATGATCTTGGTTTCCTATGATATTAGTGACATAATGTTTCCTTTTCATATGATTTTTTTAAAGTAAAAATAAAAATGAGCCCATTTATAGAAAAAAAATTAAGTTAATAATAGCATAGGTAGGGCTGGGCGTGGTGGCTGATGCCTATAATCACAGTACTTTGGGAGGCCAAGGCGGGTGGATCACCTGAGGTCAGGAGTTTGAGACCAGCCTGGCCAACATGGTGAAACCCCCTCTTTTCTAAAAATACAAAAAATTAGCCAGGCGTGGTGGCAGGCGCCTGTAATCCCAGCTGCTGGGGAGGCTGAGGCAGGAGAATCACTTGAACCTGGGAAGCAGAGGTTGCAGTGAGCCGAGATCGCACCACTGCACTCCAGCCTGGGCGACAGAGTGAGACCCTGTCTAAAATAATAATCATAATCATCATCATCATCATCATCATCATCATCATCATCATAGTATAGGTGGTACGTGGCTTGTGAAAAAATTGAAATCCTCGAAGTGGTAAGGGAATAGCAACAGCTTGGGAAATAGTCAAAGGCACTTATCACAAACTCTCTAAAGCCAAAACTCAAACCATACACAGAACAAGACCCAAAGGTGCTGAGGGGCCACGCAACAAGCTGAGCCAGGAAGTACTAGAGTCCTAGTCTCACCATCGACTGATCATGTGACTTGGGCAAGACAGGGGGCCTCTCTGAGCCTCGGTTACCTCTTCTTTAGTGGAAAGGCTACTCTATACCTCAAAGGCGTGCTGTTGAGGTGGGACAGGACACTGACTATGCAAATACTTGCGTGCGGTCCAGCTGAAAAATAAAATGCACCCTTTCTGTGATGAGAATTAGGTGATTGTCAAGACCTAGTGGAACCCAGTAGGCACTGGGTATTGTCCCGGCAGGTACAGCAGGGCACAAAACAGCAAAATATTATACCCTCATAGGGCTTGCATGAAAAAGTGCTTTAGAATGTTAGGATAAAGTGATACTTTTTCATAATAATCTATGACCATTTTCTGAATACAGGGAAGCATTTCCTAGACATGTGGTGGTCAAAAGAGGCCATTTATGAAACCAAAGTGAACAGAGACAAGGTCACCTCATGGCCCTGCTGAAAAACAGCCTCCCCAACTTTCTCAAAGCCCAGGTGCAAGATGAGTGTCAAGGAGCAGAGAGAAAGCAAAGAAGATGAAAGAGGGTGCCCTGACATTCCCAGGCATGCTGAGTCTTTCTGGCATTGGGTCTCCTGGGCTCACGTGTTTGACACCGATGGAAGAGAACCAATTCACACCAGAAAGAAAGAGGAAGAAAGACAACCCATGCATTCTAAACAGAGGTTGGCAAACTAAGGCTCGCAGATCAAAACCAGCCCCGCAGCCTGTTTTGCTACAGCCCTTGAGCTAAGAATAATTTGTGAGTTTTTAAAAGGTTGAAAAAAAAAAAAGATGAATGCCTCTTGACTCGTGCAAAGTATACAAAATTCAAATTTTGGTGCCTGCAAATAAAGTTTTATTGGAACACAGCCACGCCCACTCATTTACTACTGTCCATAGCAGTTTTGGTGCTATAGTCAGAGTGGAATAGTTGTGACAGAGACCATGTGAGCCTCCAAGAGAAAAAAAATAGTATCTGGCACTTTACAGGACAACAAAGTTTAACACCTTGTTCTAGAAGGAAAACCAACATCACTGGGTCATCGCCATATGAGATGCTTAACATATCTACCACAGTCCCCTCTTGAGATCCCACCTTGACCCCTAAGCAGCTATGTGGCCTTGGGCAAGTCACTTAATTTCTCTGTGCTGAAGGCGGCCATTAAGAACTCCAGGAGCCGGTAATCATGTTCATTTCTCACTAAATTGCGCACCCAGAGGGGCAGGAACTGTGCTGTTTTCATCACTGTATCCCCAGTGCCAGCACTTAGTAGGCGGTCGCCCAAGTGTTTGTTGGGCGACTACTCAATAGCCCCTGGACAACATTCAGCACACAGTGGGTGGACAGTAATGTGACCTTCATTGAACTTGAAGAGAAACTGGCGATTCCACGAAAGGGAAGCCAATTCAGGGAATCTAAGGCAGGAGATGAATGGAAGAGGCTCCGCCAGGTGACACAGCACAGAGTTCCCGGCAGGCTGAAGCGTCTGAGGACACGATGAGGGGATATGTGACCCAGAGGGGAATGGGAGGACCAGCAGCACCCCCAGCTGTGGCTGAGGGGACAAGATGTGAGCCAAGATGCACCCTGGACGTGGGAGTCTGTAAGCTTCTCTGCCCAGCTCAGAGGCGCCAGCGCCAGAAGCAAGCAGCTCAACGGGTCTCACTGCGGGTCTGCCTGCTTGACCTTGGCGCTGACCTGCGGTCACTTCCCTTCTTGCAGAGGAGAAAGGTCTTTTCACCAAGAAGCCCGGCCCACCCCTCCGCCCCCTCCCCCCAAAAAAGGCTGCTTAGAAATTATTTCAGAATTATTTCAGCCCAAGGATTCTTGGGGGACGTTTCTTCAAGGTGAAGAGGGTCCACATCTCCCAGACCCCAATGCAGCGGAGTAAAGTAACAGGCTCCCTTCTCTTCACCAGCGCGCCTCTGGCCTCTGGGTGTCCCCCACCCCTCAGCACCCAGTGCCCAGGAGAGACGACGTCCTTGTCCCTCCTGGTCGGAACAGCTGCCTCAGGCTCGCTCCGCCGGCCAATTAGCCGGAGCCGTCACCACGGCAACGGCAGCTGGCGGGCCGGGTGGCTGGCGCGCCCCGGGCCGCCCTCCCCACGGCCCCTCCCCTGGGGTGGGGTGCCAAGGAGAGGGAGGGGGCAGGGGAGAAGAAAAGTCCGCCCCACCCCCCATTCCCTCCCCAAGAGGCAAGGGCGCGCGTTGCAGAGTACACATAGGACCCTCCATCCCGGGGTTTGGGGGTCCCCAGTCTCTCCTCCCGGGGCGCACCCCTGTTGCTGCACAGGTTGCCCGCGCACGGGCACCCTTTTTCTCGAAGCAAGTTTGTGGGAGCCTAGCCGTGGGCCCTCCCTTCCGCGCGCTCCCAGCCGGAGGGGGCGCGGCACCCCCTACCCGCACCCCGGACCTTGCCCCCAGCCTCAGCCCTACCTGGATGTACGCCATTTTCGCCCGCGCGCACTCACTCCGGCCCGGGCATGGCGCCGCCACGGCCACTTTGCCCTCGCCAACAGCGGAGGGGGAAGAAAGCAAAGGGGGAAAGGAAGAAAAAGGCAGCCGGTGGCCCCAGACGTGACTGGCGTGGCTGATGAGCGGCGCCCGCCCCTCCGCCGGCCGCCCCGTCCTTGCCTTTCCCTGCGTTCCGGCTCTCGGAATCGGGGCCGCCTCCCCGGTTCGGAGATATCGGGCGCCCAGGGCCCCCGCCTCGGCCTCCCTCGCTGTCCCGTGCTCCCCACCGAGGCGCTCCCCAGGCTGGAATAAGGCCGGGGCGCCTGGGCAAGCAGCCCGGGGCAGCTGCGGGGACTGCAGCGACCCCAGCGCAGGCGGGGCCGGAGACGCCGGGGCCGGAGCGCGCAGGAGGCGGGGGAGGGGATGGGAATGGGGAAGGGGGTGGGAGGGGGCGGTACACAGGTCAGCCCATCCTGCTGGCACGGGGGCTGGCACCTACCGAAAGCAGCGCCCCCGGGGCAGCCGTGGAGCCGAGGGGACACAGTGCAGCCTGCCATGAAGTCTGCAGCAGGGAGGGTCCTTCCCATCCAGCCCTCTCCCCAAACTGGGTTGGAAAAACTTTATTCCCGCCCCACCCGACGCGCCTAGCACGGTTGCGGTGAGGCTTGCAGAGGCTGCGTGGATGGGAGCCTCAAGTTAAGGTGGGCGTAGGGCGTCCCAAACGGAGGTGCTGCGTCCAGGGCTGCAGGGGGCGCGCGGAGAGAGCGGAGCGCCCCTTTACCCTAAACCTGCCGGAGTTGCGCCCTGGACGCAACAGGTCTAGCGCGGGGCGGCCCGGCAGCGCCACCCAGCGTCGTGCCCGGCCTCGTGCGCTCCTCTGCCCACGGGCAGGCGGCCGCCAGCGAGCGTGCGCCCCGGGGCGTGTCCACCGCCGCCCTCCTGCCTGTCCTCGTGGCTGGGGCGCCCTGGACCCAGAGGCCTCCATCAAACCTCCCAGCCCAAGGCCTCTGGCTCTCCACTCAGAGATTCGAGGTGGAACATTGCCCTCCGCTGGATTTCTTATTTTATTTTATTTTATTTTATTTTATTTTATTTTATTTTATTTTATTTTATTTTATTTTATTTTTGACACAGGGTGTCACTCTGTCACCCAGGCTGGAGTGCACTGGGGTAATCTTGGCTCACTGAAACCTCCGCCTCCCAGGTTCAAGGGATTCTCGTGTCTCAGCCTCCCGAGTAGCTGGGACTACAGGCACATGCCACCACGCCCACTAATTTTTGTATTTTTGGTAGAGAAAGGGTTTCACCATGTGGGCCAGGCTGGTCTCGAACTCCTGGCCTCAAGTGATCTGCCTGCCTCGGCCTCCCAAAGTGCTGGGATTAGGGGCGTGAGCCACTGCGCCGGGCCGGTTTTCTTTTTAATATGCCCAGTCATCTCCTGTTGCCGGACACCAGCTTATCAGCATTTTAATTTTAACCTCCCAGTGCCTCTTTTTCCTCAGTAAAAACAGGAGAAAATCTCCACCCTGCCTATCCTCCAGGGCTGATTTGTGGGAATAAATGAGAAAATGAATATGGGAGTAACAAAAGATGGATATTCAGATGCATATATTTTTTGTCTAAAAATCTAGCAGACCTATACATTTTTTAGTATGATATATTTAGTTTGTAGCATATAGCACGTAACGCATATTGAGTGCTTATGATTCTGCAGGCATACACGCCTCAACACTTCACAAGCGTTATTTCATTTCAACCTGCAGTACCTTGATCACTCCTATTAGGTAGCACCTGTCCAGCCAGAGTAGGCACTCAGTAATTGTTTTTGTTGCCTTATTCACTCTGCTTCCTGAGGGAGGTGCTATGATTATCTCCAATTTATGAGGGACTGCAGCCCAGACAGGTAAAGCCTCTATGAAGGCCTGACAGCTGGTAGCCCAGGGCACTGACATTTGAACCCACAAGTCCAGCAGTGAACCCAAAGTGGCCACTCCTAACCACTTTGTGGTATTTATCCACAATCTTTCTCCAGCACTGATGGCAAGGCATGCCAGGTGGGGAGTGAGCCTCACAGAGGAGGATGCCTATTGGAACGGGTGCTCCTTGGGGGCACTTGAGGGAGTTCGAGGAATTTGCTAGGTGTTCCCATAAGTAAAAATAGTTAACCCTTTTTCACCTGAGGTCAGGAGTTCGAGATCAGCCTGGCCAACATGGCGAAACTCCGTCTCTACTAAAAATACAAAAAATAGCCGGGCATGGTGGCAGGTGCCTGTAATCCCAACTACTCAGGAGGCTGAGGCTAGGAGAATCACTTGAACCTGGGAGGCGGAGGTTGCAGTGAGCTGAGATCGTGCCACTGCACTCCAGCCTGGGTGACAGAATGAGATACCATCTCAAAAAAAAAAAGTTAACCCTTTTTGAGGTCTGTGTACCAGGCACTGTTTTCAGCCCTTTACACAAATTTTGATCTTTTAATTCTCTGATTACCATGAGGTAGGCACAAGTACTATCCCACTCTTTAGGTGAGAAAAAAAGAGGCATTAAGAGGTGAAGTTGGCCAGGCATGGTGGCTCATGCCTGTAATCCCAGCACTTTGGGAGGCCAAAGTGGGTGGATCACTTGAGGCCAGGAGTTCAAGACCAGCCTACAAAAAGTTTCTTTACAAAATACAAAAATTAGCCCGGCATTGGTGGCTCACACCTGTAGTCCCAGCTACTTGGGAGACTGAGGCTGGAGAATCGCTTGAGCCCAGGAGATTGAGGCTATAGTGAGCTGAGATCACACCACTGCACTCTAGCCTACATGACAGAGTAAGACCCCATCTCGAAAAAAAAAAAAAGAGATGAAGTCATTTGCCCAAGGCGTGTCATGCCAGGCCACTGTTAACTCCTTTAGGAATAGTACCATGTCCAGGAGGCCAAAAAAGAGACCTAGAGACAGTGAACGAGACACAGGGTTTATTGAGGGAACTTACATACAGGGACAATCCAGTGGCAGCTGGCTGGACAGGAGAACCTCTACTGTTTATATAAAAGCATGCAGTTTATGTAGCATTTTCACTTAGCACCCTCCACCTAGCAACTTCCTTTTGGCCCTTTAACCCAAAACAAAGGGCCTCGATTGTTTATATAAAAAACATGTTTATATAAAAAGCATGCAGTTTATATAGCATTTTCGCTTAGCACCTTCTATCTAAGCAACTTCCTTTTGGCCCTTTAACCAAGGGTTTTGGCTCTTTAACCCAAAACCAAGGGCCTCAATTGCCTGTACAGCCTGCATTCCAAGGGATAGGCAGGGGACCCAGACATCCTTCATAGATAAGGAGTGAATCTCCAGGTTGGCCACTCCCGGATTCCTTAGCTCTGAACTGTGAATACACATTCTTCTTAGACCATAGGGTCGTTCGCAGGGTAAGCTAAGTTCAATTATTGCCGTCAAATGTGTCTGCCCTGCAGGGTGTGTGTGGCTTCCAGGAGCTGGGATTCAAACCTAAACCTGAATCCTTTCCCTAGCCCCTGCACCATGTTGCCTAATAATGCCTGATCTTGGAGGAGGGGGATGACCCCGTCCCCAGAATTTTTTGGTACCTTAATCCCTTATGACCTGAAACTGTCCAAGAATACTAAGCACCTCTCGAGCAAAAGAAGAGGTTATTTAAAATGCGGATAATAGAACCTGCCTCTGGTATTATGAAATGCTTTAAATGTATGCAAAGCACCTGGCAAAATAGGTGTTTGATAAATGCTTGTTGAATGAGCAAATGGGTTGCAACAACAGCTAACATGGACACTTTCAACTCTCAGACAACTGGTTATTATGATTGAGTGTTAAGCCCTTCACATTTGTTTTTGTTTCATCCCTACTGGAGCCTTACAAGGTGGGTACTGTCATGGTCCCCAGTTTACGGGTGAGGAAACTGAAATCCTGAGACGAGAAGCAAAGTGAGTTGCCCAAGGTAAACAGGTGACAAGAGACAGGGACAGGACAAAAATGCAGGTCTGGTTAGCAATAAAGTCTCAACTCATCATGGCTGCACCATCGTCAGATGAAAGAATGGACGAGAAATCAGTTTAAGTCCTTCATCAGGGGAGTGTCAATGAGTTCCAGGATCCCACTGCTTTGCAAGCCTCTCCTGCCTTTCACGGGGACATGAAGTCCAGCTTTTCAATGTAACTTGGACTCAGATCAAGGCTGTGCCTGCAAAGCTGGCACCTTTACAGATCTCAATGAAGAAGGCCCCAATCAGGGAGGTAGACAAATGCATGGAATTATATGTGACCTGTGGTGTGATAAAGGGAGGCTCAGGGGACTGTGGGGTTACAGGTGAGGGGCCCCAACCTCGTGTGATGAAGGATCACAGAAGGTTTCCCAGAGGGGCTGACATTAAGCTGAGTCCCAAAGAACCAAAGATGGGGAGTGGGGCTTATTTGGAAGGTCCATGAACTTAGAAAGAAAAAAAGTTGCATCACCATTGTCACCAACCTCCTTCTGAAATTTAGTGTTTCCTTCCATTATGACTGCAGGCAACCAACCAAAACAAGCTTAGCACTTACTCAGGACTTTGTCACCAACAAAGATCATGTGTAGTCTATCTCATTACACTTGCAGTTGTTGCAAATGACTTGAAATTTCATTTATGTTCTTTACTGCTTGAAAATTACAAATAGTTATTAGGCCCACCTCTAAATTGTCTATTTAATGTGTTAACAAAGAAGCAAAGACATGACCATATTTAAATTTGTTTAAATATTTTGATAACTGTATATCAGTGTTCATTATAATTTCATTATCAATCTATGTATTCTATTCTACGATTCTAAAAACATTATTCCAAGAGGGCTCTATAGGCTTTGATGGACTGCCCAGGGTTTCATGACACAGAAAGTAGTAAGAAAGCCCTGAAGGTAGCTTCTGCATTAGCTTAGAGGTGAGAATGGGAACTAGGGAGAGGTGGGTGCCAGGTGTGGCTCCACAGGTAGCAGATGCCACATGTCAGGCGGCCTCCTAAGTTACCCCATGGAAAAGCAGAGAGGATTGTGATCAGAAAGATTTTGGCAGGGCTGTGTGCATGTCTGTCTGTCTGTCCACCTGGCTGTCTTTGGACATGGAGCAGACAAGCCTGGAGGCAGGGAGGCCAGTGAGGAGATGGTTGCAACAATCTAGGTGAGAAGTAATGCGAGTCTGAACCAAGATAATGGCAGTGAGCCAATGGCAGTACCAGAGTGAGAGGTGATGAGGTCATGGAAGGCAAGGAAGGCTAGAGAGATGCAGGTGTGCTGCAGGAGGAGGAGGAGTTTGTGTCTGGATATGAGTCTCAGATATGTATTATCTAGGGTTCCTGGAAGAAGTCCAATTCAATCCAACTTGGGCAGAAAAGTATTTATGGGCTCATTAACTGGAAAGTCCAAGAGCAAATCCTGTGGGCATGGCTGGAAATAGGGATGCAACTGAAGTCATAAGAGCTCACTCTCTATATATATATCCCACCTCTTTACAGCATCTCTCTGAAAATCAGGGTTTTTATATTTTCTTCCTAGAGTAGGTTTGCTTTACATGGCAGGAAATGGCCACTAGTGATCTTAAGTTTATATTCTTACAGTTTATGCTCCAAAAAGAAAAGACTTTTTTTTTTTTTTGAGATAGAGTCTTGCTCTGTTGCCCAGGCTGGAGTGCAGTGGCATGACCTCAGCTCACTGCAACCTCCACCTCCCAGATTCAAGCAATTCTCCTGCCTTCACCCCCCAAGTAGCTGGGATTACAGGCTTGTGCCACCATGCCTGGCTAATTTTTGTATTTTCAGTACAGACGAGGATTCACCACGTTGGGCAGGCTGGTCTCGAACTCCTGACCTCAGGTGATCTGCCCAGAGACTCCTTTTTTTTTTTTTTTTTTGAGGCAGAGTCTCACTCTGTTGCCCAGGCTAGAGTGCAGTGATGCAATCATGGCTCACTGCCGCCTCCAACTCCTGGGCTCAGGCAATCCTCCCGCCTCAGCCTCCTGGGTAGCTGGGATTATAGGTGCTGCCACCACACCTGGCTAATTTAAAATTTTTATTTTGTAGTCATGGAGTCTCGCTATGTTGCTGAGGCTGGTCTCAAACTCCTGGCCTCAAGCAATCCTCCCACCTTAACCTCCCAAAGCACTGGGATTACAGGCATGAACCACTGTGCCCGGCAAGAAAAGAGATATTTATACCAAATCTAATGGAAAACTTCGGGCCCTACTTAGGTCTCATGCCTATTGTTGTCCAGAGGACCCTGTACTCTGCTTCAGTTGGCCTGGACCAAGTGACCAGGTGGACAGGGATGTGTGAGCACCATGAGCTGTGATCCCACAAGGGCTGCAGAGAGGGGAGGAGTTAGTTCTCTAAGAACAGCTGCTGGGAGACAAAAACAAAAAACATGGCCACGATGAGATCACATTGGAACACTCAGGCAGAGATGTGCAATGGGAAGTTTAGATGGTTCTGGAATTCAACCCCTCTTAACACAGAATGACATTCAGAGCTGATGAGCAGGGAATGAGGCCTCCGTCACTTCCTGAAGGTATCCAGGGGCTCATTTTTATCTCCAGCTTCTAAAAGGAACCAGGCCTTTCACCTTCTTCCCTTGAACACCCACCCACCCAGCCCTGGATGGCAGAGACAAGCATATAATAATGGTCTTCTCTTCAGGATCCTTAGATAGGTAGTTAGAGGTGCCAAAGCAAACTACGGTCCTGAAAATACCTATTATAATTAAAAAGCACCAGAATTGCAAAAGCAGCCCCTCGCATCCATACGAACAACACAGATTCTGGTTAGGTGACTTTCTATTTCTGCAATACAGGCTGATGGCACTTGTCTCCTAAGTCAGTTTTAATTATACAGCTTCCCAAACATGCTATTCAGATCTTATTTTAGCTATACCTGTAACCCTGGGCAGTGTTTTTGAATGCCAGGAAAGTAAGAAGGCCCCAGGCTAATTAAATAGCTTAGTCTGAAATAGGAATGGCAGCCTCTTGTTAACTATGATCCCAAGAGCAGACATAACCAAGTAACCCCACATGGAAGTCCGACTCCTTTCATCTCCATCCTCCCCACGGGCTGTGTGGTTTGATAGCAAGAGATCTGACTTGGGCCAGGCGCCGTGGCGCATGCCTGTAATCCCAGCACTTTGGGAGGCCGAGGTGGGCAGATCACGAGGTTAGGAGATCAAGACCATCCTGGCCAACATGGTGAAACCCCGTCTCTACCAAAATACAGAAAATTAGCTGGGTATGGTGGTGCACACCTGTAGTCCCAGCTACTCAGGAGGCTGAGGCAGGGAAATCACTTGAACCCGGGAGGCGGAGATTGCAGTGAGCCCAGATCGCTCCACTGCACTCTAGCCTGGTGACAGAGCAAGACTCCGTCTCAAAAAAAAAAAAAAAAAATCCAACTTCTAGTCCAGCCTTGCTTACGTGATAGCTGTGTGACCTCAAGTAAGTCACTTCACCTCTGTGAGCCTCAGTTTTCCTCATCTGCAGAATGGGTATACTCCCCTACCAGGCTGGTGAAAGATAAAGCAAAAGAGGAAAATATACTTGAAACACTGACATGTAGTTCACGAGTAGTAGTTCTCTGTTTCTTCTGCTTAAAAGCATAAGTTTATTTTTATTTCTTTTCATTTTCTTTTCTTTTCAAGACAGGGTCTCACTCTGTCACCCAGGCTGGAGTGCAGTGGTACAGTCACAACTCACTATAGCCTTGATCTCCAGGGCTCAAGTGATCCTCCCATATCAGTCTCTCAAGTAGTTCAGACTACAAGCACACGCCACCATGCCTGGCTAATTTTCAGTTTTTTTTGCAGAGATGAGGCCTTGCTATGTTGCCCAGGCTGGTCTCGAACTCCTGGGCTCAAGCGATTCTCCTGCCTCGGTCTCCCAAAGTGTTGGGATTACAGGCATGAGCTGATATACCTGGCCCCCTCTTTTTTTTATTTTATAGTTGGAAGAGAAGATCATGTTAGGGAGGAAGAAGGGATAACATGGAAGTTAAAATCCTGGACTTCGGAGTCAGCCTGCCACTTACTAGCTGTGTGACCTTGGACATGCTTCTCTGTGTGGCTCAGCTTCCTCCTCAGTGAACAGGATAATAACAGCCACCGTTTAGTGGAAGTAAAGATTGAGTGGGCCAATCTAGATTTATCCCTTAGCACAGCGCCTGCTACCATTTATTTACTCAATAAATGCTAGCTAGTACTATTTGTTATTTTGAAAATATAAACACATCACACAGACAGGTTATATTATTACTAGCCATTATACTGGTACTTTATTTTCTCTGAACAATTTTCTTGTTTTCTTTGTGGCTCACACCTGTAATCCCAGCACTTTGGAAGGCGGAGGCAGATAGATCACTTGAGCCCAGAAGTTCAAGACCAGCCTGGGCAACATAATGAAATTCTGTCTCTACAAAAAATACGAAATTAGCCGGGTGTGGTGGTGTGCACCTGTTTTCCCAGCAACTTGGGAGGCTGAGGTGGGAGGATTACTTGAGCCTGGGAGGTTGAGGCTGCAGTGAGCCAAGATTGTGCCACTGCACTCCAGCTTGGGTAACAGAGTGAGACCCTGTCAAAAAAAAAAAAAAAAACAAGAAAGAAAGGTTGAAAAGACAGAACAACACATCAGACAGGAGGACAGCCATTCATCAAACTTGACTGTGCATAGAGAGTAGGGAGCTGTGCTATATTCTGGAACTCCTTATTTTCAGACTCCTCACCCAGAGATTGTGATGCAGTAGATTTAGAAGTGAGGTTTGGGGATTTGCATTTCCTAACGAGCTTCCCTAGAGATGCTGATGCAGGTGGTCTAAACTTTGACCTTGACCTTAGCATGCTGGGACATCATTTTGGTGATGTGCACACACTTCCTACCTAGGACGATGCCCACCACCAGCCAGGCTGCACCCGCGGCCCCCTACCCCAAAGGATGTTCCATTGGCTAAAACAGGTCAGAGTGGGAGATTGCACAGAGCGGGAGGATTGGCCTAATGGTGCCCATAAAGCCCTGAAGATGTTTGACTCACCCATGATGCTTGACCTCCAGCCAGTCCCTGCCTCCTACCAGACATCTCTTCATCTTGCATGCTGTCTGCTGATATCACTCCTAAGGATCTTGCTTAGGGGAAGGAGTCTGATGGTCTCGCCTTTGAAACCCTCTGAAGCCCCCGTGCCATCCTACCTCCAGCCTCCACACTGGTTCAAGAATTTCCACTACAGATGGTTCCTGTCTGAGTCTGGTAGCTACAGTCAGCCAAACCCTCTCCACCCCATGATTCAGAAAAGGGTAGCTAATTATGTAATCTTCAAGAAGGAAAATGTGAGGGCAATTTAATAATGGGCTGCAAACATATGAAGGGTTATTAGCAGGAAGCTGGTGACCACCTGTTCCCTCTCTCTGCCGCTGCTAGGATGAAGAGAGGTAGGATTTACCTGCAGAAACCAAAGAGAGCTTCAGGGTAGGCATAAGCATTGGTAGCTCTGATGTGGTTACAAGAGGCGGCATGTGAAATCTGCTTTCCTGGGACTCATGAAAAGGGAAGAAGCGTTGGATCTGATGTGGTGTTTCCTTTAGAGGCAGGGAGGAGGGCATGAGGCTGTGAGCAACTTTGAGACAGGGATTTTGGCTTGCTGAGCCCAGATCCCTGGCACCTGGTACTCTGTAGACCAGTGGTTCTCAAAGCATGGTCCCTGGACCAGCAGCATCAGCATCACCTGGGACCTTGTCAGAAATGCAGAATCCCAGGTCCTTCCTATACGGACTGAATCAGAGCCTCTAGGGGCCAAGAAATCTTCCAGGTGATTCTAATGCTGGCTGAAGTGTGAGAACCATGAAGCTTTCAAATTTACTGTGCATTTCACTCAGGGAATCTTGTGAAAGAGTCAATAAGTCTGGGCCATGGCCTGAGATTCTGCGTTTTTAAAAGCTATTTTTTTTTTAATTTAGGTTTGAGTGTACCTGTGCAGTTTTGTTACATAGGTATATTGTATGATGCTGAGGTTTGGGCTTATAATGATCCCGTTGCCCAGATAGTAAACACAGTACCCAATAGGTTGTTTTTCAACCATTGCCCCCCTTCCTTCTCCTCCCTTTTGGGGTCTCCAGTGCTTATTGTTCCCATATTTATGTCCATGTGTACCCAGTGTTTAGCTCCCACTTATAAGTAAGAACATTCTGTGTTTGGTTTTCTGTTTCTGCATTAATTCACTTAGGATAATGGCCCCCAGCTGCATCCCTATTGCTGCCGAGGATGTTATTTTATTCTTTTTGTGGCTGCATAGTATTCTGTGGTGTATATTTCCCACACTTTCTTTTTCAATCCACCACTGATGGGCACTTAGGTTGATCCCCTGTCTTAACTACTGTAAATAGCGCTGCCATGAAGATACGAGTGCCTTTTCGGTAGAATGATTTATTTTCCTTTGGGTATATACCCAGTAATGGGATTGCTGGGAGTTTCTGCATTGCTTACAAGCTCTATGTGATGCTGATGCTGCTAGTCCACAGACCACAGATTAAGTAGCAAGGATCTAGAATAGATGCATTTACCCCTGCACACACATGAGGGCTCAGCCCACTTCCATAGGGAGCATGAAAAGGACCAGAAGGCAGACAGACCCTGTCCCAAAGCAGGTGGGACACAGTTGAAAGAATGTGGAGTCACAGAGACCTCAGTTCAAATAGGGACTATGTTGCTCACCAGTTTTCTGAGCCTCGGTTTCTTCATCAGTAAGTGGGCATGTAATCTGCTTTCCTGGGACGTATGACATGCAAGATGAAGTGAAGGAGTTGGAAGCTGCTGGCATAGTGTCTGGCATGTGGTACCCACTCTGCCATGTAGTTCCCCTTCCTCTGAATGATCAGGTCTCATGTGATGGTCTGGGGCCTGTCATGATTGAGGGCACCCATTAGTCATGCCAACACCAACATTAACAAGGTGTTCTGTCTTTCTCTCCTTCTGCCTTGACCAACTGCCTGCCTTCTAGAGCCCTGTTATCTAGCAGAAAATGCAAGGTACCCACCAAAGTCCATCTTCCTTTCTCTTATGGAAATAGAGTTATGGCTGGGCATGTAGCTGCCCAGCTAGAATCTACATGACTTACTGATGTACCTGAGTTTCTGATAGATCTGGACTCAGGAGCTCAAACCATGAAGCTGGTTCTCTGCCTCTCCACTTCTCATTTTTCCTTTGGCCTATCTACACAAATCTCCAAAATGTGTTCCCAGCCCGGATGCCTTCTCTGAACTCCAAGGCACCATATATAACTGCCGTTTCTTCTCCAGCTGCATGTTTAAGAAAGGATTTTCAAATTATGCTTAAACACAGTTTCTCACTTTTTTTTGTAAATACAGTTTTATTGGGAACACACATTTTCTACGGGAGTTTTCATGCAGCAGTGGCAGGGTTGAGTTGTTGTGACAGAGACTGTATGGCTTGCAAAGCCCAAAATATTTGCTATCTGACCCTTTACAGAAAAAAAAAATTCCAACCCCTGTCTAAGAAGCATAACAAGTTTTGTATTCCAAGACCAAATTTCTCACCTGCCCCTTAATCCCCTAAACCTGCTTCTTCCACTGTCTTCCCTCTCCAAGTTACTCAAGTCAGAACCCTTGGAGCCATCCTTGAGATATAGATATAAAAATATAGATATAGATTCTCTTGTACCCTACACCCAATCAGAAAAGCCCTGTTAAATCTTGTCCTCTTTACATTCCAAATATACCCAGAATCTGACAATTTATCATCATTTCCCATGAGGTCCCATGAGAGATGTTGAGGTCCCATTATCTTTCCCCTGGATTATTTCAGTAGCTTCCTAACTGGACTCTCCATTTTCTCCATCACCAACTCCTACCTGATACTCTATTCTCAACCAGCAGCCCACATGAGCTGTAGAAACAGTAAGTCATACTATGTCATTCCTCTACTCAAAGCCCTTCAGTAAATTTACTTTAACTGAGTAATTTACTCAGTTAAAGTAAAGTCAAAAAGATTCCACATAACCTGGCCCTCCATCATCTACCTCTTTGTTCTCATCTTTACTACCATCCCCTCACTCCATTCCAGCCACACCAGCCTCCTTGCTGTTCCTCGAGCACCAGGCAAGCTCCCAGCCCAGGGCCTCTGCACTTGAACTTTCTGCCTGTTTCACTCACCCCTCTGAAATCCCCCATGGCTCACTCCTTCATCTCTATAACAGGCAGCTTTTAAGATGGCCCACAGTGATCCTCCTCCTGGTATTAACACCCCTGTGTAATCTCCTCCCATTGAGTGTGGGCAGGACCTATCACAGGTGATGGATGTCACTTCTGTGATTAGGCTACGTAAGGCAGTAACTTCTGTCTTGGCAGCAGATTCCCTCCCTTGCTGGCTTTGGGGAAGCAAGTTGGCATGTTGGAGAGACCCACATGGCAAAGAAATGAGGGTGTCTAGCTAGGAACTGAGACCCTCAATCCAGCAGACCTAGAGGAACTGAAATTCTGTGAACAACCACGTGAGCTTGGAAGCTGATCCTTCCCTCATTGAGCCTTCAGATAAGAACACAGCCCAGCCAGCACCTTGATTAAAGACTTGTGAGAGATCCTAAAGTAGAAGATTGAGCTAAGCTATGCCCAACTCCTGGACCACAGAAACTGTAAGTTAATAAATATCTGTTCTTTTAGCAGCTAAATGTATGGTAATTTGTTAAACAGCATTAAATAATACTTGACCTTCTCAGTCCAATCTTCTTTGACTTTTCTCTTTAAAATAGCAACCTTTATTCTTGCCTAGGAGCTCCCAGTTCCCCTGCTTTGCCTAATTTTTCTCCATAATACATATCACCATGTGACATATCATATAAAAATATATTTTTTATATTTTTTTGTAGTATGTTTCATCAACTAGAAGTAAACTCTTTGAGCACAGGGGTTTTATTTCTTCCACAGTTGAATCACTAATATCTAGAACAGTGCCTAACATGTAGAAGCTACCCAATAATATTGTCAGATGAATGAATGAATCAATGAATGAATGAATTCTGTTGACAGTCTCCTTCCACAAAAGTGGACAAATTGCACTAATGGATGTCAGCTCTACAATTTCTTAGCACAGCAATCCCAATGAGAAAAGATATTTTTGCAGACATCCATCTATATCTATCCAGAAAAAACCCAATTGGCCCTACTTGGGTCTTGTCCCTCTTTGTTAAGAGAAACATGGGAAAATGTCCTAAGTAAAGCCTGAGATCTTCTGACACTCCCATAACAATTTTGCCTTCTCAAGAGTAGCAGAAGAGTTTTAACACTTTATCCATTGTTCTCAAATAAGGCTCAATGAGGCCTACCTATGTACTATTCCAGGAAGAGCTTGTTTCTCTAGGTGAGGAAGAATTCAGTATTGTCTAAAGAGCCATCACTCTGCACAAAGATTTACATGCCAATGTTCACAACAGCATTATTCATAATTGTCAACAAGTGGAAACAATCCAGAAGTCCATTGATAGGCTAATGGATAAACAAAATGTGGTATAGTCATACAATGGAACGCTTTTCTGCAATAAAAGGGAAGGAACTACTAATGCATGCTACAACTTAGATTACCTGAAACACATCATACTAAGTGAAAGAAGCCAGCTGCACCACTGCCCCCGCCTCGAAAAATAAAAATTAAGAAAACCCGCACATATTGTATGGCTCCATTTATATGAAATGTCCAGAAAAGGGAAATCTATAAAGACACAAGATAAACTAGTGGTTTCCCAGGGCTGGGAATGGGAAATGGGGAATGAATGTAGACAGCACAAAAGATTGGGGGGATAGCGGTGGTGATGGAAACGTTCCAAAACTGTACTATGGTGATGGTTGCATGACTTTGTGAATCAATGTAGATCATTAAATTGTGCACTTAAAATGGGCGAATTTTATGGTATGTAAATTATATGTCAACAAAGGTGTTTTTAAAAAGAAAAAAATGAAAAGCTCTTGCTAAATTTTTTTTAATTCTATGTTGAAAGGATCCTCTGTCAAATTGTCTTTGAGAATTATGCTTCCTTCCTTTTTAGATGTTTCTATGAAAGATCAATGTAAAAGGTCCCTTCAGTGTCTCAAAAATATAAATGAAGTTTATAAATAAATTAATGAATACTTCCAAATGGCCTGATTTCTGCCTTGTGTAAGGCAATAAAAGGGGCCATAACATTCTGACTTTTGAAATGATTTTCTGTTCATGTTTGCAGAGCCATCGTTGTCTGACCTCATCACTGAGTGAACTGCACCAGCTCCAAGGACCATTGCCCATCAAAGCAACTGACAAATGCCACATTCACATAGAAAACAGGAATAGTGAAAGCAAAGTCTTGCATTGTGACTACTGGGGATTGAGGAAGAGTAAAATGCTCTGATTCGCCTGTCTTGTAGTGACCTGCAATTTCCATTTCAATGCAATCAAAGGAGGATGGAGGTAATCTCAACTTTGGTAGCCCTTAAAGTGCTACCCTGGATCAATGGCAGGTGCAAAGGAGGATGTAGCACTGCAATTGGCCCAGCCTGTGTCACGTGTCCGTGCCTATGGCGAGGGGTAGTGCACCAAGATTTGTAGCCCCACTAGAAACATGTAGAACAAGAGATGGATAGTTCCCACAAAAGGAAATAAAATGATGAGACAGAAACATCAGGTAACTTATGTTATTCCAATGTGCAGAAAAATCATAATGGGGCAAGATACTCTGGGGATAAGGGCAGTTGGTATTGTAAGTGACAGTTTAACAGATGCTCATGGGGCAGTGCCCTGGTTATAGCAAGACCTCTGGTTAAAGTGAGCCTTGTACCCATCCAAGTCTTCTGTCTCCATTCAAGGGGACATACACGTGTTGAGGACTCTGGGAGGGCATGTGTTGCAAAGGTGATGGTCCCTGGATGACCCACATGGTAGGCAGCTCAACGCCAGTTCCCTTCCACTTCTCAGACTTACGCTTGTGCAGATCTGGCTACAAAAAATTAGCAGGATCCTGTGCAAGAAGAAAATTCAAGACCCCTAATTCAAAATTATTAAGGTTTGCAAGATGACCACAGCAATGCATCAAACCAAGTAGGGGATCCCTCTGAGCACTGGACTTGCGCCATTGCCCAGGTCCTGTGCTCACATCACCAGTCCTGTCCTCATGACATAAATTTCTTCCTCCTTGTCCCACCTAGGGGACAACAGTACCTTCTCCCCTCCTCCTCTGAGTCACTCCTGCACTACCTCTTCCTTCATCCACAGCACACCCGCTTACACAGAATTAAGAACTAAAATCGGAAACAAAAAAAAACAAAAGATCAAGACAGCCACTTCCCTCTGCAAGTTTAAATCCAAATATCTTTGAGGCTAGAGAACTCTGTGAGGAAAAGAAATTCACATGTTTAAGAGTTTATTCTTTAGCTGGGCATTGTGGGGTGCATCTGCAGTCCCAGCTACTCGGGGGCTGAGGCAGGAGGATGGCTTGAGCCTGGGAGTTGAAGGCTGCAGTGAGCTATGGTGCCACCACTGTACTCCAGCCTAGGTAACAGAGTCAGACTCTGTCTCTCAAAAACTTAAAAATTAAATTTAAATAAATAGTATATTCTTAAAGTGTCTCATGGTGTTTACTCTCATCCTTGCCCAGAAATAACTCCAGTATTCTTTGTGGGACTTGGGTGGAAGACAATGAAGAGAGTAGCATCCAGGATGGAGCCCCAATCACAAGGGCTGCCACCACTTCGTGGTGTTTAATAATAACGATTTTTGCTGGGCACGGTGGCTCACGCCCATAGTCCTAGCACCTTGGGAGGCCGTGGTGGGTGGGTCACTTGAGCTCAGAATTTGAGACCATCCTGGGCAACATGGCAAAATCCCATCTCCAAAAAATACAAAAATTCGCCGGGCATGGTGGCATGCAACTGTAGTCCCAGCTACTCAGGAGGCTGAGGTGGGAGGATGGCTTGAGCCCAGGAGGCAGAGGTTGCAGTGAGCCAAGATCGTGCCACTGCACTCCAGCGTGGGCAACAGAGTGAGACCCTGTCTCAAAACAAAACAAAGCAAAACCAATTTTCGTCTATTGAACCCTTACTATTTGACAAAACACTGCCTTAAGATTTTTGCATATAGGTATGCCTTTCCATTCTCACACCAACTCTGCAAGCCAGGCACAGAGACAGAAAAAAACTACTATTCCCGTTTAAAAAAAAAAAAAAAATGAGGCCAGACGGCTAGTAAGTGACAGAGTAGGATTTGAATCCAGATCTGACAGAGGGTTTCTGCTACACCAAAAAACATTTGATCATTCTATTTATTTTGTTTGTTCAGTTTGGGGTTTTCTTTGAGACAGGGTCTCACTCTGTCACTCAGGCTGGAGTGCAGTTGTGCAATCACAGCTCACTACAGCCTCAACTTGTCAGACTCAAGCAATCCTCCTGCCTCAGCCTCCCAAGTAGCTGGGACTATAGGTTTATGCCACCAAACCTGGTTGGGTTTTTTGTTGTTGTTGTTTTTGTTTTTGTTTTGTCAAGACAGGGTCTTGCTATATTGCACAGGCTGGTCTCAAACTCCTGGACTCAAGTGATCCTCTCACCTCAGCCTCCCAAAGTGCTGGGATTATAGGAGTGATCCACCTCTCCTGGCCTGATCATTCTATTTCTAACCCCTGAAGTCTCAACACAGGGCAAATGAAGACACTATATCTTGAGCTGCATTTTGATTCCTTTTGCAATAGTCAAATTATGTTAAAATTGATGAACCTTGAAAGTTATCATGAAAAAAATGTCAAAGATAGGCCAACCAAGGCATTTTTGGTGGGGCTCAGTGTCAAAGCCTAACTGATTCCCCATTGTTCTAGATATCTGTGGGTTCAGAGTTAAGACCAATGAAGCTCAAGCCACTCATCTTAGTGAATAAGCCAAACAGGAGATCAGTAAAAATGAAGAAGCATAAACCATCCTTCAGAGACAGGATGGGTCAGAAATCGTTTTAGGTCACTGGAGAAGAGAATGCACTAAAATAGAGGAAACTTTCCCAGGTCTTCCTAAAACGTTGCTTGGATCATTTATTCCACAAGGTGCAATGAGCATGAATTTCTATGAGCCAGCACTGCCCTGGGGGCAGGATATGGAGAATACAAACCATGCCACTGCTCAGCTCAGAAGTTTCCAAGCACTGGCCAGGCACAGTGCCTCATGCCTGTAATCCCAGCACTTCAGGAGGCCAAGGCAGGAAGATTGCTTGAGACTAGGAGTTTAACTTCCCTGGGCAACATAGAGAGACCAAGTCTCTACAAAAAAAAAAGAAGAAAAAAAAAAGAAAGAAGGAAAAAAAAAGAAAAAAAAGCTGGCATGGTGGCAGGCACCTGTAATCCCAGCTATTTGGGAGGCTGAGGAGGGAGAATTGCTTAAGCCCAGGAGGTTAAGCCTGCAGTGAACTGTGATTGTGCCACTGCACTCCAGCCCGGATGACAGGGCAAGACCCCGTCTCAAAATTTAAAAAAGAAGCTTTCATGCTCCCATTGCCCAGCATTCACGGCTTTGTAGGCTTCACCCCTCTGGTAGAGGGCCTGTATACCATGCACGGAAACCGGGAGAAGGGGAAGGATGATAAAGAGAGAGCTGAATTAAAAGAGCGGTGTTGGGCTTTCGGAAGGGGGAAGTGTCTCCTGACTGTCATACCCTGAGTTAATAGTGACTCTGTGGGGCCGGGCTGTGGCTCACGCCTGTAATCCCAGCACTTTGTGAGGCAGAGGTGGGCGGATCACGAGGTCAGGAGTTTGAGACCAGCCTGGCCAACATGGTGAAACCCCATCTCTACTGAAAATACAAAAATTAGCTGGGCATGGTGCGTGCACATGTAATCCCAGCTACTCCGGAGGCTGAGGCAGGAGAATCATTTAAACCTGGGAGGCAGAGGTTGCAGTGAGCCGAGATCGTGCCACTGCACTCCAGCCTGGGCGACAGAGCAAGACTCCGTCTTGGAGAAAAAAACAAAACAAAACAAAACAGTGACTCTTTGTGGTTGGGCTGTCTTCACTGATGGACCACATTTTGCCTCCCTGACCACCAGACCTCCCTGATGAGGAGAGTGGATCCCCCACCACAGTCTCAGAAAGAATGGCATCCAACACCCAAGTGCATACCCTTCAATCTTCACATTGGAGTAAGTTCAGCCAAAAACTGTAAGCCTTTCCCCTGGATCTGGAGTGACCCAGAGAGACATTTCCTGCCTCTCAATTCCCACCTCCAAAGAAAATGCTGCAGTGAGTAACCGTGTAGTTAGTAAATGGGGCTGGTCCCCTTGATTGCAAGTTGACTCTAATGCTGTCAGTTCAGCCAGCTTCTTCGAGAAAGCCATGTCTACCCCCACCTAACTGCCTATCAGGTCTTACTTGGGATCCTTATAGGTATATCTGAGCCTCCTACCAACCCCTCCCCTGCAAACCCAAGCCTTATAAGGCACAGACCCTTTCTAGTCTCAGACAGATCATCTTTATTTACCAAAACCTTTTGGTGCAACTTAGTCAACTGTGAAATACTCCATAGCAAACTTGACACTTATCCCCTATGATTCAGTTGTGCAAAATGAGCAAGATTTTTTATTTCCATAATTCTTCTCATCTGGGTCTGGAATGTGAGGAGTGTTGTAAGCCCCTGGGGTTGGGGAGTTCAGCACCAGTCCGGGGTCCAGGAGGCTGTCCTTAGGTTCACCTCCACTCCACATCTTCCCTCTGTTCATCTCCCATTCCCACACCATCTTGAATGTGGTGCCCTGCCAAAGCACATTACTCTGAGACCTGCAATCTCTCACCTTTTTTCTTTTCTTTTTAAATATTGTATTCGTTCATTGATACACTGCTATAAAGAAATACCCGAGACTGGGTGATTTATAAAGGAAAGAGGTTTAATTGACTCACAGTTCTAACATGGTTGAGGAGGCCTCAGGAAACTTACAATGATGGTGAAAGGGGAAGGGGAAGCAAGGACCTTCACATGGTGGCAGAAGAGAGAAGAGTGAAGGAAGAATTTCTAACCACATGTAAAACCATGAGATCTTGTAAGAACAAACTCACTATCACTAGAACAGCATGGGGGAAACTGCCCCCATGATCCAATCACCTCCCTCCCTTGACACCTGGGGACTACAGGTCCCTCCCTTGACACATGGGAATTACAATTCAAGATGAGATTTGGGTAGGGACACAGAGCCAAACCATATCAAACATAAAATTTGTTTAGAGAGAGAGTTTTGCAGCCTCAAACTCCTGGTGTAAGCCATCCTCCCATCTCAGCCTCCCAAGTAGCTAGGACCACAGGTGCACACTACCACGCCTAGCTAATTTTGTTTTAATTTATTTATTGTAGAGATGGGGTCTCATTCTCTTGCCCAGGCTGGTCTTGAACTCCTGGCCTCAAGCAATTCTCTTGCCTCAGCCTCCCAAGGTGCTGGGATTACAGGTGTGAGCCACATACTAAACCTCTCTCTAGGTTGTGCCATGGAAAGCTGGACACCACCCCCAACTCTCTCAGATCCCGCTAAACCTCTCTGGAGATTTCTACAACACACTTGTCCTTGCTACCTCCTCCAGGAAATAGGGAGTGAGGGTTCTTGAATCTAATCTCTTACCTCATTTCTTCTCTCTTTTTCCTCCTCCCTGCCCAATAGATACTTTGCTTCCTCATTATCTTATAGAAATCTCCTTTTATCGTTGCCTCATGACTATTTTCTCTCTGTGCAGTAGTTCCCAAAAGTATGGTCTCCAGACCAGCAGCATCAGCATCATCTGGGATCTTATAAAAAATGCAGATTCTTTGCACCTAACCCAAGCCTTCTGAGTCACAATCTCTGGGGCTGGAACCCAGCAATCTATGTTTTAATAAGCCCTGCAAGGGATTTTGATGCATGCTCAAGACTGAGAACCACTGCTCTAGGGTCTGAATCAATGGTCCTCCATTCTGGCTGCCTTAGAATCACCTGGGTGAGCTCTTAAAAATTACTGATTTCTATGTAAATTAGTACAACCTCTATGGAAAACAGTATGGAGATTCCTTAAAGAACTAAAAGTAGATCTACCATTCGGTCCAGCAATCCCACTACTGGGTATCTAGCAAAGGAAAAGAAGTCATATGAAAAAGACACATGCGCACATATGGTTATTGCAGCCCAATTCATAACTGGAAAGATATGGAACCAACCTAAATGCCTGTTGACCAATGAGTGGATAAAGAAAATGTGGTATATCTACTCCATGGAATACTACTCAGCCATAAAAAGGGACAAAATAACGTCTTTTGCAGCAACTTGGATGGAGCTAGAGGCCGTTATTCTAAGCAAAGTAACTCAGGAATGGAAAACCAAATACCGTATGTTCTCATTTATAAGTGGGAGCTAAGCTGTGGGATGCAAAGCCATACAGAGCACAGTAATGGGGTTTGGGTACTCAAAAGGGAGAGAGTTGGGGGTGTAGAGTAAAAAAACTACATAGTGGATACAATATAAACTACGCAGGTGATGGGTGCATTAAAATTTCAGAATTCACCACTATAGAATTCATCCATGTAACCAAAAACCACTGGTACCCCAAAATCTATTGAAATAAAGAAAATTAAAATAATAATAAATACATCGTTACTGATTTCTAAGCCCCACCAGAGACTAATGAAACCAGAGGCCAATGAAGAGGCCCAGTCAAATATCAATCCAGTCAGATTTAAATCAGCAAAACAGTCCAACTGACCCATAGGCACATGAACGATAATGTGTGGTTGCTGTTTTAGGCAACTAAGTTGGGGTTGGTTTCTTACGCAGCAGCAGCTAACTGCTACACAGCATCTATAGGAATTTCTGGTGGTATAGTGACTGATCTCCTCACTTCTTCAAATTCAGCTATTGGTTCTGTTCCATGGCTGCTCTCCTAGCTGTTCCAGCCCCTGGGAGGATACCCTAGCATAGGTCCCCTTCCCAATGACACCACCCCAGCCTCCAGCAGCGGGATCAGACAGGAACAGAATGAGGTTCCAAACCCGTGATGGCCAATAAAAACATAATGTGAGCCACATAGTTAGTTTAAAATTTTCTAGTAGCCACATTTTTAAAAGAGATAAAAGGAAACAGTGAAATTAGTTTTAATAACATACTTTATTGCATATTTCATTTTATTATACATTTCTTTAACCCAGTATATGCAACATATTATCATTTCAACATGTGGCACTAGGCACATTGCAAGTGCTGATTAGCCACCTGCAGCTACCAAATTGAACAGAATAGTTCCACACAGATTCTTACACATGTCCCTTCCAGAGCAACGTGACAGCAGGCATGAATAAGAAACAGAAGGAGCAAAAAGAGCTGAGCCTCTGCCAAACCCAAGTCACGTTAAGCCTTTTTTTTTTTTTTTTTTAGAAACAGACTGGAGTGCAGTGGGGCGATCATAGCTCACTGTAGCCTCGAACTCCCCAGCTTAAACAAACCTCCCACCTCAGCCTCCTGAGTAGCTGGGACTACAGGCATGCAACACTCCACCTGGCTGCCCATGCTTTTAATACCTGGCCCCTTGCCAACCAAAGTATGGTTCTTGGACCATCAGCATCACCTGGGAGCTTGTTAGAAATGCAGAATCTCAGGCCCTAACCCAAATCTACTGAATCAGAATCTGCATCTTAGAACTATCCCAGGTGGTTCACAAGAACATTATGTTATGAGAGGCATTGGCCGAGGCTAGCCTGTAATTTAGTTACTCGTCTGTTTCACCCATAGGCCACTACCCTGCAAGGGCAAGGACTGTCCTTTTCTTCACCACTGTTTTCTGAACATCTACTATAGAGGTTGGCATAATAACTACCTGGACCAGATAATGAATCGAGTTCTTCTTGTCCCACCCATTCACCCACTGGGGTTTCTGTAAACTAGCCCACTTCCTTTTCTCTTTATTTTTATTTTATTTTATTTTATTTTATTTTTTTGAGACGGAGTCTCGCTCTGTCATCCAGGCTGGAGTGCAGTGGTGCAATCTCGGCTCACTGCAGCCTCCGCCTCCCAGGTTCCAGCGATTCTCCTGCCTCAGTCTCCCAGGTAGCTGGGATTAGAGGCACACGCTACCACGCCCGGCTCATTTTTGTATTTTTGATAGAGACACGGTTTTACCCTGTTGGCCAGGCTGGTCTCAAACTCCTGACCTCAGGTGATCCGCCTGCCTCAGCCTCCCAAAGTGCTGGGGTTATAGGCATGAGCCACCGTGCCCGGCCATTCTCTTTTTCTTTAAATCCCGCCTGGGAAAAAGAAAAAGAGTACATTGTGCACAACCAATTTAAAAACACCTGCCTGTGTCTTCAACAATAGTCTGTTCCACTTTAAAAGTGCAAGGCCTGACAATGCCCTGGGGTTCCTAGTGCCTTAGATAAACTGTAGCCTTTGTAGAGCTAACCCCCCAAAGCTGTTAGAAGCCAGGGCCAGGATTCAGCTGTGCCAGTCTGATGTTTACTTTTCACCAAAGTATTGTCTGAATAGAACCCATTCTGCTGTTTTAGAAAGTATAAATCTTTGGGGGCTACTCAGGAAGGGTAGCTCTGAGGAGGAGACCCAAGAAGGGGCTTAGAGTTGAGACTCTAGTAGGGAGGAAGACTTGAAAGTGAGGACCTTTACTACACCATCAGAATAAGAAAATGCCAGGTGTCTATATTAAACATTGGCAGACTGATAGAAATTGGGGGATGGGGAATGTTAAACCTCCCAGTGCCGTCCCCATGGAGCCACCACTGGTATTCAGGTCTCAGGAAAGGAAACCACAAATCACCAGGAGGATGGGAATTTGGAGTTCAATGTTGGTCCCAACCAAGGTAGTAGAATTTTGTATCTTAGAACATCAGAGCTGGCTGTGACGTGCCAGAAATTGGGTGTTTCAGAAATATTTGTTTAAAGTTAAGTAGGGATTAGCTTGGGTTGTGATTTTGCTCATCTTTTTGATGTCATTGAGACCAGGGATCCAGCAATTCCTGAATCTTGTTGTCCATCTCCTAACACCCTCCTGTTCACTCCACCCCACTCCCAAAGTTCCTTAGGGAGCTATATGCAAGAAGCAGCAGCTACATTGGAATCAAAACACCTTTTTATTAATAGTTGAATCTGGACCTAATAGTCACCAATGTAGAGCTTCCTTTAAAAAGTTAGAATATCACTTGAGCTCAGGAGTTCGAGGCTGCAATGAGCTAGGCTCACACCACTGCATTCCAGCCTGGGCGACAAAGCGAGACCCTATCTCTTAAAAAAAAAAAAAAAAGAGTTAGATTAGAGCCCTTGGTTTAGGCTGTAATCTAAAACCCTTTTTCTAGTCCCACTCCACCTCCCAATTAATGAATATAAATCTTGGAGTCTTACCAAACTTAATACACAACCCAACCCAATGGCTCACATGTAAGGCAATGTGCAAGAGCTCAGGCAGGCCGTTAGATCAGAGCACTGCCCAGCCTGTAACAGGGGAAGAAGAGCAGAGCTGCAGCCTTTGCCACACAGTGACACTAGGGATGCATGGCCCAAGGAGTGTCTAGGACTCTGATGGAGCCAATTAGCACCTTCTCCTTGCAGAGAAGCTAAAAAGATAACAGGCAGAGAGTGGCCAGCTAGGCAATCTGAAGAGTCCTCTCTGCCTAAATAAATGAATAAAGAAATAACCTCTCAGGCACCATCGAACTCCTACACTTTACAGATGAGAAAACTGAGATCCCAGTGGGAAAGAGGCTAGCCCAGGGTCACACAACAGGACCATTGGCACAGGTAGAGGGAGAACCTGGGTTTCTGATTTCTGATTCAGAGCTTGGCAGATTGGACTCAATTGGACCCAGTTGGTAGCTCTTCCCTATTGTATTCAGCCTTCAGGACCTACACAACTCTGTAAAAGAATGAAACAAGCTTAAGTGTAATGGAATCTCCTGGAAATGACAGCAACACTCCCACTGGCCGAAACAGGATCACAGGACCATCCCTAGGTGCAAAGGAGTCTGGGAAAGCAGGGAATGGAATTGAGCAATTGATTGGCTTATCGACCAACCATCATCCATAGTCTAGAGCAAGCCCACTCCTAATTGGAACAAATTCAGAGTAGACAAAAAAGTAGGGGGAATGGGTCACTTGTAGGTCACATTTTCCAACCCAGTGATAAGATAATATTATGTTCATATTATAAAGAAAGAGCCTGATATTAGAGAGCTAAAGTGATTTGCCCAAGGTCACAGCTAATTAATGGTCAAATCACATTTCTGCCTGATTCCAGAGTCTGAGCTCTTAGCTACAATGGAATATTGACTTTCAGAAAGAGCACAAAAAATATGGAACTCTTCGAGTTTGAGAATCTTACTTTGCAAAGCTATGCTAATGTTCTCGAAATCATCTAATCAAATGATACTTGAAATTAGTATACATTTTTTCATTCAAAGCAACAAAAAATCATTTTTTAATCATAGCAATTTGAGAACATTCTTTCTTCACAATGGAAGCATATAGGACCATTAAGTTGTACAATCCCAGGAGGTGCCATTCATATAGCAGCCCGTATTCATAGCACCTTCTAGAGTTGTGCAGTGCCCAACCCACTCAGCCAGATATTAAATCGTGCAAAATTAAACATGTTTATCTGGTCCTTCATTTCCTCATCCACAAAGTGAGCTGGTTGTTCTAGAAAAATTCAGAGGTTCCTTTTGAGACTGAATAAGATACTGTGACAAACCATGTATATTCGCAAGGAGAATAATAAATAGGCAAGAATATAAAAGTGTCTTATGCCTTCCCAGGAAGGCTTGCTTTGCAAGGTGCAGAATAGAGATCGTTCTGAAATATTCCTCGTAATACAGCCTTTTCGGTTATAAAAACACCCTTGTTAACAATCCAGAACACTCAGGAGCTTAATTTCTTCAGAAACAAAGTACGTCCTTATAGTCACATAAAAGTGTTCCCTCTTCCTCGTCAGACTAACGGCAAACGGGGCATTGATCCCTGAAGGACACTATTTATGGGCAGTGCGCCTGCTAAGAATTGGCATGACCTTTTTTCCCATATCTGTCTAGTCCCCAGAGGGATAGGCCCGCTTATTACATTTTCCCAGCCGGGAGTTTAGCTCCACAGGCAACCTCCTGTCATTTGTTTGTCTGATGGGTATTATTTCTTCTAAGAATCTAATTAGGATCTTTTAAAGAGTTCAGCCTGGGAGTGAGGGAATTAAATATGACTCAGAGTGTGCGCTGCCCAAAGCCAGGCGAAAAGTCAGATGATCATTCGTTGATTTATTCAGATATTTATGCAGTCCGCAAGCCCTGACAATGTACCTTTGTGTGTGTGTGCCAACCTATGCTGGGAGTTGAGGCAAGTGGACAGGAATGGAGGATCTCTCTCCACCTTGGAGGAGTTTAGCCACATATCACTGATAAATTCCACTTAAAGGGAAGGAATTGAACACATAGCACACAATGTCATGTGTCCACCAAGTCCTCTTTTTTTTTTTTTTTTTTTGAGACAGTCTTACCCTGTCATCTAGGCTGGAGTGTAGTGGTGCAGTCATGCCTCAATGCAGCCTTGACTTCCTGGGTTCCAGTGATCCTCCCACTTCAGCTTCCCAAGTAGCTGGGACCACAGGTGCACACCAGCACTTCGAGTTAATTTTTACAGAGACGAGGTCTTGCTATGTGGCCAGGCTGGTCTTGAACTCCTGGGCTCAAGGAATCGCCCACCTTGACCTCCCAAAGTGCTGGGATGAAAGGCGTGAGCCACGGCACCTGGCCTCCAAGTCCTCTTTCGTTTCCTTCTTTTTTGGGCCAAAGGAAAGCTGCATTTCACAGCCCCCTTGCAGTGAGGTGAAGTCTCGTAACTGGTTCTAACCAATGGGCTATAGCAGAAGTGACCACTGTATTCAAGAACCCAAGTGCAGCTGTCAGCTCTCCTTTACCCTGTTCTGGGGACCAAGAATGCAGAGGTTGTATGTATTAACATCTGTCAGCCTGAATTTCTTTGGTCGGACAAATTCACCTTGGTTTTGTTTAATGTTAACATTAGGATAAGTGGGTGAAGCGTATACTGGAATTCTCTGTACTATCTCTGCAACTTTTCTGGAAATCTAAAATTATTTAAAAATTAAAAGTTGGCTGGGCGCGGTGGCTCACACCTGTAATCCCAGCACTTCGGGAGGCCAAGGTGGGTGGATCACCTGAGGTCAGGAGTTCAAGACCAGTTTGGCCAACATGGTGAAACGCCATCTCTACTAAAAATACAAAAATTACCCAGGCATGGTGGCACATGTCTGTGGTCCCAGCTACTCAGGAGGCTGAGGCAGGAGAATTGCTTGAACCTGGGAGGTGGAGGCTGCAGTGAGCCAAGACGACGCCACTGCACTCCTGCCTGGGCAACACAGCGAGACTCTGTCTCAAAAAAAATTAAAAGTTGTTTAAAAATCAGTGCGAATGTTTTCCAGGTATCTACTCTGAAGGTTGCATAAGTGAAGCAAATCCGTGTGTAGGGTTGTCAGAAAAAAAAAATACAGCAGTCCCTAGGCCAAGGAAAAACTACAGCAATCCCTAGGCCAAGCCTGGAATAGACACAGAAGTTGCAAGCATGAGTATGATGTGGGCGCTGGTATCTAGCATCTCCCAGTCCAGTATGAGTCTCCAGGTATATCCCAGCCCCCGGCGTAGTGCCTGGCACTAAGCCACAGCACCATTACTGTTTGTTGCTTGAATGAGTGGGTGCACGACTTCATTCATTCAAGGTACACTTAATTAATTACCTACTGTGAGCAAGACCTTGTTCTAGACACTACAGATGCAAACACTGTACGTTAATTACAGTGAACAAAACAGACAGACACTCCCTGCCCTCATTATAATTATCTACCAGTGTTGGGGCAGGGGAAATGAAAACACAAAAAAGTGGCTGGGTGTGGTGGCTCACGCCTGTAATCCCAGCACTTTGGGAGGCTGAGGCAGGCGGATCACCTGAGGTCAGGAGTTGAGACCAGGCTCTCCAACTTGGCAAAACCCTGTCTCTACTAAAAAATACAAAAATCAGCTGGGCGTGGTGGCAGGCGCCTGTAGTCCCAGCTATTCAGGATGCTGGGGCAGGAGAATCACTTGAACCCAGGAGGCAGAGCTTGCGGTGAGCCAAGATCGCACCACTGCACTCCAGCCTGGGTGACAGAGCAAAACTCTGTCTCCAAAAAAAAAAAAATATATATATATATATATGTGTATATATATATGTGTGTGGGTATATATATGTATATATATAAGCAAATATATGGGTATTCAGATAGTGATCAGTACTACGAGAAAAATGAAGCAGATGAGGAAATTTGGGAGTATGAAACAAGGTGGGCAGTGTGATTGCAATTTTAAAGAAGGTGTCAGGGAAGCCTCGCTGGGTGACAGTTCAGCCAAGATCTTCAGGAAGTGAGATGTGTATAAAAGTATATCCGAAGGAATAAGAAGTGTCCTGGCAGCCGTAAGTAAATATCACAGCCTGGGTGCCTTACCCAGAAGACACTTATTTCTCATAGCTCTGGAGGCTGGAAGTCTGAGATCAAGGTGTCGGCAGGTTTGGTTTCTCCTGAGGTCTCTCTCTGGGGCTTGCAGGTGGCCACCGTCCCGCTGTGTCCTCACATGGTCGTCCCTTGCTCCTGTACTGTCTGAGTCCTAGTCTATTCTTATGAGGACACCAGTCATATTGGATTAGGGCCCAACCATGTGACCTCATTTTACATTAATTACCTCTTAAATGTTCTATCTCCAAATACAGTCACAATTCTGAGACATTGGGGTTTAAAATATCAACATAGAAATTTTAGGGAATGTAATTCAGTCCATAACAGTGAATGAATGAATGAATGAATGAATGAACCAGTCTGCTGCTTTGCTTATGTGTGAGAGAGTGAAGGCAGTCAGAGAAACATGGGACAAAAGGAACAGGGGATGAGGGGCAAAAAGCCACATCAGGAGAAAAAAACAGAGATTTGACATGTGCAGTTTTTCAATTCCCTCTTGGCCAATTCAAAATATGTTTTTCCCAGCTCTAACTCTTAATTATTTCCGGAAACGGTTTCATTAACTGCTGTCCTGCAGCAGGATGCTATGAAGAAATCTCTGAACTTAGAGGCAGAAGATGTGAGTTCTGCTCTGCTGGGTGACTTTGGGGGAAGTCACTAACCTCTCTGGGCCTCCTTTCAATGGGAATGGAAATCCCTACCCCCTCTCAGAACTGCAGGAGAAGTTCAGGGAGGTAACTGGCAGGCAGATGAGGGCTTTGTAAACAGGGAAATGTAATATAAATAAAAACCTAAGGTATTGCTGTGAAGCTTGCTGTGAAAACCACTGCAGACAGCTCATGCCTGGGGCCCTCTGGTCATTTCGAAGGGAGCTTATTTATTAAACTCCAGCTTTTCCCTGGTTGTTTTCTTCAGCCCTTCAGGATGATCAGAGAGCTGGGGGAGTGCAGGGCTGGGGAGAAGAAAGAAGAAAGGAGAAGAAAGAGAAATAGATTCCACCTGAAGCACAGAGCTGGTGATTTTTGCCTCATCGAGGATTCTTGCTGATATTGACCAGCAAGATGTTGACATTGATGGGAGCTGACATTGATGGGCACCCTCCTCATTAGGCTCTGTGCTAAATCCTCCCCAGGCATCAACTCACCGAATTCCCATAACACCCTCTGAGGTTAGGCTATAATCTACCCATTTTGCAGGTGAATAAACTGAGGTTCAGAGGCATTAAGAAATTGCCCAGGGTCAATTAAGAGGCAGAACTGAGCCCAGATCTGTCAGCTACTCTCTTAACCTTGACCTACACTTCCTCATCATTCCTCAAAGTGTCCTGGCATTTAGTAGGTACTAAAGACATGTAAGATCTCTAAATTCTCTAGTTTGAATCCCAGCTTTGGCGTTTTCCAGCTGTGTGAAGTTGGACAAGTTATTTTCTTTCTCAGAGGACAAAAATCCCTGCCCTGCCTACCTGTCAACTCCAGTACTTGCCAAGTATGAGTTGGAGGCTGTTACTTAACCTCTCTGAACCTCGATTCCTGTAGCAGTAACGTGGGATAATAACAGTTGATATTCCAAGGGTAAAGCACACAGCCTAGTGCCAGGCACATAGAAAGCGGTCAACCAGGCAGCTATCAATTCAGTACAGGGGTGACAACATGGCACCTATATTCCATCCAGGGTAAGTAAGAAGAGCAGAGATGAAAACATAGACCGGAAGGATAAATTTTAAATGTTCACATCTGCTGATTTCAGAACTTAAGATCAAGAAAATAATTATCTCAGCTAAAGATGTGCAGTTTTCCTTTGACAAGAAAACAAGATATTGGGTGATGCATTGCGTTTTCCTTATTGCTTTGCCAGAAAGCTCAGAGCTAAATCTAATTCTTATTAAGAGTAACTGCATGAATCTGGGTTTAGCCTTCCTTTATATGATATGTATTTTTAAATTTCTGTTCTATTGACTTTACTGTTCCTGTAACATTTAGAGTTAACTTTAGAGAAATTGTTAAATCTAGCTGCTTGAAAAACAGGCGAGGTTAAAAATGATCAATACATATTATGTGGTTATAGTTTAATGCATTTGAAATCAAAGTATTACCCATTACTTGAATTTTAGACAAAGATAAAAGGCACAGAGGCAGGTCCAGATCTATAAATTTAGGTTAAAATATTGTTTTAAAGAAAAAAATAGAAGGCAACTAGATGCCAGAGATTAATTTCAAAGTGGAATTAGTTCACATGAAGCATTTAGAGGAAAAAAAAATTGCAACATCTTCCCCAGAGCTGCCCAGTCCTGTTTGCAGGCAGGGAGTCCCCTTGGCCCCAACCAGGCTGACACTTAGCTTTTTTGAGTCCCAGCTCTCAGAGGAACAGAGGCCTCCTCCATTTTCCCATGCCGGGAGGGATTTCCTGTTTATCTTTCCAGATCGTGTGTCCACATGCACGAGATGTGAAGCCGGGGCAGAAGCCAAGATGATGAGAGCTATTTCTGCAAGCAAGTTCAATATTAAACATGCAGGGAATGAAGGAAGTTTACATGTAAATCAAATTTAGTCGTGTCCCATTGTCTGGGGTCTCCAGAAAATGGGGTGTGTGTGTGTGTGTGTGTGTGTGCACACACACGTGCATACACTTATATCCAAATATGATATTCTTTTTCTTTTTTTTTTTTTTTGAGATGGAGTCTCACTCTGTGGCCCAGGCTAGAGTGCCATGGCACAATCTTGGCTCACCACAACCTCCGCCTCCCGGGTTCAAACGATTCTTCTGCCTCAGCCTCCCAAGTAGCTGGGATTACAGGCAAATGCCACCATGCCCAGCAAATTTTTGTGCTTTTAGTAGAGATGGGGGTTCACCATGTTGGCCAGGCTGGTCTCAAACTCCTGACCTCAAGTGATCTGCCTGCCTCGGCCTCCCAAAGTGCTAGGATACAGGCCTGAGCCACTGCGCCTGGCTGATATTCTTTCCAAATACTGTAGACCATGGGTGTTCAATCTTTTGGCTTCCCTGGGCCACACTGGAAGAAGAATTGTCTTGGGCCACACATAAAATACACAAATACTAATGAAAGCTGATGAGCTAAAAATAAATAAATAAATATATCTCATAATGTTTTAAGAAAGTTTACAAATTTGTGTTGGGCCACATTCAAAACCATCCTGGGCTGCATGCAGCCCACAGGCTGTGGGTTGGACAAGCCTGCTATAGACTGTTACAAGGATTCTCATTTTGGCACTGGTGTAATGGCCAAAAGACTGGAAACAATATAAAATTAATGGATGGGAACTGGTAAAATGATACACCCACATGATGGGAAAGAATGCAGGTATTCACAAAGAAAGAGGACACAGCCACTTTGGAAAATAGTTTGCAGTATTTAAAAGCTGAACAAAGGCCGTGGTTTCTCCAGTACTCTTAGAACAAACCCCTAAGTCCCTCACACAGTGTATAACAGGATTTCCCAAGCTAGGCACTACTGACACTTGGGGGCCAGATTATTTTTGTAGTGGGGGCTGTCCTGAGTGGGGGGTGGAGGACGTTTTGAAGCCTCCACCCACAAGATGCCAGTAGCACTTCCCTCTGCAAGTCGGGGCAACCAAAAATGTCTCCAGGCATTGCCAAAATGTCACTACATGCAACAACATCCATAAATCTCATAAACTAGTTCTTAGCCAAAGAAGCTAGACACACATACGCCAAGAGTACATATTTATAAATCCGTTGTGGTTGAGGGAGGGGAGGGACCAGCAGGGGGGTTCTGGAATAGAGGTAACATTCTGGTTTTGGATTTCAGTACTGATTACTCAAGTGTTTTTCACACTGTAAAAGTTCATCCTGCTATGCAATTTTCTATAATTATGATTCAATAAAATGGTTTTTAAAATGAGGCATATTGAGGTGGCTAGATATGGAAAGATCTCCAATACGTATACGTGGTGAAAAAAAAAAAAGCAAGTTGATTGCATACTGTAATTCCGTTTGTGTTTGTAAGGGATGTATCAGAGCACCCGAGAAGCACACACCGCTTGCTGATGTGAGTCCACGTTTTTAATCACTGCCAAGCGCGCCAGCCCTCATGAATAAATGCAGAAGTTGTCCAGACCCTACGACTCAGCACGTCTGGTCACCAGGGATATGTCCTAGAGAAGCTCCTGCCTGTTGCCCAAGGGCACATGTGCAGGAAGGCTCATTGCAGTGTTGCTGGAATATCAACTGAGGCTCAGAGAGGTTAAGTGACTTGCTAAAGATCACACAGCTTATGAGTAGGAAAGCCAGCAGCTGAGCCCAGGTTTATTTAAACCCAGAGCTTGAGCTCCTAACCACCATACTGTATGACTGCTACCTCCACTCCCTGCTGTACACTGGCTGGGTGGGGTGGTACAGACAGGAACAACTTGGCTAGCAGGCTCGAATGGCATCCAAAGATCATTCCATCCATACTTCACTTAACTAATGAAAAGTTTGTGGGTATGGCATGGGCCTCCTCCTCAGTTCTCGGGGCACACTGGAGCACCCCAAGCCCTTTCTTCTACCATTCCTTACTCTTGTCAACCCTTGGGTCCCTCTCCTGCCCCCCACCCAAGGTCTCACTTCACTGCAGTCAGAGTTCACATCTGGATGGGGAAAGGGAGCTTTCCGTCTTCAGGGTAGAAAGAGGGAGGAGTGAGTCTTTTCAGTGACCTCCAGAACCAAACTGCACAGACTGATTAGCTTACACCCCTCAAGAAGTGGACCCTGAAACAGGAGCTGGGGTGTGAGTAGTTTATTTGCACAGTGATTCAGGAAACACCAGGAGGGAGGGGACAGTGAGAGACAGGGATGGGAACGGGAAGGCAGCCAAGGAAGGGTGTGTCCCCAGGCATGTTCCTACGGAGGGGGCTGGGGGGCAGGTGGCAACTGAGGTTCAGCTCTGCTGGGGCCAGGGCAAAGCATGCATCCCAGAGCTGTCCCATGGAAAGGGAAGGGAGCTGGGCGATTATCCACCAGTCCCATCCATGGTTGGTTGAGCGCTGCTCCCTGCGGCTCAAACACTCCAGCAATGTCTGCCTTGTCCTACATGTGGGTGGAATGTCCTGTCACAAACAGATAAGAACTCCCGGGCCTGAGCTGCAGGTGTTCATAGGAGGCCACCTTCAGAGTGAGGACGTGAGTGCAGTATGGATCCACAGGCTGCAGGGGAGGCACCTCTGCCATCATCTTTGTCTGTCTCTTTGCCAGCCTTGAATTATACCACAGGTTGCTCTCCTTTGATTGCCGCCTTGGAAAAATGACGGCACAAAGGAAAAGAAACCCACCCTCCCATATACTGTGGGTTAACCTGAAATCCCCCCAAACTCCACCGTGGGCCCGGCAGCCCCCTCCCTCAGCCCCAGCACAGTGGGAGACTAACGGTGGCAGCAAGCTCAGGCTTGTACCCAGAGCCCTTGCAGGAGGAAGCCAAGGGTGCCTCTTGCCTTTGGGAAGGGAGAAGCTGTGAGTTGATTGAAGTGATCAAAGGCACCTCCATCCTTTACAGATGCAACGAGCTGCTAACACTTTCCAAGAGGGATTAAATAAATGAACATCGGAAACTCTGTCCCTGGGCGGAAAAGAAAAGTCATCCGCAGGCATGAACACACTCTAGAAACTCTTGCTAGCATCTGAGCTGTTCCCCTGCTTTCTCTCCTTCTGATTTTGGATCAACCACCAAAAAAGGCAAATTCCTTTCCATACTGGTAATGATGGTGATAATGATAATAACAGTAACAATGATAGCAGTGGCCCTCACTCCTGAGACTTGTAAATATCACTTTGCATCTAGCAACTCATCTCATCTTCGCAAAAGCCTAACAAGGAGGCCGAGCGTGGTGGTCTATGCCTGTAATCCCAGCACTTTGGGAGGCCCAGGCAGGCAGATCACTTGAGGTCAGGAGTTTGAGACCAGCCTGGCCAACGTGGTGAAACCCCGTCTCTACTAAAAATACAAAAATTAGCCAGGTGTGGTCGTGCGTGCCTGTAATCCCAGCTACTCGGGAGGCTGAGGTAGGAGGATCACTTGAGCCTGGGAGGTGGGGGTTGCAGTGAGCCGAGACTGTGCCACTGCACTCCAGCCTGGGTGACAGAGTGACACTCTGTCTCAAAAAAAGAAAAAAATGCCTAACAAGGAGACTCTAAAATTAGCCCTATTTTGTCAGTGAGGAAATTGAGGCTCAGAGAAAATGAGTCAGGGGTCACAAACTCAAATGCCTACAGGGGCAGGCAGACAAGATAAACCAGCAAGTCAGGTGGATATCACATATAGATTGTGATTCATGAGGACTATGTGAACTGGAGATGGAGCAGACAGCCCCTCCTGAGCCCCTGCCTCGCCACTGCCACATGGGAACATGGGCACAGTGTGACCGATCTTATTTTTCAAGTAAAGACAGAAAATTGGATTTGAATGTGATATTTTCCCAGTTTTATAAGCAGCTGAAATCAGTTAGAATTAGGATTAGGTCCCTCTCCTTATAACAAAATAACAGGGCTAAGTAAGATAAAAGTTTCTTTCACACACCAAAAAGAAGTTGGAGACTGGGCGTGGTGGCTCACATCTGTAATCCCAGCACTTTGGGAGGCCGAGGCAGGTGGATCATTTGAGGTCAGGAGTTCGAGACCAGCTTGGCCAACATGGTGAAACTCTGTCTCCACTAAAAATATAAAAATTAGCTGGGCATGGTGGTGGGCACCTGCAATCCCAGCTACTCAAGAGGCTGAGGCAAGAGAATTGCTTGAACCCAGGAGGCGGAGGTTGCAGTGAGCTGAGATCGCACCACTGTACTCCAGTCCGGGCAACAGAACAAGACTCCATCTCAAAAAAATAAAAATAAATAATAAAAAGTTGGAGTCTGGGCACTGTGGCTCACACCTGTAATCCCAGCCCTTTGGGAGGCCAAAGATGGGAGATCATTTGAGGCTAGTTGTTCAAGACCAGCCTGGGCAACATAGTGAGACACTATCTCTACAAAAAATTTTTAAAAATTAGCTGAGTATGGTGCTGTGTGCCTGTGGTCCCAACCACTTTTGAGGCTGAGGTAGGAGGATTGCTTGAGCCCAGCAGTTTGAGACTGCGGCAAGCTATGATGGTGCTGCATTTTAACTTAATCACCTATTGAAAACCCTTACTTCCAAATATGATTACATTCTAAGGTGCTGGGGCTTAGGACTTCAATATACGAATGGCAGGGAGGGGACACAATTAAGCCCATAACACTGTCCATCTCCCCAATTCACCCAAAACTTCCTTAAGGGTGGGATTTATGTCTGGTCCAAGAAACTAGTGTGTTTTTTTATAGCTGAGCACATGTACCATTCATGGAACACATGACATACATGTTTTAGCTTAGTAGGTATTTAATGTAGTAGAAAAATATGTATAACTAGCACATTAAACCAATAATTTCACAGATAGAGTTTGGAATAAGGCTAGAGAAAAAAAAAACAACAACAAGCAACTATCTTAGTCCATGTGAGCTGCTATAACAAGATACCCTAAACTGGGTGGCTTATAAACACAGAATATTTCTCAGCCAGGCGCAGTGGCTCACACCTGTAATCCCAGCACTTTGGCAGGCCGAGGGGGGTGGATCACCTGAGGTCAGGAGTTCAAGACCAGCCTGGCCAACATGGTGAAACCCCATCTCTACTAAAAATACAAAAATTAGCCAGGCATGATGGCACACGTCTGTAATCCCAGCTACTCAGGAGGCTGAGGCAGGAGAATGGCTTGAACCCGCGAGACAGAGGTCGCAGTGAGCCAAGATCTTGCCATTGCACTCCAACCTGGGCAACAGAGCGAGACTCCATCAAAAAAAAAAAAACAACAACAACAAAACAGAAATGTATTCCTCACAGTTCTAAAGGCCGGGAGGTCCAAGATCAATGTGCCGGTAGATTTGTTGTCTGCGGAGGGCCCACTTCCTGTTTCACAGATGGTGCCTTCTCGCTGTGTCCTCACGTGGCAGAAGGGGTGAGGGAGCTCTCTGATGCCTCTTACAGAAGGCCACTAATCCCTTCATGAGAACTCTTCCCCCATGACCTAATCACCTTTCAAGAGCGCCTTGTATCCTCACATTGGCGATTAGGTTTCAGCACATGCATTTATGAGGGACACATAAGTCCATGGCAGCAGTGTTAAGGAGTAAACAGCCCGGGCGCAGTGACTCACGCATGTAATCCCAGCATTTTAGGAGGCCAAGGCGGGTGGATCACCTGAGGTCAGGAGTTTAAGACCAGCCTGGCCTACGTGACAAAACCCCGTCTCTACTAAAAATACAAAACTTAGCCAGGCGTGGTGGGGGGGCCTGTAATCCCAGCTACTTGGGAGGCTGGGGCAGGAGAATTGCTTGAACCTGGGAGGCGGAGGTTGCAGTGAGCTGAGATCACGCCATTGCACTCCAGCCTGGGCGGCAAAGTGAGACTCCATCTCAAAAAATAAAAAAAGAAGAAAGAGTAAACAAATTGTCTTGCAGGAGGTACCGTGAGGTGGCAAAGATACTCCCCAAGGGCTGGAGTTGGGGAAACCCAGCACTAAGAACCAGCTCTGAAGTCACATGACCCTGAACTTCTTTCCTGGAGCTCCTGCTTGTTGGCTGTATGACCTTAGGCAAGTCACTCAACCTTTCAGAACCTCATTTCCTCAATTGTATACTGAGGATTCTAAATACTCCAGCCTCCAGCCTCCAAACATCACATCAGCCTTGTGAGGAAGAGCACATGGCTCTGGCACAAGATCACTGGGACATCAGTTCTGGCTCTGCTGTTTCCTGGCTGTGTGACCTTGGGGAAATTACTTTACCTCTCTGAGCCTGCTTCATCTTCTGTAAGAAGAGCATTAGGGTACCTAACTCCTAGGATGGTCACAAGGATTCAATGAGTTAATTTCATCTTTTGAGTGGTGTCTGGTAGTAGTGAATGTTCAATCAAAATCATTATTATTAGTCACCCCAAGGATGGCTCTGATACAAGCTGAACTGGTCCCTTCCAGGGGCTTTGATCATGGGCACTACCCAGCTCCAGGCTAAGGCTGATGTCAGATTGCTACATTGGAAGTCCACATCCTGCCATTGTCCCCAACACCCACTGTCTCAAGGCAGGCAGATGAGGTCATGGGAATTGATGTTTTTGTCCTGAAGGGATAGGCAGGGGTGGATGGGCAACCCCTCTCTCCCACTCCTGATTGCTAAGTGGGGAAGCTTTGGCCTGAGTTTCTAGGGGTGTCCAAAGATCTTTACTTCTTTCCTAGACATTTCTGTATACTTGAACTTTTTACAGTGAGCATATATCACTTCTATGATAAACAAACAAACAAACAAGAAAGCCATTTTCATTCTTGCAAAACCAATCCAGGCCTGGCTCACACCCTTCTAGATTCCCAGAGTCACTTTCTGACCTATCTGGGTCACTTGTTCCTTGGCCTGACTCTCTCTAAACACAGAGCCGCTGTGTTCCAATAAAATTTATTTACACGAAGAGGCTGCAGGCAGGATTTGGTCCATGGTCCACAGTTTGCCCTGACCTAGGATACTGTCTGGAACACAGTAAGTGCTATACAAGTGTTAGCTATGAGTGAATGTGTGTGACTCACAAGCATGTATATCTATGCGTGCATGTGTGCACATGTGTATCTATATGGGAATCATGCCTCTGAATGTGTATTGTGTCTGTGTGGGGGATCTGTTTAGTCCTTCTATAAAAACAAAACAACATGCTCGTACCAGCCAACATTTCAACGCAGCTACCCCAAGACTTCCTGCTTCTATTCTGGTGAGAAAGGGAAGCTTCGGGCGCCAACCCCCAGTGGCCTAATGGAAAGGGAAGCTTCGGGAAAAGCCAAGAGAAGAAAGAGCTGGTGTGTCTCTGTCATTTTCATCTGGGTTAAGATTGGAGGGAAGTCATCATTGGTGATTGTGCTACTGTAGGGCCGGCAGCCCACGCCTTCCCATCTGCTGAAAGGATGAAGTCAGTCCTCTGGGGGAAAAGGGGGTGGAGAGGGGACTCTGTAAAAATGAAAAAGGAAGCTTTTTAGGAGCTTTGAAGGAGGGGTTGGGGTAGAGGGAGAATGATTCCCTGCTCTTGTGGTGGGTGGCTTTTCCAGGCAGCTTGTAAACATCTGCTTGCTTGTTTCATTTTGATCTCCTGCTGTGGGACTTCTGAGGGGCTACTTCCTGTATGACTAACTTCCTTGGCTGGCTTTGCAAGGGCCAAGGAAATGCAGTGAGCGTTAATTTTGGAGTCAGCAGATGAGGGTTCAAATCCCTGTTTGCACTTCCTTGTTAAATGCCCTGGGGGCATATGATCTCGTCCCTCTGAGCCTCAGTTTCCACCTCTGTACATTGGGGCTCCTATTATAATAGTATTACCTCCTAGGACTATTGCAATGATCAAAGGAGAACTGTGTGTGTCCAGCATTTGTCACAGAGCTTCACTCTGTAAGTGCTCCCGAAGGTGACACCCTGAAACAGACCCCCATGGGCTAGTGTGCTGAGCTTCAAGATTTCAGAGAAGCCTTCCCTAATTCCCCCATGCTGCACTAGGTCCCTTTGACTCACAGTGTCATAAAAACTGGTTTCTTTCCTTCAAAGCATTTACCTCTGTTAGTTTCGTTTTTTGTTTGTTTGTTTTTTGAGACAGGGTCTCACCACTCTGTCACTCAGGCTGAAGTGCACGATCACGGCTCACTGCAGCCTCGACCTCCCCGGGTCGGGCAATTCTCCCCCCTCAGCCTCCCAAGTAGTTGCAACTACAGGTGTGTGCCACCATGCCCGGCTAATTTTTATGTTCCTTATAGAATGGGGTTTTGCCATGTTGTCCAGGCTGGTCTTGAACTCTTGGGCTCAAGTGATCCACCCACCTTGGCCTCCAAAGAAGTAGGATTACAGGCATGAGCCACTATGCCTGGCCCTCTGTTAGTTATTTAGTGCTCACTGGCGTGCTTATTGGCAAGTGGCTGCCTCTTCCAGCAGACTGTAAACTGCAGGCCAATAAGATGGTGTTTGCTCTGCTAACCACTCTATTATCCCCTGTGCCAGCACAGGGCCTGGCACATAGTTAGCATTCAATCATTATTCAGTAGGGTCCCAATGGGGTCTTCCAAAATGGGGTTATGATAGGCACTCTCTTCAGCATCCTGGTGTTACCCTGGCAAATCCATACGGGTCTGCCACAACCTCAATTCCTGCCTCCTCAAGAGAAAGAATTCAGCTGAGGGGCAGAAGGCAGAAGGAGAGACAGGCGAGTTTCAGAGCAGGAGTGAAAGTTTCTTAAAAAGCTTTAGAGCAGGAATTAAAGGAAGGCGAGTACCCTTGGAGCAGGGCCAAGTGCATGAAACCCTACAAGACAGAGATCGTGGCAATAGTCCTAGGAGGTGATACTTAACCTCTCAAGTGTCCCATTTGACCTTTGACAGAGGGTTTTATATGTTGGCCTACTTCCAGGGTCTCGCATCCCTTCTCCCCTGATCCTTCCCTTGGAGTGGGCTATCCGTATGTGCAGTGGCCTGCTAACATTTGTGGGGGTGGCAGTGGAATGTGCAGTGTGCTTACTGGAGTTATATGAGGTGTTCTTCCCTTACCAGCCTAATGTCTCTACAAGGTCATATACCAGTTAAACTCCGCCATTTTGCCTCTTAAAGCTCATGCTTGAGCCCATTCATCCAACTCCTAAGATCTTATTTGGAAGCTGCGGATCATCAGTTTCATGGTTTTGTTTGTTTGTTTGTCTGTTTTTTGTTTTTGTTTTTTGAGATTTGCTCTTTTTGCCCAGGCTGGAGTGCAGTGGCGCAATCTCAGCTCACTGCAACCTCTGCCTCCTGGGTTCAACCAATTCTCCTGCCTCAGCCTCCCGAGTAACTGGAATTACAGTCACCCACCACCACGCCTGGCTAATTTTTTGTATTTTTAGTAGAGATGGGGTTTCACTACGTTGGCCAGGCTAGTCCCGAACTCTTGACCTCAGGTGACCCACCCGCCTCTTTAACACATGGCTTTTATTGCCTCTGTAGGATCGTGCACACATCACTTTTGCTCCTTGCCCATTGGTGAACCAGTCACTTGGCCCTGCCTAACTGCAGGGGACTGGGAGATAGAGGGTTACTCATGCATATTCAGCATCTGGAAGGGGAGAGCTTAGACTCTGGGTGGTCCCACGAGACTGGTTTAGTGAGAGGAAGCCCAAATACACTTTTAAGCCTTGCAAAGTGGAGATCCATACTAATTAGACTGCTTTTGAAAACCAGGTATTTATCAGAGAAAAAAGAATCATCACAAGTCCATTGCTTAAAATCTGGAGCAGGGTTTCTAGCCTGCAGTTTTCTGCCATGCAAGATCCTGAAGGCTTCTCTTCTTCAAATGCCACAACCATTTGTCTCCAAGGTTGAAATATGTTTTAATGCTTTCATTTTGATAAGGATCGACAGTTGCCCATCAGAGGCATAGCTGCTAATTTGAGGAGACTAATGATTGAATAAACCATGAAGATAAAAATCATTTGAGAGATTTGGTCCTTAAAAGCATTTAGCCTGAGTCTGGCACGCAGTGGGACTCCTAGGGGTCTTTTTTTTCCCTGGCTTCATTAGAAGGTGTCTTGATAGACTTTATTTTTTTTAAGTGCCAGCCACTACACCTAAAGATGAGTTGGGGAGAGAGATTGAGATAATGTAGGCAAAACCATTGAATATTCATGAAAAGAGCCAGCATTTTGTGAAGACAGGCTGTATCTGACATATGTTATCTGCAGGCTACAAGATTAAAAGAAGTGGGGCAGCCAGGCATGGTGGCTCACACCTGTAATCCTAGTACTTTGGGAGGCCGAGATGGAGTATCCCTTGAGGCCAGGAATTTGAGAACATTATGGGCAACCGAGTAAGACCCCCATCTTTAAAAATAAAAATAAAATAAAATAAAAAGCCAGGCGTTGTGGCAGCACCTGGAGTCCCAATTACTCAGGAACCTGAGGCAGGAGGATTGCTTCAGCCCAGGATTTCAGGCTGCAGTGAGCTATGACTGCCCCACTGCACTCCAGCCTGGGCGACAGAGCAAGAAAGAACAGGGCACTCTCCCTCTGAATATTGAGGCGTTTCATTACTGAGAAGTTTCAGGATGACTCTGATGCCTCTTTTTTTGGTTTAACTGTTTCCTTCTCCTTGGGGTTGGGGAAAAGGGGAACTGCCAAATGGATGAAGCCCCATTGCCCACTTAGCAATTATATTTTGCCTTGTGTCTCTCAGCTGAAGAGCTCTCTCCTAGGATTTGGTCCCCCAGCACCACCATCACCACCCTTAACCTTTCTGTCTCAGCCACGTAGCAAACCTCATGCAAACCAGCTGGTGCTTCCACAACATCTAGTGGAGAGATTGCAGGTACTCTACTGAGCACTGCAGGTTCCAGAAGGGCCATCTGACCTAGGTCACTGGTTCACAACCCCAGCTGCACTCTAAAATTGTCCAGGGAGATGTAAACAGCTCCCATGCCTTAGCTGCATCCTCCTAAGTTCTGATCTCTCTGGTCTTAGGTGGGGTCCCAAGCATGAGTATTTTTACAAAGCCCCTTACCCATTGTTATGAAGCCAGGATTGAGAACAACTAGCCTAAGCTTTCTGCCCAGGAACTCAAGCAATGAAAATCAGACTGGGGAGAAAGATGACACACTTTAGAAGTAAGAATGAGATAAGCATGTGGTTGATGCTCTCACTGTATCTCTCTTCTGGGGACGCAACTACAACAAAAAGTCACAACCGCAGACCCATTCACAGTCCTGTGGGAAAGGAAGTTTGGTGGCAGGGAGACATCTGGCAGAGTGCCTAAGAGTGATTCCTTAAGAAATGGACTCACCTTCCTGTGGTTCCAGAAATGCTGGTGCATTCCTAAAAGAACACAGTCGACATTTAGATAACACTTCTCAGTTTCTCCATTTTACTTTTTGACTCTTCCAAGGAACCTATAAGAGGAGAGATTATCTCCTTCATTTTGCAAATGAAGGGATTGATGTCCAGACAGGTTAATTGATTTGCCCAGAAGAATACACCCAGTGACAGGTGGAGCTGAGATGTCAATCCTAACACTTATGGGGCATTTACTAAATCCTAAAACTTAACGCAAGTACGCAAGTATTAACTGAATAATTACAGAATGGTAAATTCTCTAATTACTTCTCACTTCTTTGACAGAGTCTTCAGCTGTGTGTTTGTGGTATTTCTCTGGCAGACTTTTTTTTTTCTTCGAGATGGAGTCTCACTCTGTCACACAGGCTAGAGTGCAATGGTGCTTATCTCGGTTCACTGCAACCTCTGCCTCCTGGGTTCAAGCAATTCTCCCATCTCAGCCTCCTGAGTAGCTGGGACTACAGGTGCACGCTACCATGCCTGGCTAATTTTTGTATTTTTAGTAGAGATGGGGTTTTGCCAGGTTGGTCAGGCTGGTCTCAAAGTCCTGACCTCAGGTGATCCACCTGCCTCAGCCTCCCAAAGTGCTGGGATTACAGGTGTGAGCTGCCATGCCTGGCCTCTGACAGACTCTTATTTACCCACTATACTCATTCTTTCTTCATCTACTGCTCAGGGCTGCTGTATGCCATGTGCCAGGCTCTCTTTCCCAGCTTCCCTTGCAGCTAAGAATGGTCATGTGACATTATTCTGGCCAATGAGATGTCAGAGGAAGTCTACTGAGTCCCTAATCCAGCAGTCCCCAACTTTTTGGCACCAGGAACCAGTTTCATGGAAGACAATTTTTTCATGGGCTGGGTGTGGGGGGAGGATGGTGTTTGGATGATTCAAGTACATGACATTTATTGTGCACTTTATTTTTCTTTTTATTATTGTAATACATAATGAAATAATTATACAACTTGTCATAATGTAGAATCAGTGGGAGCCCTGAGCTTGTTTTCTTGCAAGCAAAATCCTGTCTTGACCAAAAAAAAATACAAATTGAAAAAGTTAGCAATGCATGGTGGTGCATGCCTGTAGTCCTAGCTACTTGGGAAGCTAAGGTGGGAGGATCTTTTGAGCCCATGAGTTTGAATCTGCAGTGAGCTATAATGGTGACACTGTACTCCAGCCTGGGCAACAGGGCAAGACCCCATCTCTAAACAAGCAAACAAACAAACAGAAAAATGAACTGCTTCTATTTACTGCAGTGGCAGCCTTTTTATGCCAGATTTTCCTAGGCATCCATATCAGTTAGTTGTTGCTGAACAATAAACCACCTCTAACTCAGTGGCTTAAAACACGAAGTATCTGTCTATTATTGCTCAGAGTCTATGGGCCAGCCGGGTGGTTCTGCTGATCTGGGCCAGGACCTGCTGATCTTGGCTAGTTCACTTGAGTGTTTCCATCAGTCAGTGGTCAGGTCTATTCGGGCACTGGGGAGGAGGTGAGGAGGCTGGTCTAGGATGTCCTCATTCCCATATCTCCCAGTCGGCTGGCTGGCGGCTCTGGGGACAGGGTTGAAGGAGCCATGTGATCGCTCATCCCCCAGCAGGTGAGCCGTTCACATGGTAGCAGTGGCCTTCTAAGAGAACAATAAGAAATAGACAAGACCTCTTGAGGCCTAGGCCAGGAACTAGCACCATGTCCCTCTGCCACATTCGATTGATCAAAGAAACTTACAGCTGGGCGCGGTGGTTCACGCCTGTAATCCCAGCACTTTTTGAGGCCAAGGTGGACGGATCACCTGAGGTCAGGAGTCGGAGACCAGCCTGGCCAACATGGCAAAACCCTGTCTCTACTAAAAATACAAAAATTAGCCAGGCGTTATGGTAGGCGCCTGTAATCCCAGCTACTCAGGAGGCTGAGGCAGGAGAATCGCTTGAACCTGGAAGAGGTTGCAGTGAGCCGAGATAGTGCCACTACACTCCAGACTGGGCGACAGAGCGAGACTCCATCTCCAATAAATAAATAAATAAATAAATAAATAAATAAACAAACTCACAAAGCCCTTCCAGATGTAAGGGGTAGGCAAAAGGGCAACCCTTCTTGATGGAAAAGATTGCAAAATCACTTTGCAAAGGGCATAGGTGTAAGAAAACTGGAGATCAGAGACTATTGTTGTAACCAGTCTACCATAGTATCCCGAATAAAACCTTTTCATAGTGGAAAATGCCCTGGACATCAAGGAAGGAGATGAACAAAAACTGGGTAGCAGAGAGATGATCGGGGGTGGACGACAGGGAAACAGACCCTGCAGAGGAGAAAGAATGAGCTTGAGCAAAGTGAGCAGAGGAAGAGGTTAGAGACACAGATTATGTGAAAATGCCACTCTAGTTTTAATTATTTGTAGAGATGGGGGTCTCGCTATGTGGTGCAGGCTGGCCTCGAACTCCTGCGTTCAAGTGATCCTCCCACCTCAGCGTCCCGAAGTGCTGGGATTATTAGAATGGCATTTTCAGGCCATTCTAATAATTGCTTCTACACTGACGCGTACTGGGCGCTTAATCTGTGCCAAGCACTTTGCATGCAAAAATCTCACTTAATCCTCAATCACTCCTATGGGCAAGGTTCCATTATTAATCCCATTTTACAGATGAGGGAATCAAGATACAAAGAGGATTAGGTAACTTGTAGAGACACGTAGATAAGAAGTGCAGAACACAAGATTTGAAGACAAGTCTTTTTTGCTTTTGTTGTTGAGATAGAGTCTCACTTTGTTGCCCAGGCTGGAGTGCGGTGGTGTGATCCCAGCTCACTGTAACCTCTGCCTCCTGGGTTCAAGTGATCCTCCTGCTTCAGCCTCCCGAGTAGCTGGGACTATAGGCATGTATCACCACACCTGTTTTTTTTTTCTTTTCTTTTCTTTTCTTTTTGTATTTTTGGTAGAAACGGAGTTTCACCGTATTGCCCAGGCTGGTCTCGAACTCCTGACCTCAAGTGATCTGCCTGCTTTGGCCTCCCAAAGTGCTAGGATTACAGGCATGAGCCACCACGCCCTGCCGACAAGTCTTTGCATTAATGCACGCCACTGTCTGTCTCTAACTTGTCTCTCTGTCCCTACCTCTGGCCCCCTGCCCAGGCCTGGACCACTGCAGCATCCAATTCCTTATAGTCTTGCTCCAGAGCTTGGCTAACTTTTTCTACAAAGGGCCATAAAGTAAATATCTTCAGCTTTGTGAGCCATTTGGCCTCTGTCACAGTTATTCAGCTCTGCCCAGGTAGCACGAAAGCAGCCATAAACAGTATGTTAATGGACGTGGCTGTGTACCAATGACACTATTTACAAAAATAAATACTCAGGTGGTAGTTTGCCAACCCCTGTATAATCCACTCTCCACACTAGCCAGAGTGAGCCAAATTCAAATGTGACCTTGCCACTCCTTGTCTAAAGTGATTCAACAGTGCCCTCTGATCAGTTCAAACTCTCTGTGTGGTCTGCAGCTGCGTGTGTGCGTGTGTGTGTGTGTGTGTGGACTCTGTACCAGTGGCATCACCATTCCCTGGCAGCTTGTTAAAGAGGCCAAATCTCAGGACCTGCCAGTCATGGTGGCTTACGTCTGTATTCCTAGTGCTTTGGGAGGCCAAGGCAGGAGGATGGCTTGAGGCCAGGAGTGTGAGACCAGCCTGGGCAAGAGAACAAGACTCCATCTCTACAAAAAATTTTTTAAGTTAGCTGTGCATTCCTGTAGTCCCAGCTAGTCAGGAGGCTGAGGCAGGAGGATCTCTTGAGCCTGGGAGGTTGAGGTTGCAGTGAGCTATGATCCTGCCATTCCACTCCAGCCTAGGCAACAGAACAAGGCCCTGTCTCAGAAAAATAGATAAATAAAAAAGAAGGCAAGACCTGTTGAATCAGAACTTGGGTTTTTTTGGGGGGTTTTTTTTGGTTTGTTTGTTTTGTTTGTTTTTGCTTTTTTGAGACAGAGTGCCACTCTGTTGCCCAGGCTGGAGTGCAGTGGTACAATCTTAGCTCAGTGCAACCTCCGCCTCCCGAGCTCAAGCAATTCTCGGGCCTCAGCATCCAAAGTAGCTGGGACTATAGGCATGCGCACCACCCCTGGCTAATTTTTGTATTTTTAGTAGAGATGGGGTTTTGTCATGTTGGCCAGGCTGGTCTCAAACTCCTGACTTCAAGTGATCCCCCCGCTGAGGCCTCCAAAAGTGCTGGGATTACAGATGTGAGCTACTGCGCCCAGCTAGAACTTGCGTTCTAACAAGGCTCCCAGGTGATCTGCACACTCCAGCCTGAGAAGCTCTGGCTTCAAACTCCCTCCCACCTCATCCTTTCCATTGAATCCTCCTCCCCTCCTCTCCACCTGCCCCTACTTTCCAGCCAAACTGGAATGTTCTTTCATCTCTGCGTTCAATATATTCTTCTCCAGCCCAACTCCCTTCACCTGGCTAATTCCCACCTATCTTTGGATCTCAACTTAGATGTCACTTCTTCCAAGGAGCTTTCCTGAAAACCCTAAAGTGCACGAGGTACCCTTGTTTGGTTTTGAAAAACTTTCTCCTACCCAGCACCTACCACGCTGTACGGTAATGGGTTCTTTCATTGCCTGTCTGCCTGTCTCTGTGAGCTCATAAGAGAGAAGACATGTCTGTCTTGGCCACTTCTGTGTGTGTGTCCTCAATGCCGTCGGACAGTATTATTTGTTGAAAACCAAGCGAAACACACCCCACCAACATTCCCCTGGGCAAGTGCCCTACACAACTACTGTTTCTTTTCTTTTTTTTTTTTTTTTTTTTTTGAGATGGAGTCTCACTCTGTCGCCAGGCTGGAGTGCAGTGGTGCAATCTCGGCTCACTGCAACCTCTGCCTCCCGGGTTCAAGTGATTCTTCTGCCTCAGCCTCCCAAGTAGCTGGGACTACAGGCACATGCCACCACGTTCAGCTAATTTTTGTATTTTTAGTAGAGACGGGGGTTTCACCATGTTGGTCAGGATGGTCTCGATCTCTTGACCTCGTGATCTGCCCGCCTCAGCCTCCCAAAGTGCTGGGATTACAGGTGTGAGCCACCGTGCCTGACCACAACTACTGTTTCATCATGGCTGCAGGTTTCCCTGGGCTTCTACCTGGCTCTGGGGCTCTGAACAACCCTTAGTCTCCAAGATTCTATCTCCTGCTAAGCCTGGTGGTTTTTCGTATTAGCAAATGTTTACCATTTCGCAAGGGCCTGAGGGCCTAAGAGATTTCTGGACAAAATTCTTGAGCCACAGGCCAAGACGTAAATTGTGTTTGGGTATGTGTGGGGGAGCAGGGGTGGGAGAGTCAGGCAGAGAGGAGAGGTGGGGGCAGAAGGTTCTAGGCCAGGAAGACTTGAAGATTCAGGATTCCAGGGAGCACACCTGTAGCATTGTGAACTAGCATTTTTTTCCCACCTGTATACAGAGCTAATTCTACACAAGAATGATCCCCAGCCTTAATGCATGGGAAAAGTTTCCCATACACCCAGATGCTCAAAGCAGTTGAGGCTTGTGCAAGGAACTACAAGCCAGCACAGGCACAGGCTGCCCTCCGGGAAGACGAAAGCCCTCCCCAGATCTGACATTCAGTCCAGAGGTTTCTACAAGTTCCTTTATTAATAAAGCAAAATAGAAAAGAACAAGGTCCCCAAATGACCCACATGATTCAAAGTGCAAATTTACTCCAACCTGCAAGAGAAAACGAATGGCAGGTCTTGACTGTGGGGGCCATGGAAATTTGGGGTGATTAAATTGCCTTTGAATCATACAATTGTAGCAGCTGAACCATATCTGATTAACTCTTTGGTCTCTGTTATTGGAACAAAACCGACGCTATGCCTGCAGCCGCCAGACTGCAACCAAAAACACAGTTTGGGGTCAGAAGACATTAAAAATCACAATAAAATAGGATGAATGTTCTAAGTCACGCAACTGAATCAAGGCACCTTTTTTTTTCAAAAGCAAAAAGTTGTTTAACAATATTCCAGAATAGTAGATACTTCAAAAACCAGATTACAGTATATATCATTTTGCTGCACATTTTAGTCTATTTTCTGTATACATAGTCACACATTCTTTACCCTCTCCCAACTTATACATGCTTTATCCCCCCAGTCATGTGCTATGTAGGTATAAAAAAATAAAGTTGTATCTAAACAAGTGATTTAAAAAAAAAAAAACTAACGAATGCCACGATGATAACACTGAACTTGTTTCCCTCTTGAAGGACATTGGAAATGTTACCGAGGTTCATTTTCCCCACCACTGAATCATCTTCCTCCATGTAGACAGGGATGAGAAGTCAAAGTCTTCATCAAGGTCAAAAGCCACATGTTACAGAAAAAGTGACTTACTCCATAGAGGTTACATGAGATGCTCTGGAAGCACTTAGGTTAATTCCTTCACAGTGTTTGCTAGGATGTCAATTTTGGTGGAGCTGCTGAGTCAGAAAATGATAGAGGCCGGCCGCGGTGGCTCACTCACACCTGTAATCCCTGCACTTTGGGAGGCCGAGGCAGGTAGATCACCTGAGGTCAGGAGTTCGAGACCAGCCTGGCCAACATGATGAAACCCCATCTCTACTAAAAAAAAAAAAAAAAAATATATATATATATATATATATATTAGCCAGGCGTGGTGGCAGGTGCCTGTAATCCCAGCTACTCGGGAGGCTAAGGCCCAAGAATCACTTGAACCTGGGAGGAGGAGATTGCAGTGAGCCAAGATCATCCCACCGCACCCCAGCCTGTAAAACAAGAGCAAAACTCTGTCTCGAAAAAAAAAAAAAAAGAAAAGAAAATGATAGAAACATTCAGGGGTGAAGTCTGATCAGAACGACGCTTTTAGGCCAGGTGTGGTGGCTCGCGCCTATAATCCCAACACTTTGGGAGGCCGAGGTGGGAGGATGGCTTGAGTCCAGTAGTTCAAGACCAGCCTGGGCAACATAGGGAGACCCTGACTCTACAAATAATTTAAAAATTCGCTGGGTGTAGTGGCACATACCTGTGGTCCCAGCTAGTTGGGAGGCCGAGGCAGGAGGATCGCTTGAGCCCAGGAGGTCAAGGCTGCAATGAGCTGCAATCTTGCCACTGCACTCCAGCCTGGGCAACAGACTGAGACCCTGTCTCAAAAAACAAAAACAAAAACCTGTGTTCTTGGTAGTTGAAATGGTATGAGCCTAAGAAGCTTGCACCCCAAATCTAGCCACCAATCATCCCTGTAAAGGCACGAGCTAGGATACCACTAACCCCCCAAAATTAATTTAAATGTAAGAATAAAATACAAAGAAACAAGTTATTCTGCAATCCTTCTGATTACTCATCTGCAAACTCCGACAGAGCAAAGAAGTTTACCCCAAATCACCAGGAAGGAAATGCCAAAAACTGGCCCTAAGTGGTTTGATGTAGGATCTGACTCAAAAAGAGCAGCTTCGAGATCAAGTGTCCTCCTGGGAACTGTGAGTTAAGTGTTATCTATGGCTGTGTTAACTTTTTTTTTTTTCTTCTACAATAAAGCTTAACTCTGAGAGATAAAGATGACTTCAAATATCACGCCCCCAAGTATATATAACACTACCATATCCAAAACAAAAAATATGACTGTATACATACTCAGGGTGTTAACTACGTAAGGCAGTGGTCGCAAACTGGTGGCCCCCAGGCTCAAACAAATGTTTGGCCCACATGGTGTTTTGGACATTTTTTTAATTACTTGTTTAAAAATCATCAAGTTTCACTTTAAAAAAAAAAAACCTGATTTCCAGCTTGTTGCCCCATTTTTTTCTGCATGGCTGAGCAATGGCCCCCTCTTTAAAGGTGGGCACAGCTTCCCCCCCACCTCCCACCCCTGTTTCTACAGGCTGCTGAGTTTGCGACCCCTGGTTGGAAATAGCACTAAAAACATGTTTCCTAACCCAAACCTCTCTCACACCCTCACGCCATTTTCACTTCATTTCCCCTTCCCTCTCTTGCTTCACTTTCATCTTAAGTCCTCCTTCCCCAGGTCTTTGGATTTCTCTTGGTTCACTCGAATTCTCCTTTCTTTCAGCTTCAGTTTCATTTTGCAAAAAACATCTCCGCTCAGCCCACGATCATTCCAGGAAGGCTCCCAAGACTGGTCAGTGGGAGTTACCAAAGGGTGTCTCGCCACAAAATGACTGAGTCATCTTCCCCAGAAACATTTTCCTCCAGCACTGGCTGGACAACTAATTTTTTCTTTTTGCTGTTGTTACTGTGGAACTTCTTGCATGAGAATATTTGCATATATGAATCTCCAGTACCAAGCATACACCAAAAATGTGTACATTTCAGATGAAGGACATAACAGAGCCCTAATAAAATACAGAATTGAGCTTAATTTAACTGTCTTGGGCAACCATCATGCCTGGCTAATATGCCATATTATTTCCGTTGTACACAGTACATGTTTTGGTTTACTAAACATTGATCAAAATTGATCGAAATCTCTAAGTTTTGGTTACCATGTACAGAGAACAATTGCTCAGCATGGCATTTAAATAAAACAGTAATATTTTAAAAATTCACAAATACAATGCACAATTTATTTTAAAAAAATAAAATTTAAAAACCTTGAGGATGGATGAGGCTTTGGGTAATTAACCTGAAAAACAAAACTAACAAAAAACTACAAGAACAGTATGTTACCAGATTTATACTTTAAAACACTATTAAAAGAGGAACTCACTGACACTGCTAGAAATATTTCTAAAATTCAGCTTTTTAAAGCTTTTTTTTTTTTTTTTTGAGACGGAGTCTCGCTCGGTCACCCAGGCTGGAGTGCAGTGGTGTGATCTTGGCTCTCTGCAACCTTCACCTCCCGGGTTCAAGTGATTCTCCTGCCTTAGCCTCCCGAGTATCTGGGATTACAGGCGCCCGCCACCACGCCCAGCTAATTTTTGTATTTTTTAGTAGAGACAGAGTTTCACTATGTTGGCTAGGCTGGTCTTGAACTCCTGACCTCAGGTGATCCGCCCACCTCGCCTCCCAAAGTGCTGGGATTACAGGCGTGAGCCACCACGCCCAGCCTTAAAGCTTTATAATCCTTCCAACCCTTGATGTCCCCCACTGTAGTAAACAATGAGTACAGAGGAAGTTGTGGTTGAGTATGGAAATATATATATATATAAAATATGTATACATATATATATATATAAGATCTACTCTTGGCATTTATTTTAAAAACTAATTTTAAAAAATACCGTGCAGTTTCTATCTTTGCATAAAGTTAGCAGACTGACTTCTTTGCACAATGCAGTACCTTATGACCCAACATTGACCTCAAAAGCTAGGAATGACCTTTGCGGGGAACTGTCCCCAAGACAACCTCAAAGAGACAGCACAACATTTGCAGCTGTTTCTCTTTCAGCCCAAGGTCGCAAAGGATATAAGAAGCCAATGCAGCTTGGAGGAGAAGGATTCCTGTAAATCACTCACTATGATTTCCCACAGCAGGCAAGTGGATCCCCTAAAGAAAGAAGGCTTATAGAGTTCCCTCAAAAGAGCTCAGAACTTCAACAATGATTCTATTCACATAGGCATTTCTGTCTTCCAAATTTTAGCTTTAAGAGTCTGAGGAAGTACATGTTTTTATTTAGAAAACAAAAAAATCCCAATTTGTAACACTTGGACTGGCTGCATTTCCAATCAGGCAAGCAGATGAGGGGCCATGCTGAACTTAAACTGCAATTGAGGACTGTTATAAATTTGGGAGAACAAGGAAGAATTCCAGGACCGGCTCCTCCCAGCTGCAAAATACACCCAACCTGGTGATACTGACACCTAAAGAGAAAAGAGACAGACTGCCGTCAAGGGCTGTCTCCCTTGCTCTTTTCCTAATTTGTCTCCTCTGCCCACGACCAGGGAGTAACTGATCTTCAAGCACAGAGCCCAAGATACTGAACTATAAGTGAAATGTTTTGCAAGACCTGTGCTGAATCAACAGGTCTCTTGGACCACGTAAGACTGCCTGGACAAGGAAGAACCATCAATGGTTAGAGACCCAGCACAAACCACATGCTAAGCAGCAGGCATTTCCTCTTCATTAGCTCATTAAGCTCAGAAAGAAATCTCTTTGTGAAGGAGTTTGCTAAAAACCTTAAAACAAAAAAGTTTTCTGTCTCCAGCCAGCAGCCAGCCTTGGAGAAACACCTTTACAGGCAAAGCCTAAAACACATCTTTCTCCAAAGCCAACATGTTTTATGCCTTCACCAGTGTTGTCTTGAATATGTATTTGGTTGCTACTTTGGTTCCAGACATCTCTGGCTGGTAGTAGGTAGTTTAATGAATGGATGTTGACGGACAGGTACATATCCCAGCTTGTGGCCTGCGGCGATGTTAGTTAGGCAAGCATGCTGGCTGCTTTTCAAGGTTGTACATTTAATAATAAATATAACTGGCTTCCCTTTCAGATGCAATGCTTGGTGCTAGCAATTACCACAAAATGAGTGAATTGATCAATATAAAGTGCTATTTTCTCTGGAAGCTTCTCTAACCAACTCTCGATTGCCTTTCCATCTATGTGACTTAACTTGTTGACAATCTTGTCAAACACCTGTGATTGCACCATTTTAAAAATACATTAATATTAATTTGAACAGTGGAAATTATGTTCCTCTAAACATTAGCCCCTAAAATAGAACTTCAATTCCAGTTGCAAATAAAGATTCAGATTTTTCTTTTTAAAGACAATCAGGAACCCAGTACCTAGCAAGTAATTGTGTCAAAAACTTTAGTGTTTTGTTTTGTTTTTTTTTAATTTGGGCAGAGAGATCTGTGTCTAAAAACCGACAGAAGGAACTTTCCCTGCAGCTAGTTCTTGCTTCTTCTACTGGACTTCTCTAAAAGCCACATCCTTCTACAGAATCCGTCTACACAGAACAATATTTGAACCAATTCTTGGGTCTCCTGTTGGATGTCTTCCCATGGTTTGCCCAGGACACTCTAGTGGGTGTGAAGATGTCATATTATACTGGACTGTGAAGCGAGAAGGTGATATTTAAGCCACTAAAGCTTGTGGCAGCCACCAAATTTTCCAATGCCTTCTGCAATCTTGCATTTAACTGGCTTCACCGCCATTCCCACCCCCACCCAGTGGGAAAGGCTTTAGGAGCATTTGGTCAGGTGGGGGTGCTGTCAGGGTTTACGGTTCACCTTCAAGGAAGCCCTGGGTGCGCTGACTCCGGGGTGGGGGGCACCTGGCAAGGTAGCGGGGACCCCCGTAGGCCCGGAGAAGCTGGGGCAGCCTTTGCCACGTGGACAGCAACCGCGCTGCTGCAAGTTCCCGGGCGTGCCCGTCGAAAGCGGCCAGGAGGTCAACTGGGGCGGCTTCCCTCAGTGCCTTGGGCAGGGGACCCACCTCGGCAGCCGCCCCACCAGGGCCCAGGACGCAGTGGAAGAGCGTATGGCGTCGCAGCAGGCAGTCCCTAAGGAACTGCACCAACTCCTCCAAACACCTTCCCAGGTGCTCCTCGTCCCAGCCTTGCCCAGGGGCCCCCTTGCGCAGCAGCACTGCCAGCAGCACTGTCTTGAGCACATATGAGGATAGGATGCGTCCCCACTGGGTGGCGGCCGCTGAGTCCAGCCCACGGGCCCCCAGATCGCGCAGAGCCTTAAGCAACTGCAGGCACTTGAGGTAGCAGGCACCTGGAGCTGCCCGTTCCTGCAGCCAACTCAGCAGCTTCTGCTCCTGGCGTGCTGTGTTCACACCCCACAGTGCCTCCGCACGCAGGCCCTCAGGGAGCTCCAACAGGGGCGCGCTGGGCAAGGGTGGCGGTGGTGGCGCCACAAGGAAGACCCCATCTCCCAGATGGACAGCGGGGATGAGACGCACAGCCATAGAAAGGCGGCAGCAGCCGTAGTCAGTGCGGCAGGGCAAGATGTGTAAGGTGGGGGGCTGTTCCAGGCCACCTGGGGTCAAGGTGACCCGACAGCGCCCCTCCAGGCTGTAACGCACAGTGGCCAAGGAGCGCTGCAGATGCGACTGGAACCAGCGCAGCACCAGAGTAGCAGAGAGGTGACGCCGCCCGCGCACATCCACGCAGAAGGCATCAGCAAAGGGTTTGCAGTCCCGAAGCCAGTGGCCCCCCGAGGCCCCCGATGGTGAGGGTGGTGCCTTGAGGGCGCACAAGAAGCAGCCGCGGAAGGCCGGGGCCAGCGCTGGCTCCTCGCCCAGGCTCCGTGGCTCCAGCGCCACAAGCGGCGGGAGGCGCAGTGGCACCAGCACGTCGAAGCTGTCGGGCCGGCGGATTTTATGTTGCTCGTAGGCGCTGCCCACCTGGATGAAGTCTCCGCGGAAGGCCAAGGCCAGCGCTCCCCCAGGAATGAGACCGGGGGACCCCCGGGCGCGGCCAGCCCGCACCAGCTCGCCCACGATCCGGCTCACGTGCGCCTTGCTGTGGCCCAACACGTGCGGAGACAGGCGCACCTCATGCTCGTAGTAACTCTCCAGCAGGATGCTGAGGCCCGGCTCTCGGAAGTGTCTCGAGGAGAAGGCGGCGTGACCCTCCAGACGGGGAGACCCGGGCAGGAAGCGCTGCCGGACAGCGTGGCGACAGCGCAGGAGGACATAGCTGAGGAGGAGCAGGACGGCCACCTTAAGCAACGGGAAGCCGCCATCCACGCCGTCGGCGGGCTCGGCCCGGGCGCCCCCGCTTCCCCGCAGGACATGGTAGAGGCACACCAGGGCGGTGCACAGGCCGGTCACCAGGGGCCAGAAGACGCGTAGATTGAGGGTGTAGTGCACCGACATGCCGGGCGCCCGGGGCGGCGGTGGCCGAGCAGCCCAGGGGGCAAGCCCCGGCGGCGACCCAAGCCCAGCATGCGCACAGCGCCCGGGCAGCCCCGCTGTCCCCGTCTCCTCCTCCGCGGCGGCTTCCCGAACGCAGGCCCGAGGGAGGCCGCCCTCCAGCTCGGCCTCCTCTCCCAGCTCAAGTGTTCCTTCCAGCTGCGGCCCGCCCTGCGCTCTCGGGCCCCGGGCCGCGCCCTGCCCCGGCTGCGCGCTGAGTCCGGCCCAGCGGCCCTCCCCGCCCGGCGCCCCCGCGCGCCGCCGTCGGCCAGCTTCTGGCCCGGCCTGGCTCGCCTCCTACCCTGGGCGGCCCTCCTGGCTCTCCCGCCGCTCCTCTCCGCGCCTGACCCTGTTACTCGGACCCCGGGAGTTTCCTCTTCCGAGGGGGAGGCGAGGCCGCGCCAGCTAGCGGGGAGGAAATGCCGGAGTCTGGAGCCGAGCGTGGAGCTGGCGAGCCGGGTCGGCCCCCTCCCGGGCCTCCGCCTTAAAGCGACGCGGGGCGGCGGGAGGGACTTCAGGACGCTCTTGGAACTGGCCTCCCGCGGCCCACCCCCATCCTCCCTCCCCGAAGGCAGAATTGGGAAGGCCCTGATTCCGGGGCGGTAGCTTCGTCCAGGGAGCCTCTGGAGTTGCGCTCCCTTGAAGTTATACTGGGACGTTGAAAAGGAGAAAAGGGCGCACAGCCAGACTGTCCAGTCCTCCCCACCCCCACCGCACAAGCTGCGGTGGCGTGGCAGGCCCTGGCACAGGAGTGGCCCTTGCCGTCTGCCGCAGTCGTCTGTTCAAACCAGTATTCACCGAGCACCTACCATGTGCCAGGTCGGAGCCACAGTGCTGGGGAAATCATAGTTGACAAGATGGACAAGGTTTCTGTCCTTCGTGAAGCTTACAGCCTTGTAAAAATGGGAATCAAAAAAGGAAGGGGCTGGGCGCAGTGTCTCACGCCTGTAATCCCAGCACTTTGAGAGGCCGAAGTGGGCGGATCATTTAAGGTCAGTAGTTCGAGACTAGCCTGGCCAACATGGTGAGACCCCCCCCCCCGCCCCCCATCTCTACTAAAAATACAAAAATTAGCCAGGCGTAGTGGCACGCGCCTGTAATCCCAGCTGTTCGGGAGGTTCAGGCAGGAGAATCGCTTGAATCCGGGAGGCGGAGGCTGCCGTGAGCCGAGATCGCGCCACTGTACTCCAGCCTGGGTGACAGAGTGAGACTCCGTCTCAAAAAAAAAAAAAAAAAAAAAAAAAGTGGGGGGAAGGATTCCACAGCAAGAAAACGCTCTAAAATAAACAAAAGTGCCCGAGGGAGTGAGAAGGTGCTGGCTACCCTGTGGAAACCAGAGGATGACAGGGGTGACATTTGGCCTGAGACTTCATCGGAACATGCTGGTTCACCCCTGTAATCCCAGCACTTTGGGAAGCCGAGGCGGCGAGAAGATCGCTTGAGTGAGGCCAGGAATTCGAGGCTGCAGTGAGCTATGATAGCATCATTGCACTCCAGCCTGAGTGACAGAGCAAGACTCTTGTCTCTGAAAAAATAAAATAAATAAAATGAAATGAAATTAAAATAAAATTATTTTCCCAGTGGAGGAAAGGGGCACAAACAGGTTCAGCTCAGGCAGGTTCAGCTGCCCCCCTTCCCCCCTCCCCCACAAGGTTACACAGCCTTTGTAGAGCTGGGCAGAAACCAAGGGGTGGAACTCCCAGGAGGGGGCCCAGGGAAGGTCTCTTCCTCATCTGCTGGGAATTTTGGGGGTCCTTTGTCTGGGTCTACATTGGAACCTCAGTCCTAGGAAGCTTGTTTTGTTTCATAACAGGGAGCACTTCCTGAAATAATCTGATCTATTTAAATAATTGTCTTTCTTTATTCACACTCATTACACCTTCTTTGCTGGCACTGACCTTTAAAGAGAGCAAGGGTGAATATATTAAAACATGTTAGAACCCAGCTGCCACCTGGGAACCAGGACTCAAAAGATGGCTTCTGGGTTGTTCCCAGTAAATCCTAAATTGGGCCCCTGAGAGCTAAGCAGATCTGCCTTCAGATCCCATCTACTAATATTAGCTATGAGATCATCATCTACCAGTCAAGATTCTTAGGTTTGCAAGTGACAGAAACACAGCTCCAACTGGCTTAAGTGCACGCACGCATAGACACACACACACACACACATTATTGTATCATGTTAACTGAGATCCATGAGGGGATTTCAGGTACAGCTGAATCTAGGTGCCTCAATGCTATGCAGACCTGTTCTCCCTTCACTTCTTAGCTCTCTGCTTTTTAAGTGGGCTGTCCTCCCCACAGGTCCTCCATATGCCCTTGGCTGCTGTAGTCTCACATTGTCTTCAGTGCAGAAGAAAAGAGAGCCTTTCCTGTTTTTGTTTGTTTGTTTGTTTGTTGTTTGTTTGTTTTAAAGACAGAGTCTCACTCTGTTGCCCAGGCTGGAGTGCAGTGGCACGATCTCAGCTCACTGCAACCTCCACCTCCTGGGTTCAAGTGATTCTCATGCCTCAGCCTCCTGAGTAGCTGGGATTACAGGCATGCGCCACCACGCCTGGCTAATTTTTGTATTTTTAGTAGAGATGGGGTTTCACCATGTTGTCCAGGCTGGTCTTGAACTCCTGACCTCAGGTGATCTGCCCACCTCAGCCTCCCAAAGTGCTGGGATTACAGGCGTGAGCCACCGCGCCTGGCCAGAGAGGCTTGCTTTTCTCAAAGTTGTGGTAAATGCCATGACTTGGGATAGTTTTGGGTCATATGCTAAAGTCACCAAGCAAGGGAATGCACTGATTAGCATTGCCCAGGTAGTGCCCCCACCAACTCCAATCCAAATCTATGTTGAAACCTTAACGGCCAATGTGACTGTATTTGGAGATAGGGCTTTTCGGCAGTAATTTAGGTTAAATGAGGTCAGAAAGATAGGGTCCTAATCTGATAGGATTGGTGACCTTATAAGAGGAAGAAAGAGAGACGGCTCTCTCTCCATGTGGTTGGACCAAAGAAAGACCATCTGCAAGCCTGGAGAAAAGCCCTCACCAGAAGCGGAATGCTACCAGACCTTGATTTTGGACTTTCTAACCTCCAGAGCTATGAGAAAATAAATTTCTGTTGTTGGAGCCACCCAATCTATGGTATTTGTAGAGGCAGCCTGAGCTGACTAATACAGTTGGGTACCCAGCCCTGGAACCAAGAGGTGGAGTCAGCCCTGTTCAAACTGTGGGAACTGTGGGAAGGGGTGTCTCTCCCCCAAGGAAAGTCATGTTGCTGCGGCTGGAAAAAGATGGATGAGATGTTTTGACATGCAGAGATGACAGCTGGCCACCTCTTTTGGATAACTCTCTTAACCTATCTTTGCTTCTATCTCCCGATCTATAAAATGGAGTGCTACCAACAGAGTGGTTTATTTTTCCCCTGGCAGATATAGTGGTATGCTATCTCCAACTATACAAATAATGGCAATGCTCTAGGTCAGAGTTAGCAAACACTATTTTTTTTTTTTTTAAAGAAATAGGTCTTGCTCTGTTGCCTAGCCTGGAGCACAGTAGCACAATCACAGCTCACTGCAGCCTTGAGTTTCTGGGTTCAAGGGATCCTCCTGCCTCAGCCTTCCAAGTAGTTGGAATTACAGGCATGCACCACCACACCTAGCTAATTTTTAAATTTTTTGTAGACATGGGGTCTCACTATGTTGCCCAGGCTGGTCTTGAACTCCTGGCCTCAAGCGATCCTCCTGCCTTGGCTTCCCAAAGTGCTGGGATTACAGGCATGAGCCACCGTGCCTGGCCTGGCTCACACTTTTTGTAAAGGGCCACAGAGTAAATATTTTAGGCTTGGGTGTCATAAAATCTCTACTATAACTACTCAGGTCCACTGCTGTAGCCCCAAATAGCTGGGTTTGGGGCTGTTGCTTGGCAAACTTCGGCTTGCATTAGGTTGGTGCAAAAATAATTGCGGTTTTTGCCATGACTTTTGTTACTAATAGCTGCATTCCTCTACCTCTGTCTTTTTTTTTTTTTTTTTTTTTTTTTTTTTGAGACGTAGTTTTGCTCATGTTGCCCAGGCTGGAGTGCAATGGCATGATCTCGGCTCACCGCAAGCTCCGCCTCCCAAGTTCAAGCGATTCTCCTGCCTCAGCTTCCCGAGTAGCTGGGATTACAGGCATGTGCCACCACGCCCAGCTAATGTTGTATTTTTAGTAGAGATGGGGTTTCTCCAGGTTAGTCAGGCCAGTCTTGAACTCACGACCACAGGTGATCCACCCGCCTCGGCCTCCCGAAGTGCTGGGATTACAGAAGTAAGCCACTGGACCCAGCTACCTCTGTCTTTATTTGGCCTTCTTCCCTGTGCATATTTCTAGGTCTTTGTATCCAAATCTTCCCCTCCTTTTTCATATAAGGACACTATTCATTGAATTTAGGGCCCACCCTAATCCATCTTAACTTGATGACCTCTACAAAGACCCAAATAAGGTCACCTGCACATGTCCAGGAGTTAGGATTTGAACTTACCTTTTAGGGAGACACAATCAACCCACTACAGCAGCTAGAGATGATCTGTCAGTGAGTGGATAGGGCTGTTCCCATCAAATTTATTTATGGATGCTGAAATTTGAATTTTGTAAGATTTTCGTGTGCCATGAAATACACTTCTTTTGATTTTTTTCAACCGTTTAAAAATATAAAAACCTGCTGGGCACAACGGTTCATGCCTGTAATCCCAGCACTTTGGGAGGCCAAGGCAGGAGGATTGCTTGAGCCCAGGAGTTCAAGACCAGCCTAGGCAACACAGTGAGACCCTGTCTCTAGAAAAAAACAAAACAAAACAAAAAAACTAGCTGGGTGTGTTGGTGCACACCTGTAGTCCCAGCTACTCAGGAAGCTAAGACAGGAGGATCATTTGAGTCTAAGATGTCGAGGCTGCTGTGAGCTGTGAACTATGATCATGCCACTGCATTCCAGCCTGGACAACAGAACGAGACCCTAACTCTAAAAAAATATAAAAACTAATCTCAGCTCGAGGGTCATACAAACACGCTCAATGTACCTGGAGGCTACTGTCACAAAATACCACAAACCAGGTGGTTTAAGCAACAGAAGTGTATTCTTTCAGAGTTCTCAAAAGCAGGAATCTGAAAGGGTGTCTGCAGGGCTGTGCTCCCTTTTGAGGCCCCAGGGGAGAACCCCTCCTTGCCTCTTACAGCTTCCGGTGGCTCCAGGCGCCCCTTGGCTTGTGGCTATCTGACTCCCATCTCTGCCTACATCTTGCATGGCCTTCTCCTTTTCTGTTTCTTTTCTTTTCTTTTTTTGAAACAGGTTCTCATTCTGTCACCCAGGCTGGGCTGGAGTACAGTGGGTGATCATGGCTCTCCACATCCTTGACCTCACCTCCTGGGCTCAAATGATCCTCCTGCCTTAGCCTCCTTGAATAGCTGTGACTACGGTGTGCACCACCACACCCAGCTAATTTTTTATTTTTTGTAGAGATGGGGTCTCACTCACTGTGTTGCCCAGGCTGCTCTTGAACTCCTGGACTCAAGCAATCCTCCTGTCTCGGCCTCCCAAAGAGCTAGGATTACAAGTGTGAGCCACCGTGCCTGGCCTTCTGTTTCTTATAAGGACACCTGTCATTGGATTTAGAAGACACTGGGGTTATCCCATTGATCTCAACTGGAGATCTGTAATTTAAGGATCCTTAATTTAAAGATTCTTAAATCATGTCTACAAAGACGCTTTTTTTCAAAGAAGGTCACATTCACAGGTTCTAGAGGTTAGGATGAAAACATATATTTGGGAGGACCATAATTCATCCCCGCTACACCGAGTAAATGACGTATTACTATTGCTATTTTTCCTGCCTGTAATCTGTTTCCATAGGTCATTTCCTCTAAAGGGCTCAAGGTACAGGCCTCAGAACTTTGCACTTGGCAAATCTACTATATGTGTCAGAGCAAATACAAATGTATTCATTCATTAATTTACTGCTCATATTTGTGGGTTCTTAACATGTGCTAGGCCAAGGGAAATGTGAAGGAAAACACAGGGCTTTGAGCTTACAGACGAAAATGGTACATACACAGTGTGTAGGTGGATTAAGAAAATTGTCACCGTTGGCCGGGCACAGTGGCTCATGCCTGTAATCCTAGCACTTTGGGAAGCCAAGGCAGGCAGATTGTCTGAGCTCAGGAATTCGTGACTAGCCTGGGCAACATGGCGAAACCCCGTCTCTACTAAAAATACAAAAAATTAGCTGGGCATGGTGTCACACGCCTGTAATCCCAGCTACTCAGGAGGCTGAGGCACGAGAATTGCTTGAACCTGGGGGGCGGAGGTTGCAATGAGCCGAAATCGTGCCACTGCACTCCAACCTGGGCAACAGAGTGTGACACACACCTGTAGTACCACCTACCCATGAGGCTGAGGTGGGAGGTTCACTTGAGCCCAGGAGGTTGAGGCTGCAGTGAGTCATGATTGCGTCATTGCATTCCAGCCTGGGCCACAGAGCAAGACCCGGTCTGAAAACAAACCAAAAAAAAAAGGAACCAAAAACCAAAACTCCTTTAGCATTTAATATTTGACAAAGGTCACTCCTATGGCTTTTGTTTTCAATAGCTTAGCAAGTATATATACAGACACTCCTCCCAGAGTTTCTGATGTCTTGGAGGTGTGTCTCACAGAGGATGAATGTGAGCACTGATGAGAGGAAAAGAGGGAGAAGTGATTCATTTCCCACAGTGGGAGCAGGGGGAGCTCATGGACAGGTAACATGTAACCAGGTTTTGAAGGACAGGAAACGATAGCCCATTTGATGCCTGTATCACACGCCTCCTAGATGTGGCGATTCCTCAGCAGTATCTCTTGAAATGCTCAGAACAAGCCCAATGAGGCAGGTGCTGTTATTATTGCCATTCACATATGAGAAAAGTGAGGACCAGCCTGGCCAACATAGTGAAACCCTGTCTCTACTAAAAATACAAAAAATTAGCTGGGCGTGGTGGTGCACACCTGTAATCCTAGCTGCTCGGGAGGCTGAGGTAGGAGAATCACTTGAACCCAGGAGGCAGAGGTTGCAGCAGGCCGGGATCGCTCACACCAGCCCGGGTGACAGTGCGAGACTCCGTCTCAAAGAAAAGAAAAAAGAAAAGTGAGGCTGAGAGAGGTTAAGTAACTTATTAGAAAACACTGCAGGGGCCGGGCGCAATGGCTCATGCCTGTAATCCCAGCACTTTGGGAGGCCAAGGTGGGTGGATCACTTGGGGTCATGAGTTTGAGAACAGCCTGGCCAACATGGTGAAACCCTGTCTCTACTAAAGATATAAAAATTAGCTGGGCATGGTGGCACATGCCTGTAATCCCAGCTACTCAGGAGGCTGAGGCGTGAGAATCACTTGAACCCAGGAGGTGGAGGTTGCAGTGAGCCAAGATCGTGCCACTGCACTTTAGCCTGGATGACAGAGCAAGACTCCATCTCAAAATAAATAAATAAAAATAAAAATCACACTCCAGCCTGAGCAACATAGTGAGACCCTGTCATAAAAAAAAAAAAATTAGCTGGGTGTGGTGGTGTATGCCTATTGTCCCAGCTGATCAGGAGGCTGAGGCAGGAGGATCACTTGGGCCTGGGAGGTTGAGGCTGCAGTGAGCCTGATGATTGCACCACTGCACTTCAGCCTGGGTGAGAGGGAGAGACCTGTCTCCAAAAAGTCACACAGCTGGCAAGTCTGACTACAGAGCTGGACTCTTCGTCCCTGTACTTCACTCTTTTACATTGTAAAGGGCTTAATAGGACAGAAAGGAAAAGAGCAGTGTAGTTTATGTTCATGTATATTTCCCTAACCAGATGATGAGGCTCTTGAAGTCAGGGACTTTGCCATATTCATTTTGGTATCCCGAGTAGCCTACGCCATGCCTGGTACTTTACAGAGATTTGTTGAATGAATGAATGAATGAATGAATGAATAGGATTTTGACCAGCAGAAATTCAAGGAGACCATTCCAGGTAATACAAACAAAATGTGCATATGCTTGTGGTCAAGGAGCATGTGACCGCTTGGGGGAACAGGACATCAGTCCTATTGTTACGGAAGTGTAGAATTTTTGAATGGACACCGTGGTTGCACTTACTAGCCATTCATTTCAGCTTTCCTCTAGGGAGCTTCTACAGCAGGAGCTGGGAAGCAAAACACATTCCCACATTTCCTGGCATGAAGACAGGAGCCACCCGAGACACCCGCTTTGCTAGTGTGGCTGGCAGCAGAGGTGGGGTGGTTCTGAAACTCCGCAGCTGGAGCAGGGGCCCTGGTTCTGCAGGCAGCTTCCTGGTGGGGACAGAGGCGGCGGCTTCCTTGGTGGCCCAGTTTCTGCTCTGTGGCTTAAGAGTTATTTCTGGAAGTTCCGCTCAGATTCCTTTACTGCAGCCTTCCCAGTGATTCTCAGACTCTCTGTGATAAATGACCTGTTGCTGGTTTGTTATTTAAAATTTCCTGTTGGTTCTACTCTGCAAGACTATCACATAGCTCATGTCATGTGCAATTCACAGACAACTTAGACTTTTGACGATTATTTTATTAAAAATCTGCTTTTGGCCAGGTGAGGTGGCTGGCGCCTGTAATCTCAGGACTTTGGGAGGCCAAGGTGGGAGTATTGCTTGAGACCAGGAATTCGAGATCAGTCTGGGCAAAAGAGCAAGATCCCATCTCTACACAAAAAAAAATTGTTAATCACCTTGCATGTTCAATATTTGACCAGGCCTATCTTTATTTAGAGATTATCCACACTGACCTGTGCCTAGAAAGATGAGCCTGTCAGTCACACTCTTGTAAATGTCACAGCAATGTCAAGTTGATGCAGATGTTTCTAAACACTCTCAAGGGACTGGACCAGGACCACCAGTAACAAGGGAGCCCAATGCACAACTTTGCCAACAATGCCACCCAGTACTGAATGGCAACCAAGCAACCCATGCCGATCTCTCTTGGGGAGTCTGAATGAATGGGACACAGAAGCCCTGAGGAAGGAGAATTCAGAATTAAGCAGAAGCCGTAAATCAGCAGAAGCTATAGAGTAGGCAAAGGCCAGGGGGCAATGGCAACCTCGGTGGGTCAGGGGAGAGTAGGAAGAAGCAAGGTGACCAAACAGCTGAGTCCAAGAATGTTGGGCTATCGGAGTTGATTTGGGGGCACAAAAGCTGCCGTGGGGCCTGAATGACCTTACAGCTCTTTTTTCTGGCTTGAGTAAGTAGTGCTGTCTGGGTTCCCTGTGATCCTTCTAACAATCCCTGCTGGAGTCTGAGATCGTCCGAATGTGTCTCTTCCTTGCCACCCAGACTGGTTGGATGGTGGCAGCATGGGGTGGGGAGGCTCTTCAGCCCAGATCCTCAGAAAACAGAACCTAAGGGTATGGCTTGCCTATGAGTGTTTTATGGGGAGTGGTTCAAGCCCAAGGAAGCTTTGCAGCAAACACAGCTGGTTCCTCCATCCCCTTCAAAGAGGCTGCACAGAGCCTCTTAATCTCTAAACAGTTGGGGAGAAAAAAGGGCAAACAATTGAGCTGATGATTCTTCCCATCTCCTGTCTCTTGTTGGTCAAAGGATACCCACAGGATATTTACTGCCCCCACTCCGGGCCTTGTCATCGGCTGATGCAGAAGCCAGCGTCCCTGAAAGTCCCTGCCTGTACATGTGGGTGGTCTCTCCTTATCGGTCAGCACCACACAAAGAGGTCCTTAGTCTGTGGCAGGAGTGGCAGCAGCCAGTTCTTTCCAGCTGTGAAAATAGAATGATCCCTTGCTAGAGCTGCGCTTGTTAAGAAACAAGGCAGGCCAGGTACGATGGTTCACACCTGGAATCCCAACACTTTGGGAGACAGAGGCGGGAAGATCACTTGAATCCAGGAATTTGAGGCTAGCCTGGACAACATAGTGAGACCCTGTCTCTACAAAAAATTATTTTAAAAAAATTAGCCAGGCGAGGTGGTGTACACTTGTAGTCCCAGCTACTCAGTGGCTGAGGTGGGAGGATTGCTTGAGCCCTGGGAGGCTGCGGCTGCAGTGAGCCCTAATCATGCCACTGCACACCAGCCTAGGCAACAGAACAAGACCCTGCCTCAAAACACACACACACAGAGACACACACACAGACACACACACACACACATGAAACAAGGCAAGTGGCTGAGGCCCAGGAGTGCAGATGGGGCCAAATGGATCTGGGGTGACCCATAAGCTGGGTCTGGTACAAAAGGCTTCCTGGAAGAGATGTCTGCTAAGCTGATTTTGGAGGATGAATTGATCGTTGTTAGATAAAGAGATGGAGAAGGACATCCTGGGCAGAAGTCACGTCATGCATGGAATCCTGGAGAAATGAAAGACCATGGTTTGAAATGCAGTGGGTCTGAAGTTTGGGACTGGAGAAAGCAATACTGAGAGATGAGACTGGAGAGTGTGCCACAAGGCAGGCCACGATGGACTCTGTGTACCATGTTGTTTGGTTAGGATGCTCTTGTCTGCAAGTAACAGAAGGCCCTCACTCTTCTAATTTAAACAACAAAGACATGTTACAACCTTACCTAACTGGACATCTGGAGGTGGAGTGGCTCCAGGCTTGCTTATTAAATGGCTCAACCATGATGTCAAGTTCCTTCCATCTTTCTGCTCTGATATCTTCAGACTAACTTTCCTCCTGGTTACACAGTGACAGCCATGGATCTAGGCATCACATCCAGACATAGCAACATCCATCAGAAAATGGACCTAGCACCATGCCTGGTACTTTATTGAGTTGACTCTCTTTTTTTAGCGGGATCTCTATTTTACAGCAAGGAAATCTTTTGCAGAAATCTCGTAACTTAGACACATGACCACATATAACAGCAAAGGAGGCTGGGAAATATACTCATTATCCTAGATTCTACGTGTCTTGCTAAACATAAGTGTTTCATTACTGTAAGAAAGAAAGAGAATAAATATTGGGGGACACTCATCACCCTTTGCCATAGTAGGCAACCAACAGTATCTGCTCCATGAGCCACTGTTGGATCAGTCCCATGCTAATTGTGATTTCTAATTAAGTGTATTTTCAAATATATTATAAGTTGCTTTGAGAGCAGGGTCCATGTCTGTCTTATAGGTACTCAATTACCTATAAGACCAACAGAACAAAAGAAGGAATGAATCTTATTTCAGTAGTCCAGCAAAGTAGCCCTGGATTGCTAAAGAACCTTTCATTAGAAAAATGCTCTTCCGGCTAGGCACGGTGCCTCACACCTATAATCCCAGCACTTTGGGAGGCCAAGGTGGGCGGATCACCTGAAGTCGGGAGTTTGAGACCAGCCTGACCAACTTGGAGAAATCCCATATCTACTAAAAATACAAAATTAGCTGGATGCAGTGGTGCATGTCTGTAATCCCAGCCACTTGGGATGCTGAGGCAGGAGAATCACTTGAACCCAGGAGGGAGAGGTTGCAGTGAGTGGAGATTGTGCCATTGCACTCCAGCCTGGTCAATGAGAGTTAAACTCTGTCTGAAAAAAAAAAAATGAAAAGAAAAGAAAGAAAGAAAAATGCTCTTCCCTGGTCTCTATTTTAGAGGCCACTGTCTCTATAAGAGTCATGAATAATGAAACCAACATCAGTCAAAGGAAAGCTTTGGTGTGGCAGAGATGAAGGGCCATGAGAGAGCTAATGAGTCTGTAATGCAATTTGGTGCCAATAAACTGGTACGATATTAACTCCAAGGCCATGAGATTTACACTATAAAGCCAACACAATTAAAGACTGAGAACCCGATCCCCCACCTGGTCCAGTTCTTCTAGTTCGAGTCATTTTATGGACGCCGACTTCCCGCTGACATTGTCTGGTGATGTCATGGTGAGAATTTTGACAGTCATTAAATTTCTGCCTGGAGGGCCAACGGGACCAAAGAAACTCAGATGTGAGTAGGACATAAAGCTACCGAGGGCAGAAAGCCGTTGTCTACAAAGTTAACATGTCAAACACAAGACCCCCTCTTCCTGGTCTCCTGCTAGCATTGTGGTGATGAGAGCCAGCTGTCTTGAACATTTACTAGGGGACAGGCAGTGTTCTAATTAGGCACTTGATTTAACTCATTCAGCCCTCCCGGCAAAGAACAACGTTATGGGCCAGGTGCGGTGGCTCACACGTAATCCCAGCACTTTGGGAGGCCTAGGCGGGCAGATCACGAGGCCGGGAGTTCAAGACCAGCCTGACTAACATGGTGAAACCCCATCTCTACTAAATATACAAAAATTAGCCAGGCATTGTGGCGTGCGCCTGTAATCCCAGCTATTCAGGAGACTGAGGCAGGAGAATCACTTGAACTGGGAGGTGCAGGTTGCAGTGAGCTGACATCACACCACTGCACTCCACCCTGGGCAACAGAGCGAGACTCTATCTCAAAAAAAAAAAAAAAAAAAAAAGAACAACTTTATGGACATGCACCACCACTCCCCACTAATTTTTTAATTTTTTAAAGAGAAGAGGCCTCACGCTGTTGCTCAGACTGGTCTCAAACTCCTGAACTCAAGTGATCCTCCTACCTTGCCTCTCAAAGTGCTGGGATTATAGGCATGAGCCACCTTGCTGGCCGTAGGTTCTATCTTTATCCCCATTTTGCAGACAGGGAAACTAAGGCATAGCCAGGATACATACATTGTATGAGATCAGGCAGCCAGATTCAAACCTATGCTTCCTACATTATACCTTTAATCACCCTAAACACTGCTTCAAGAAAGTTTTTCCAAATAAATGTCTGATGCTTTTTTTCCATGGTTTGAGGCAAGAGGAACAAAATAAGACATATGATGGGATTTTTTTTTTTGTAAAGCTCAATTTACAGTGGAGTCTCATCTTACAGGTCAGGGACATTTCTAAGTCAGCACATAGAAAATAAAATGTGTATTTACTTCAAATTACCTTTGTTCTATCAGTGTAGGAGTTTGAATTACAATTTGTCAAAACTTATTGAATGGTCCACTTTAGACTTGTGTGTTTCACGGTATCTAGATTTGATCTCAAAAAATCATAAACACGTATTGGATTCTAGCGAGTGATGTGCATGCTGAAGGGGTTACGGGTGAAGTATACTGACCTCAACAATTGCTTTTAACATGCATCAAAAAATAAGATGAATTGATGAGTGGAGAGGGGGTGGATAAAGGAATCGACATGAGATAAGGCCAGTTGAGTTCAACGTTAATGGTAGAATCTAGGTTGTGGGTATATGGGTGTTCACTACACAGTTCCTTCCATTTCTCTCTGTTTGGGGAAAAATGTAAATATAATGTTAAGGGAGAATGATCAGTTGAGCATTTGATGAAGAAGTTGGTTTGAGTTTAGGAGCCAAGTTGTGTGAATAATATATACCTTTAAACACTCAGCAAAGTGTGATGCTCACAATGTAAGATAATGTCAGACCAGCAATGGAGACTGGGAAATGTAGTCTATCCTGGATTCCATGTGTCCTGCTAAATGTAAGTGTTTCATTAGCATAAAAAAGAAAAAAAAGCAAATATTGAGGGACATGATCCCTTTACATCAGTAAAAAGATGAGGGAGATTGCCAACACTATTCAAAGCGTTTGCGGCTGGGTGTGGTGGCTCAAGCCTGTAATCCCATCACTTTGGGAGGCCAAGGCAGGAAGATCACTTGAGCTCAGGAGTTTGAGACCAACCTAAGCAACATGGCAGAACCTGTCTCTACAAAAAAATACAAAAATTAGCTGGGTGCAGTGGTGTGTGCCTGGAATCCCAGCTACTCAGGAGGCTGAGGTGGGAGGATCCCTTGAGCCCAGGAGGTTGAGGCTGCAGTGAGCTGTGATTGCACCACTGCACTCAAGCCTGGATGACAGAGTGAGAATCTATCTATCTATACATACATACATACATACACACATACATAAAATAAAGCATTCTCTTCCCACCCCAGAGCATTTTTGTTTGGGTAGCTGAATCCCAATAATTTAAATCTGTATGGGATGTGGTTTCAGTATAGTTATTTCAAAAATCTGTTCTTTTTGGATAATTTGCTCCAGAAGAAGACAGCTGTCCTGTTGTGAGGGCACTCAAGGACCCCTGTGAGGAGGCCCACATGCTGAAAAACTGAAGCTGCCTGCCAACAATCAGCACTAACGTGCTCGGTGTGTGCTGAGCCATACTGGAATCACTTCTGCCAGCCTCAGTCAAGCCTTCAGATAATGCAGCCTCAGCTGAGATCTTGACTGCAACTTCATGAGAGATCTTGAGCTAGAGCCACTCAGTGAAGCTGCTTCTAGGCTTCTGACCCACAAAAACTGCGTGAGATAATAAATGTTTATTGTTTTAAGCCACTAAAAAAAATAAGAATATATACTTCCACTCTGTTGGACATGAAAATAACCATTTTCTTCTAGGGGAAAACTGATACTAATGACAGTCAAAGCAGCTTCTCTTCTCTCCTTAAGTCCTAACTTAGTAAAATGAAAAGTTGGCAATTCTAGGTTAATCCCTCAAATACTTTACCTTCTGCCACTCAAAAATGTGGACAGGGCTTTTGTCTGCTTTGTTCCTTGTTACCTATCCAGTGCCTGGCATAGATAGTCACTCAATATATAAATAATTGTTGAATTAATTTTAATGCTTCATGAAATCTAAAACATTGAGGGAAAGAAAAACCTGCATCAACACACCAGAAGTCACTAAGTCATTACTAAATACATGGATGGTTAGACAGATGTCCCTAAACTATAGCCCAGCCACACACAACCTGTGACTATGTGTCCATAGACATAGTTGTCACGACCTCCCAACCAGCAGGAACAGAACCATGTCCCGTCCAGGATTCCCTTTATTGCAAGTAATCCTCCATCAGTTTCATCCTAAGGAGAAAAAGAATGACTCTTTTATATTCCCAAAGCCAAGAGGATCCTGTGTGTTTTGATGCCTAAAGAAAGGATCACTTGACGTTTGCATATTTCTGGTGGAGAAGGAAGAAAAGACTCTGCAGCAGTGGATGGAAACACAGCAGAGAAGCCCTGAACCATCATATTTCCTGCTCTCTAGATAGGCACAGTGGCAAATTCTGTCACCTACTTACTGAGACCTGATTTCTTGGCACATGGGTGCATCCACAGTTCATGATTCAACTCATGCTTAACAGTTGTCCACATTCTCAAGCCCTTGCTATGTGTCAAGTGCTGTGCTTTGCATATGCATTATTACTAAAACTCATAGCCAGTTTTTTTTGTTGTTGTTGTTTTGTTTTTTTTTGTTGTTGTTGTTTTGTTTTTTTTGTTTTGAGACAGAGTCTTGCTCTGTCACCCAGGCTGGAGTGCAGTGGCACAAACACAGCTAACTGCAGCTTCGACCTCCTGGGCTCAAGTGATACTTCCACCTCAGGTTCCCAACTAGTTGGGACTGCAGGTGCATGCCATCATGTCCAGCTAATTTTTTAACGTTCTGTAGACACAGGGGTCTCACCATGTTGCCCAGGCTGGTCTTGAACTCCTTGACTCATGCGATCCTCCTGCCTTGGCCCCCCAAAGTGTCATGGCCAATTTTTAAGGTCAGTATTAACATCATCACCCATTTTACAGATGAGGAAACTGAAATTCAGAAGGATTCTAAAATGTGTCTGTGTGCATCCAAATATGGGCAGATGGAACCAAAACTTGAACTCAGTTCCACCTGACTCCCACACCAGTGCCCTTACTTCTACATCATAAGGATTCTTTGAATTGAATATCAAAGTGGGTGGCACTGTCTTTGGGTCTATTTTACAAATGAGAACTAGAATTGAGACCATAAATTCAAACTTTCATCAATTACTATTATGGGGTTAGAATACTCCAGTGGATGTCTCTTGTTTCATTCTCTTTGGCATTCTTTCTCCCTTTTTCTGGTGACAGCACCCTGATTTTTCTCCACACCTCCCCAGTTCTCAGTTCATTGATCTGGCCCCAATGGCCAACTCCAGGAAAAAACACATGGCCTAGGCCTGTCCACTACCCCTCTGCTCACTGTGTGTTTCAGAGTGGGAAAGTGATCCAAGCTGACCCAATAAGAGAGTATCAGTTAGCTTCTGCTGCATAACAAACATCCCCAAACTTGAAGTCTTCACTAACAAATATTTATTATTTTTAGTAATTCTGTGGGTTGGCAGAGTGGTTCGTCTGGCCTAGGCCAATTCAGCTGATCTGTGTGGTCTCTTGGTGGCTTGGCTGGAGCTGAGTGATCTAGGATGGTCTCACTCTCATGTCTGGTGGTTGGTAAGCTGGCTGGTCTAGGGGTTCCACACCTGGGACTGCTTGTCTCTGCTCCATGTAATTTCCCATCCTCTAGTAGGCTATTTCAGTCTTGTTTATGTGACAGCAGCATTCAAAGAAATCCAGAGCAAAGGCTGAAAAGCATGTTGTCTTAGGCTTGAAACTCATATATTTTCACTGTCACTTTTACCACATTCTATTGTTCAAAACAAGTCACAAATCCAGCCCAGATGCAGGGATTGGAGTAATACATGCCACCTCATAGTGGAAGGAGCTGCAAAGAATTTGAGGCCATGTGCAATTTACTCCAGAGTCAATCTTGAGGCTTTTGCTGGAAAATTAAGAAAGAAAAGCCCTTTTCCCATCAAGGGTACTGGTTGAGTAAGCCTGGAGATGCTGCCAGGTGTCTTGTCATGGCAAGGAAAAGCCTTGCTGGAGAGGAAAGGATCACAAAGACTAGAGATAGAAATCGGCTTCACTGGAACTTCTGGATCCAGTCAGACCTGAAATTGACACACACCTGTAAATCTCAGCACTTTGGGAGACCTAGGTGGGAGGATCGCTTGAGCCCAGGAGTTTGAGACCAGCCTGGGCAAATTTTTTTCTCTTCACAAAAATTTAAAAATTAGCTGGATGTGAGGTGGGAGGATCACTTGAGACCAAGAGGTTGAGGCTACAGTGAGCTGTGATCACATCACTACACTCCAGCCTGGGCAACAGAGCAAGACTCTGTCTTAAGAGAAAAAAAAAAAGAAGATGGTGCTGAAGTTGGGTTTCACAGAAGATGGTGCTGAAGTTGAGTTTCACACAAGTGTCTGCTTTTGCCTTCAGCAGATATGGGATAAGACTGCAGGAATTTTCAGAAAAGATGCAAGAAGAGTTGTCACATACTCATTTTTGTTTGCTTGTTTGTTTTTTGAGATAGAGTCTCACTCTGTTGCCCACGCTGGAGTGCCGTGGCTTGATCTCAGCTCACTGCAACCTCCACCTCCCAGGTTCAAGGGATTCTCCTGCCTCAGCCTCCTGAGTAGCTGGGATTATAGGCATGTGCCACCACACCCAGCTAATTTTTGTACTTTTAGGAGAGATAGGGTTCCGCCATGTTGGCCAGGCTGGTCTCGAACTCCTGACCTCAAGTGATCCACCCGCCTCGGCCTCCCAAAGTACTGGGATTAGAGGGGTGAGCCACCCCCTGGCCTTGTAGCATACTAATTTAATGATGAGCAGGTTAACTGGAACCTTCTGATCTGGAAAAGGTGGCTGGTTTGGAATATCGGTCACTTTTTTTCGTGCTATGTTAATGCCTCCATGGGTAACCAAATCGCTTCCAGTTTTTCCCTTAGGGTGAAACAGAGAAGCCTCATCACAAAATCCAATGACACCTAAACGCAATGCTCTTTGTTTTTTGTTTTCTTAGAGATGGGGTCTTGCTATGTTGCCCAAGCTGGTCTCGAACTCCTGGACTCAAGAAATCCTCCCACCTCAATTTATTTTATTTTATTTTTTGTAGAGATTAGGTCTGGGCTATGTTGCCCAGGCCGGTCTCTAACTCTGGGCTTCAAGTAACACCCCCGCATCCCCTCAACCGCCTTACCCTCCCAAAGTACTGGGATTATAGGCAGAAGCCACCACGCCCAGCCTACAATGTTTACAATTTGGTAATTTGTACCTCTAAGACTCTTCAGAAGAAAATACTTAGAAATGAAAATGGAACATATGAAAATGGACGGACATTGTCGATGTCTGGAATATAGTAAAGTCAAATTAGGGACACTTTTAATTTATGTGAATTCAGCTATAAGTATATGGCAGAAAGAGGACAGAGCGAGAAAGGAGTGGGAGGCTGGGCGCGGTGACTCACACCTGTAACCCCAGCACTTTGAGAGGCTGAGGTGAGTAAATCACTTGAGGTCAGGAGTTCGAGACCAGCCTGGCCCACATGGTGAAACCCTGTCTGTACTAAAAATACAAAAATTAGCCAGGCGTGGTGGTGGGCGCCTGTAATTCCAGCTACTCAGGAGGCTGAGGCGGGAGAATTGCTTGAACTTGGGAGGCAGAGGTTGCAGTGAGCCGAGATCACACCACTGCATTCCAGCCTGGGTGACAGAGCAAGACTCTATCTCACCAAAAAAAAAAAAAAAAAAAAAAAAAGAGGGAGAGAGAGAGAGGGAGAATATGGAAGAATGTGAAAGTCACAAACATTGCCGGGGAGTCCATCTACCTGTGAATCTTTGAAAGGCCTGTGAGAAGGGAACTGAAATTGGCTGTTGGCCCCTCAGGCTAGGCCAGTTTCCCCACCTGCTGGGTATGACTCATGTTTAAAGATTTCTATTTTCCTTCAACGTCATCCCTAGAAACAAATGTCTTACAGAACTATTAAATTAAGTTTAGCCTAAAGCCACTTTGGGAGGCCAAGGTGGGCAGGTCACTTGAGGTCAGGAGTTCAAGACTAGCTGGCCGACATGCTAAAACCTCGTCTCTACTGAAAATACAAAAATTAGCCAGGCATGGTGGTGCGTGCCTGTAATCCCAGCTACTTGGGAGGCTGAGGCAGGACAATCGCTTGAACCCGGGAGGTGGAGGTTATAGTGAGCCGAGATCGCGCCACTGCACTCCAGCCTGAGCAATAAAGTGAGACTTCGTCTCAAAAACAAAACAAAAAATAATAATAATAAAGATTTCTATTTTCCTTCAACATCATCCCTAGAAACAATGTCTTACAGAGCTGTTAAATTAAGCTTAACCTAAAGCTGCCTCCTAACATATTTTTAGTTCTGTGTAAAGGTTTCTCCATCCATAATGGACTGTAACCTAACTGGAGGTATAAACAGACCATAAACTACTCATGTGCCAATCACCGAGTTTTGCCCAATCACAGAAGGCCAACTGTTCAAGCCGTATCAAATAAAGCAAACACTGAGCTGTAACCAATCCAGCTGTTTCTGTACCTCACTTCCGTTTTCACTTTCCTTTCTCTGTCCATACATCTTCTTTGACCACGTGGCTGCACCAGAGTCTCCCTGAACCTATTCTGTTTCAAGGGCTGCCCAATTCATGAATCTTTCTTTGCTCAATTCAACTCTGTTAAATTTAATTTGTCTAAGGTTTTACTTTTGATAGAGCTCAACTGAAGAAATGCAGCGATGTGTTCCGGCCCTGGGAAAAAATAAACTATGTGTATGGAGTTCTTGGGAGACTCTGTACTCAAGGGCGTCTTTGACAATAGTGATTTTCACCATCCTGGCTGACCTTGGAACCTCCCCCGACCTCAGCTCCACATGGAAAGAGATGGAGAGAATGAACAGGTCTCTTACTCTGAAACCTTCAATAACTCTCGCTTAGAAATATTGGAGTCCATTGCAGTTTCAAATACTCTTGCTAGAGGGCATAATATCCTTCAACCTACCCCAACCCGTTGAATTCATGGAAATGTGGATGTAACTTCTAAATCCTCAGAAGCTAACTAACCTCGGGCTGGGCATGGTGGCTCTCACCTGTAATCCCAGAACTTTGGGAGGCTGAGATAGCAGGATCACTTGAGCCCAGGAGTTTGAGACCAACCTGGGCAACATAGTGAGACCCTGTCTACAAAAAAAAAAAAAATAGCTAGGCATGGTTGTGCCCACCAGTAGTCCCAGCCATTCGGGAGGCTGAGGCAGGAAAATTACTCGAGCCCAGGAGGTTGAGGATGCAGTGAGCCATGATCACGCCACTACACTCCAGCCTCCGGGATGCAGCGAGACCCTGTCTCAAAAAAAAAAAAAAAAAAATTAAAAAAGCTAACTTCCCAGTGATCTGGGACTCCTTGCTCCGGAACCTCTTGAGCAGCTTTTCTAAACCACCTCCCTGCTCACCTGATCGTGCTGCAAGATTGGCACTAACAAGATGCTCCTCTCTGCTGACAGTCACACTGGCAGCTTCTCACCTAGACACATAAGGCTCCCCCAAGCCTAGCCACCTTCTTTGTCACTTCATGCTCTGACCATCAGCTTGACAAAATGCCGAGTCGCCTTTGTGTACCTGGCTCTTGGACACAGAGGTCCTTCATTTTTCCTCCTTTGTTGAGGGCACTTTGTGAGCAAAGAAGGAGTGAATTTGGCTCTCTTTTTATAGCCCTATCTAAAGGTCAGCCTTTTTTTCCTGCAGCTGGAGGTGATCTACGCCACACCGTGCGCTTAAAAGTGATGGATCGTCAGCCCTGCCCTCGTGTCAGGGCTGTGCGGAGCACATAATCTACCTTCCATTTCTTCTGCAAAGCCACCTGAGGTTTAATTTGATGTGTTTCATTTCTGACCCTGCATGAAGGACCACCTCAACACCTGCATGTTTTAGGAGGTTTTGAACAATATCCACTTTGTCAATCACCTGGGATCTCCAGTCCACACCATGCCCAGTAGGAAGCCAGTGTTCACTTTGCATGAGTGAAAACTCAAAGCCCAAACTAGGCACAGCTTATCTTAACCACACAGAGGGATGGAAAAGGCAGGCAGCTATGTTTACTCAGAGTTATTTTAACAGAATGATCCTTGTCCTACTCTGTGACTTTTGTTCACCTAACAGGTATTTCTGTTTATTATAGATAATTCATTCAATATTCATTGATTCAAAAAATAGTGATTGTCTTTGTCCATTTTCTGTTGCTTATTACAGAATACCTGAAACTGGGTAATTTACAAGGAAAATAATTTATTACTTACAGTTATGGAGGCTGGGAAGTCCAAGGTTAAGGGGCCGCTCTGGTGAAGGCCTTCTTGCTGGTGGGGACCCTCTGCAGAGTCCCGAGATGGCACAGGGCATCACAGAGCAAGGGGGTTGAGTGTGCTAGCTCAGATCTCTCTTTCTCTTCTTATAAAGCCGCCAGTTCTAAAGCCTGTAGTCCCAGCTACTCAGAAGGCTGAGGGAGGAGAATTGCTTGAACCCAGGAGGCAGAGGTTGCAGTGAGCTAAACTCCAGCCTAGGCAACAGGAGAGAGAGAGAGACAGAGACAGAGACAGAGAGAGACAGAGAGAAGAAATAAAAGCAGGAAGGAAAGAGAAAGAAAAAGAAAGGAAAGAAAAGAAAGAAAGAAAGAGAGAAGGAAGGAAGGAAGGAAAGAAAGAGAAGGAAGGAAGGAAGGAAAGAAAGAAAAAGAAAGAAAGAAAGGAAGGGAGGGAGGGAGGGAAAAGAAATGAGAAAAGAAAAGAGGGAGGGAGGAGGGAAGGAAGGAAAGAAAGAAAGAGGGAGGGAGGGAAAAGAAAAGAAATGAGAAAAGAAAAGAGGGAGGGAGGAGGGAAGGAAGGAAGGAAAGAAGGAAGGAAAGAAGGAAGGAAGGGAAAAGAAAATTGCAGATAATTTTTCTTTGGACACTATCAGATCCCTCAACAAACAATATCATCAGCCACACCCTTCTTCATCACCTTAAGAAGTATGGAGATGTGAAGTATATTTTATGTTCATGTGCTTTGATCAATCCCAATAACTTTCAATTTCCTAATTTCACATATGATAAATCTCCAAATGCCTCAAATAGGTCCATGGTCCTTCTGACCTATAAGTGAAATCATTACTAACTGCTGTGGATCTGAAAGGGAGACACAATGACTCCAACGAGTTGAGGATCATCCTTCCAAACCTCTCTACCTGTCAAGG